>NC_000002.12:108095678-108398708 GCF_000001405.40 Homo sapiens | reverse complement strand
ACCTCTGGAGGCTGTGTCATAGGCATGTGTCCTCAATCTTGGCAAAATAATCTGTCTAAGTTAACTGAGACCTATCTCAGATTTTCAGGGTTCACGTTTTGGTAACCATTAAGGGATTCTGAGTGGAGGTGCCCCAGACCTTTGACAAATCTCCTATCAGTGCTTGGTATCTGCTTGAGCTATCTTTGTGGCTCAAACCAATAAGACAATTTACTGAGGCCTAGAAGTACCCCCTCCGGAGAATCCCTGATCTCCCCAAATTTGGTCAAGATCTAAAGTTTATTTTGCTGTACAACTTCTGTTTTTTGTTTTGTTTTGTTTTGTTTTGTTTTTGGAGTTTTACACAAGGAAGGCAAGTTTTTATTGCTTTCATGGTGATGGAAGGCAGGTAACTCATTTATGGAGTTTGAGCTCACTTCCAGTAGGGAAGATGAATTCGAGATTTTTCCAGTTTCTAGGATGGTAGAGAGTAGTCTTCAGCCTGAGACCCATCCCTTCATAAGTAACTGAATTAGGGTTTGTCTTGGTCAAAGTTAAGATTAATAACCAGCTGGTCTTAATTTCTCCTTACCACTAGAGTGCTCAGTAATCGTACAAGTTTTGCCATCATTTGTTTTGCTTAAAACAGATGATGTTGTTTTTATTGTTATTAGTTTGTTTCTGTTTTTGTTGTTGTTTTGCTCTTTTTCCCATTTGGGTTAGATCAACTCTATCTGACTTGATCATGTCTGAAGGCAAGTTCCAAATTATGGGGAACAAGGCCTCTGAAGTGGCTAAATTTCCACACACAAAAAGAGGTGGTGTGGTGTTGGGAGAAAAATGACCAGCAAAAGGTGGTGGTGGTGGGGAGGAGGGGAGGGAAAGATTTTTTTATTTTGACTATTTAAGGGGCTTTATTTACATAACAAGGTCACCTTTTATCTAGGCGGGCCAAACTGAAATAGCAATGGCTGTCACCCCACAGTGCAGTCCCATAGCTAAGGGTTCTGCCTTCTTTTTTCCTACTATGACAGCCTGGTTTTGTTTCCTAAATTAAGCCCTTTCTGGTTTGATATTTGGTACTTCTGAAATAGCAGCAATTTGTTCTAGCTGAAATATGGTAATGAGATTTAAAAGGATTTTTTTTTTTCGAGACAGAGTTTTGCGCTTCTAGCCCAAGCTGGAGTGCAATGGCGTGATGTTGGCTCACTACAACCTCTGTCTCCTGGGTTCAAGCAATTCTCCTGCCTCAGCCTCCTGAGTAGCTGCAATTACAGGTACATGCCACCACGTCCGGCTAATTTTTTGTATTTTTAGTAGAGACGGGGTTTCACCATGTTGGCCAGGCTGGTCATGAATTCCTGACCTCAGGTAATCTGCCCACCTCAGCCTCCCAAAGTGCTGGGATTACAGGCATGAGCCATTGCGCCTGGCCTTAAAAGGATTTTTTAAAAGGAGTTCAGTGGTTAAAAGTCAGTTTAATTAAAAGATAACATCCAAGTTGTGTGTGTATGTGCATGCATGTGTGTGTGTTTGTATTTAAAAGGCCTTCAAGTGTTGTTTTTTTTTTTTCTCCCAGGACCTCGTTCTTTTCTTGAGCGAAAGTTTTCTTCTTTTCAGTTGACTGAATTCTGTTTTCTAAATTTACTGGTGCTGTCTCTCCTTTCTCTTGCGCCCTCTGCTGCATGAGGGACTTAAAATAGTTTATAATAGCCTAGGGTTTCTTAAAGAAGATGGAGAAGGTGCCAGACTCCCTTTGGGGAGAGACCTGTTTTTCCTTATGGAACCCTGAGAGTGTAAGCAGACAAATTCATCTCAGCTCTTAAATTGCTTCCTTTTGTGTTGTGTTACCTGATTTATTGACTAAAATAGTTATTGCAACAGAGGCTACTCTTGGGTTTTTAAGGAAGAGTGTAGTTTAGACAGTTAGAAATGCCTTTGTTTAAAAAAAATTTTTTTAAGTGCACTGTAAAAGCATCACATGGTCTAGCTTCATAATAATTCTCCATTTTTGGAGACCCAGGATTCAGTATGGGCTCTGCCCAGAGCTCAGAGATCCAGTTAAAAGAGAGGTAGTTCCGGCAGGGTGCGGTGGCTCACGCCTGTAATCCCAGCACTTTGGAAGGCCTAGGCGGGTAGATCATGAGGTCAGGAAATTGAGACCATCCTGGCTAACACCGTGAAATCCTGTCCCTACTAAAAAATACAAAAAATTAGCTGGACGTGGTGGCGGGCGCCAGTAGTTCCAGCTACTCGGAAGGCTGAGGCAGGAGAATGGCATGATCCCAGGAGGCGGAGCTAGCAGTGAGCCAAGACTGCACCACTGCACTCCAGCCTGGGTGATGGATCGAGACTCCCTCTCAAAAAAAAAAAAAAAAAAAAAAAGAGAGGAAGTTCCTAGCTAAATAAAATTGGTCTCCTCATACAATCTTATGATAGATTTCTATAATTTTATGTTTGATTTGGTATCCATCTTTAATTTCTCTCTAGCACCATTAGACTTTTTCTCTCAGTACTTTAAGATGTAAATTTTGCTATCTGAGTTTTTATCTACAAGTTGTTTTCCTTCAATATGCAGATTTAGGGCTATTTAGCTGACAACTGCCTATGGTAGCAAACAGATTATTGAGAATTTGAAAGTCTAAGATAAGAAAAAAGGTTCTTATGAATCTATAAGATGTACTTCTATTGTCATGCCTAATACATCTATGTATTTATGTGTTGTGTACACAATGTTTTACTACATATATATACATATATATAAGAGCTCTAATTGACTTAAAAAAGCACTTGAATCAAATACTTTATCAGGAAAAAAGAAAATACTAGTCAAAAGCTTTTTCAAGGTTATATAACTTTAATAAATAAGTTGGCTTTAAAATTATTGGTAAAGTAATATTAGAAATGTCTTAAGAACTGCCAGCATATATTTTTGTTTGCATTTATTGATCAAGCAATTTTATACTTATCCCTGCCAAATACTATAAGATGTCAAAATTTGTCATAAGGGTTAGAAAACTATAAACCCAGCCCAAAACAGAATGATCTTTGCTTGTGTAATTTTTAATAAATAAGACATTGATACTGGTTTAAGGAAAATAGCTATATCTTGAATTATTCAGTTAAATTACTATAACTTCTAATCGTGTGGCTTTAGGCAGTTTAGTCCATAGGCAGTAAGGTTTGTTTTGGGAAAGGACTGTTATCATCTTGTTTAAAAACTAAAGTAGAAACTAAATTCCTCCCAAAGTTAGTTTGGCCCATGTCTAGGAATGAACAAGGACACTTGGAGGTTAGAAGCAAGATGGAGTTGGCTAGGTCACATGTTTTTCACTGTTTCAGTTATAATTTTGCAATGGTGAGTTTCATATCTTTAAATGATGACTATCGCAGTTTTCATAGTCTAGGTAAATGATTAAAATAAGATAATTAGGCTAGACACGGTGGCTCCCGTCTGTAATACCAGAACTTTGGGAGGCCGAGGCAGGCGGATCACGAGGTCACGAGATCGAGACCATCCTGGAAAACATGGTGAAACCCTGTCTCTACTAAAAATACAAAAAATTAGCTGGGTGTGGTGGCACGTGCCTGTAATCCCAGCTACTCAGGAGGCTGAGGCAGGAGAATCACTTGAACCTGGGAGGCAGAGGTTGCAGTGAACCGAGATCACGCCACTGCGCTCCAGCCTGGATGACAGAGCGAGACTCTGTCTCAAAAAAAAAAAAAAAAAAGATAATTAGGTGAATGTGATGGAATAAATACTTGTAGACAAATGTCATAATTTGGAATCTAAAGTTATATTAAATTAAATAATAGATATTTCATTATTTGAATATTTTCCAATAGAAATATATTGTAGGAAAAAATTCTTTCTAAAAAAGTGTCATTCTAAAAAAGGCGAACAATTTTGTCTAATTCAAAGCTTATTTAAAGGTTATGGGCCAGTCATGGTGGCTCACACCTCTAATCCCAGGACTTTGGGAGGCTGAGGCAGGTGGATCACCTGAGAACAGGAGTTCAAGACCAGCCTGACCAACATGGAGAAACCCCATCTCTACTAAAAATACAAGATTAGCTGGGCGTGGTGGCGCATGCCTGTAATCCCAGCTCCTCGGGAGGCTGAGGCAGGAGAATTGCTTGAACCTGGGAGGTGGAGGTTGTGGTGAGCCGAGATCGTGCCATTGCACTCCAGCCTGGGCAACAAGAACGAAACTCTGTCTCGTAAACAAAACAAAACAAAACAAAAATTTCTGTGCAGTGCAGAAGGTCTTTACTTTTGCCTTTTGGTAACTGGCCTAACAGATTTTATTGTTTATTGAAACAATTCCTATGCCATTATTATCAAGTTTTGGTTTGCTTAGGAAAAAACTGAGATTAAATTAAAAAAAATTAAGGTTATTACATCCATGTATCTTTCTGTATGTGCCTTTAATGTACTTGTGACATTGAGTTACAGGGCTTTGACTCCTGGGTCTAAAAGAACACCAAGTCCTGCTAAATTTTAAACCTTGACAGCAATTAAATCCCATCTACAAGTCCAGTTGAAGATGCCAATCAAAATAAACTGCATTCCTGAAACACGGGGCCAGAAATTAAAACTATTCAATTCCTCAAGGCCCAGGGACTATTGTGGAAGAGGTGGGCTTGTGAGATTTTAAGGGCTGATTTTGGGGATAAAATACCTTCAGTTTCTCTATTAATTAATTATTAATGTCAAAGACACATGGATGCAAGAGCAGCATATAGGCCCCTATGTCAGATTAGCAAGGTTTTCTTGAAGCATTAACTGACTCCTTAATAAAGATTATAAAAGTCTTGTGGAAGTTATATCTTATAGTCAAGATTAAAATCTTAAAGATTGTTTATACATTTTAAAAAACAAATTTAATCGGTTTCATGCTGTTTTTATTAGGGCTTATTGTTTGGAAAATTAACATTCCTCTCTTAAATAATGAAGGTTTTTGATTTTTTTTTGAAATACTTGAGTTATCACTCTGGTCAGGTGACTGACTTATTTTGCAATGACCTGAGATGTCAAGTGATTTTGATAAAAGTGATTTTCATATGAACATACAATACTATAGGATTCCATATTTGCCTATATGTTTACTTTTACTAGAAGCTTTATATTTTTGCATAGTTCCATGTTACTGGATAGCATTGTTTCATTTTAACTTGAAGGACTGCCTTTAATATTGCCTTTAGGGAAAGTCTAATGGTGATGGGCTCTCAGCTTTTGTTTTTATGGGAAAGTCTTAATTTCTCCAGTTCTTAAAGGAGAGTTTGTTAGATATAGTATTCTTGGTTGGCAGTTTTTTTTTTCTTTTAGTTCTTTGAATATATTATTCTACTTCCTTCTGGCCTGTGAGGTTTCTGCTGAGAAATCTGATAATCTGATAGAGGCTCCCTTGTATCTGATGAATTGCTTTCTTTTGCTGCTTTCAAGATTCTTTTTTTCTGTGTGGTTCTTGTACACAACAGACTACTATTCTGCCATCAAAAATAATGAGATCCTGTCATTTGCAACAACATGGATAGAACTGGAGGTCATTATATTAAGTGAAGTAAGCCAGGCATAGAAATACAAACATCACATCTTCTTGCTTATTTGTAGGATCTAAAAATCAAAACAATGGAACTCATGAAGATAAAAAGTAGAATGATGGGTTACCAGAGGCTGGTAAGATTAGTAGGTGGTAGGAGGAAGAAGGGGATGGTTAATGGGTCCAAAAAAAAAAAAGAAAAGAAAGAGTGAATAAGACCTACTATTTGATAGCAAAACAGGATGACTATAGTCAATAATAATTTAATTGGACATTTAAAAATAGCCCAAATAGTATAATTGGATTGTGTATAACACAAAGAATAAATGCTAGAGGGGATGGATACCCTATTTTCCATGATGTGATTATTATGCATTGCATGCCTGAAACAAAACATCTCATGTACCCCATAAATATATATAAAAATATATAAATATATATACTTTCTATGCACCCACAAAAATGAAAAATAAAAAATTTAAGAAAAGATTCTCCTTTTCTGTAACTTTTGAGAGTGTGATCGTAATGTGTTTCAGTGTAGGTCTCTTTCAGTTTATCCTAGTTGGAGTTCATTTAGTCTCTTGAATTTGTATGCATACTTCTTTTCTCAGATTTTTAACATTTTTAGCTATTATTTCTTCATATTCGCTCCCTTTCTCTTTCTGTTGTCTCTTTCTGAAACTTCATAGTGCATATTTATTCCTCCTAATGGAGTCCTGTAAGTCCCACAGGCTGTCTTCACTTTTATTCTTCCTCTTTTTTTCTTCTATTCAATAATTTTAAATTACTTATTTTCAGTGAATTTCTTCTCTTCAATAATTTTAAATTACTTATTTTCAAGTTCACTGATTGTTCTGTCTTTGATGGTCAGTCAGGTATAGCTGACTGGAGAGACTCAGGAAGACAAGGCTTATTATACTGACAGCTGCTAGGAGAGGAGACACAGTGTGCCACACAAGGTCATCTGTTTGGTCAGGAGGCAGGAGACAGGAAACAGGAATGAGGGGAATGAGGGGAAGGTTTGGCTAGAGTCTTTATTGGAGTTTACATGAGAAACAAAAGGGAGGGCAGAATAAGTATTTTAAGTTTGACTATTTGAGTAATTTTGGTGTTATCTAAGCTATGGGTTTGTCCCTAGTTGCTCGGTACCTGGTTGTGGATGATTAAAGCATACCTCCTGGGGCATATGGGCTAGAAAGGAAAGTTAGGGCTTTAGATTTATTAGTTTGTATATCAAAGCCACTCTCCTGGCTGAGCCCTTGCTATTTCTAAGAATTGGCTGAACCCAGGAGGAGCAGCCTTTCCCCAGAGAGGAAGGTTTTTAAAGATGTCAAGACATCATTACACACACACTTACTTTATATGCATTAAACTGATTTTTCTGTCCAATGAAGTCTGCTTTTTTGAACTGTATGTGAATTTTCAACTTTGGTTATTGATTTTTTAGCTCCAGAATTTGTTTGGTTGTTATAATAGTTTTTATCTCTTTGTTGATATTCTTATTTTTTCATGCATCAGTTTCCTGATTTCATTTAATTGTCTTTCTGTGTTCTATTTCAGCTCATTGTGGATCTTTATGACGGTTATTTTGAATGTTAAATTCTCTTTCAGGTAATTAGTAGATCTCCACTTCTTTATGTTAGGGGCAGAAGGCATCCAAGTTACCAGCAGTGAATCTGTACAGATCTGCAGCCACCTCAATTCTTGCCTCCTCAGAAGAAACAACTTGACTGAGGAGCATAAGGCAGAAAAAGAGACCGAGTTTCAGAGCAGGAGTGGAAGCTTATTAAAAAGCTTTAGATCAGGAAAGGAAGGAAGGTACACTTAGAAGAGACCCAAGCAGGCACTGTGAAGGTCAAGTGTGGCATTTAACCTTAATCCTAGGACTTTATAGGATGGTTCACTTTTGGTATCTTGCACTCTTTTTCCCATGATTCTTCCCTTCAGGTGGGCTGCCTGCATGCACAGTGCCCTTGTTACGCTTGGAAGTGAGCATGAGCAGTGTGTTTAGGAAGCTGTATGCATCCCCATCTGAGGCTTTCTTCTCTTTTCTGGTGGAGTCCCCTCAGAAGGTCATACTCTGCCATTTTGTCTCTTAATGTGCATGCCTGGGCTCATTTGCCCAGTTCCTGAGATTTTAATATCAATCTCAAGTGTTTTTATCTCTTTGGGAAGTTGCTTCTCACTGGTGCCTGCATTCAATTAACACTTCAATGTGACAGCTGTGGACCATCAGTAGATTGTCTCTCCCTGGTGCTGGCTGCCAAATGATCATTTTTAGAGAGGCAATGCGAGAACTGTTGAACCATTACCTGATGATGGCCCAACATTCCTGGTGGGTAGGGGAAGAAGTCTCTCCTGCCCCACGCATGCCTGTCTAACTACCTGTAACATTTAGGGCTGGTTTCTGGAGATTTATTTTGTTCCTTTGGTTGGGCTGTGTGTTCCTGTGTCTTTGTATGCCTTGTCATCTTTTGCTGAGATTTGGGCATTTGAAAAAACGGTCACCTCTACTGTTCTTTACAGACTGTCAGTTAAAGAGGTATGTCTGTTTTTCATCAGGAGCTCATCATGTCTTGCTCTCCCTGGTGTTTGCCTCCAATAGTGCAGTTTCTCTGGTGCTGTAATGAGCCACCTTTGTTCTCAGTGGCACCCAACCTGAGTATGCTGTTGTTTCTGTTAGCACTTCAAGTTAGGTGGTACAGAAACCATCTACTATGTAATTTTCTGTTTCATGAGGTATTTCTAATTATAGGGTGAATTTTCATTTCTCAAACGCTGGATTTAAGTTTGAAACAGTATGATGTGTATTTATTTTTAAAATTATGTTCCCACTGGTTATTCAGAAATAAATAGGATTGAGGTGGCCTCCTGAGGCCTTTCAGTCATATAAAATCTCTTAACATTGCCAAAGTGTATGAGTTTCTAAATACTTTACATAGAATCATAATACTTATATTATTGCAGTAGGTTACCTATTGCATCTCTACACATGAGCTTTGATTTCCTTTAATATTTTTTTGGTTCAAGTCCAGACCTCCTCCACAGAAGTCAAAGGTTATTGCTCTGGTGTGGCAAAACACCAAATGTGTACCCTGTATTTACAGACTCAATGTATCAGAAAGGTTACAAAGTCTAAATGCATTATTTTAATTCTCTGATGAAATGGAAATAATCTTGAATAGATCTAGAATACAATATCCTAATCACTAGTTTCAAAAGACTTGAGAGAATAGGCCAAGTGAAGACCAAACTGAGTTGGTCTAGTTGGGGCTGGAGCTAAGTAACTAAACCACAGAGATTGGTTTTGCTTGCTGGGGGTATAGAGGGGATTTTCAGGAAAGTAAGAGGTAGGCTGGGCATGGTGGCTCATGCCTGTAATCCCAGCACTTTAGGAGGCCAAGGCAGGTAGATTGCTTGTGCCCAGCAGTTCAAGACCAGCCTGGGGCAACTGGCAAAACCTTGTCTCTACAAAAAAACAACAGAAACAAAAAATTAGCCAGGAGTGGTGGTGCATGTCTGTAGTCCCAGCTACTCTGGTGGCTGAGGTGGGAGGATCACTTGAGCTCAAGGGTTTGAGATCAGCCTGGGCGACATGGTTGAAACTCTGCTCCACAAAAATTAGCCAGTGTGAGCCTCTGGTCCCAGTTGCTTGGGAGGCTGAGGTGGGAGGATTGCCCTTGAGCCCAGCAGGTGGAGGTTGCAATGAGCTGTGATCACACCACTGCAATCCAGCCTCGGCGACAAAGTAAGAGCCTGTCTCAAAAAAAAAAAAAAAAAAAAAAAAATCTTGTCCAATAGAAGGTTCTCTGATGTTAGAAATGTTTTAGAATCTGCACTGCCCAATATGATACCCTCTAGCCATTCATGGCTACTGAGCAATTGAAAGTTGGCTGGTAAAAATGAAGAACTGAATTATAATTTTATTTTATTTTAATTAAGTTAAATTTAAATAGCCACACGTGACTAGTGTCTAGCATATTGAACATCATAGCTATAAATTAGCGTGCTTTTAGGGACTATCTACTTGAAATATAAGAGTTAGCTTTTAAAAATTTCCCTGACATGTTTTTTCAGCCATTTATATTTGAGTGTTTTATATACTGTTTGGCGTGCAGTGAAATATACAGCAATATCCCTGTCTTGGAGAAAAAAAAGTAAAAATTAAAATAAGCAAAGAGAGACAATACAGAAACATGAGAGTTGCCATAATACACTTTAATCTTCATCACAGAAGAGTTACACTAAGTATAGAGGACTTCAGAAAAGCAAGAGTGCTTTCCAGGTTGTAGTGTTTGTAGGAGGAAGGGACTGGTTATTGAAGCACGTGGTATGTCTTGGGTAGGTAGAAAGAAAGGAAGAGAAATTTCAGGAGGAGGCTTGGTATAAATAAAACTGGGAGGGTAGGAAGTGGTAAGATGTGACTAGGACCCAGTAAGTAGGCTAATTTGCTGGAATATGGAGGTGGTTTGGAAGGTGAAGCTGGAAGTGTGAAGGCTGGAGTCATTATGGTTATAGCTGCTCTTGAATGCATGGCTAAAATCTTGGGATTTATCTTTCAGGCAGTGAAAGTTCAGCCATTGAAGGATTTTGAGCTAAGGAACAACATAATAAGAGTCTTTTTAAGGAAAATAACCTTGCCATCTGTCTGAAATAGAGAGAAATGGGTTAGGAAGCTATTACACTAGTTGAGGCAAGAAGTAAAAGGTTTGTGAACCAGAAGGGTGGCTATAGAAATAGAAGGAAAACAAGGAATGGTTAGACGGAAATATTTTAAGAGATTTCGTAGATTAAAACTGACAGATTTTCTGACATATTAGAATGGATTGTGGTGGCAATGGGAAAGATGAGTCAAGAGGTGACTCCAGGATTGTAGCATTAGCTGAGGGTGGGAGAGTGAGTCCAGTTAAATATATACGCCAGTGAGAGATGGGGACAGATGTATTACACTAGGACCCTGAAGTTTTTCTTGGAGGGTTCCAAGAGGAACCTGAATCACTTGATGGTTACTTCACCACCAAAAAATTGCTGGAACAAACAGTCACTATTTACACGTTAGTGATGCATTTAAAAATTAACTTGAACCGGCTGGGCGCAGTGGCTCACGCCTGTAATCTCAGCACTTTGGGAGGCCGAAGCGGGTGGATCATGGGGTCAGGAGATCGAGAACATCCTGGCTAACACGGTGAAACCTCGTCTCTACTAAGAATACAAAAAAAAAAATTAGCCGGGAGTGGTGGTGGGCGCCCATAGTCCCAGCTACTCGGGAGGCTGAGGCAGGGGAATAGCGTGAACCCAGGAAGCAGAGCTTGCAGTGAGCCGAGATCGTGCCACTGCACTCCAGCCTGGGCGACAGAGCGAGACTCCGTCTCAAAAAAAAAAAAAAAAAAATTAACTTGAACCAAAACTTAATCTGAAAATGTTAGTGTATTATCATGTGAGGACTGAAGCATTTCCAATATGTTAATAAGCACATGATTGTAGAAAATGTAAATATGATGATAATTGGCAATGATACCAGGATTGTACCTAGTGATTTATTGAGCTTCCCTCTCTCCATGTCGCCACCCTGCTGCCTGTCACCACCTTGCCTCCAGCCTTTTAAAATAATTTTTTAGTAGAGTGAATAAGAGCAAACACAGTAAACTATTCTGATAACTGGAATCTGATATCATTTGTTATGAGAATTAAACTTTCATTATTACCCAAATATACTGGGTAATAAACTAAAACATTTTCAGTTTTTCTTCCTTACTAGAACTGGAAGTGGAAAGTTAGTCTGGTATCAGTCATTTTCTTCTTGTAATCTTCATCAAATCTCTCATTCTGAGCCACGGTGAAGTGTTTCTTCCAGTCTCCCACTGCCCCTGAAATACAGTTATGTGGGAGAGGTTCAGTAGCTGTTGGAAGAGTCTGTGCTTCCCTATTCTCCTGTTTCTGTATGATGATTTCTATGCCATGTTCTAGGAAGGGCAGTATTGGACAAAACGTTTCTCTTGCTATCCTGTCACTTCCTTATCCTGAAGAGAAGACAACTTTCTTGTCTGATCTGTGAGACAAGGAGAGTCTCTTGCCACCTGGTTGCATTAGTGGGTGGGCGAGACCGCCATGTTACAATAGCAGGCCTGAAGGGCTTTCTTGTCTTTCCCTGTGCCCTGTTGCACATTGAAGCATGGTGGGTGCTCATGACTGTAGCTCCCATGCTGTAAACTGACCAAGAAGGGCCTATTTCTGGGAGGCCCAAGGTACCATTTGAAGAAGAAAAAATAAGACCTCCCCCCACAAATTCTCTAATTGTAATCCCTGTTACCTTTCCCAGTTTCGTTTTTCTTAATGTTATCTATCTATATATTCTTTATTTTGCTTATCACTAGAATATAATTTCCACGCAGGCATGAATTTTTGTGTTTTGTTCACTGCTGCAAACAGTGGCTAGAACAGTGCCTGGCACATAGAAGCCCCTCAGTAAGTACCTTTGAATGACTGAATCTGATAGCATAGAACTGTCTATAAAATGGATTCTTTGCCCTATCTGACTTAATTCTATATATTTTCATGTTATTAGCCAGAACTCTTAAGGGAAAGTGGGGATAAGTGGTTGGATTTGGACATCAAATCTTACTCTCTTAATCTTAATAATAATTGGCTAATTAAACGCGATTTTCATTTTATCAGTGGCTTCTTAAATACTTCTTTTCCCCAAATCATTTATTACAGATATTATTTTTCCTAGACACAGGAAAGAAAACTCCTCAAATGCTTTAAAATATTTGACAGTTCTTTTAAGATTATAATGAAAATAAACTATAAAAACCTTTTCTCATGAATGGAGAAATGGAGTGGTCCATGATTTCAGCAGGAATCGATGAATAGTTTGCCATTGGATTCTGTTTCATGACATCAAACGAAGTGTAATGGACAATTTTATCTAGAACTTTGTCATCTAATTTCTTCCCAATAAATTCTGCCAGCTTCTGAATTTCATGCTTTGGGTTCTATGATCAGAGTCAAAAGAAAAGTAATGATTTAATAGAATTAGTTTAAAAAGAATATTATGATGGATTAATGACAGTAACCGGTAACATATTACGAGCTAAAATAAAAAACAAATCTTAACAAATGCTCAAGTGACTCATTTTAACGTGATGACCCATATTGTTCTTTTTTTAGTAATTGGAATCACTAATAATTTTTTCCCCTTAATATGTAATCAACTGGGTAGGGTTAGTGAAACATTCACCAGACAATGACATACAGTGCCTAGTGAATGGTTCACTAAGGGAATGTGTCAGGGTTATGTCCACAAGCCCTGCTCAAGGCATTTCAGAAGCACAGGGGCAGAAGATTTAAGACCTGACACAGAGGAAGCTACATCCTGTTTCTGACATTGACAGAAATGTCCCCAGACTGCAGTGATGGCAGGAGGAGAGGAGAGAAGTTTTTTTTTTGCATGCCTCAAGAGGCACTCATGGCTAGTGACTCTGGTACCAGACCACCAAGTCAAGTGGAACTGAGAGGAGCTGAGTTCCAGTGTAGCTACTGATTTCGCATCAAAGGGACATACAACCTTGTGACATCACTGTGGCTGTGGGACGCCTCCATCTCTAGGAGCAGAGGGCGGGTGGGGAAGGAAAGTGGAAGCGCTTACCCTGACCACTGTGTCTATAGTGGGCTTCTGCTTTAAAAGCTTGTATGTCAAAAATGTTTCATTTAATTGACCTCACACAGGCTAGGAATCAGAGAGTGCTGAGAATTGTGAGCTTTGTGGGAACTACAGTGAGGGGACATTCAAGAACAAGATCACAGCAATATTTTTAAAAGTTTTAGGGACTCTGAGGTTAGATTACCTATTTCGATAAAGTTTCTTCCTGGCATGCATAATACGCTAGGGTCTACCTAAACAAAAGAGCCCCATTCCCAGCGACATATCCTTTCTCTGACATGGCTATGATACATGCTGTAGGGAAACATCATCTGCCTGGAGTCTTCGTATGGTGGCACAACACTTTTGTACCAAGTAAAAACAAAGTAAACACAAAGAAGGGAATTTTATACTGATAACCTCATAGGTTGTTCTGCTGGTTCTTTGATCATGCTTCTGAGAATCCTAGAGCTATAACAATTATTTTAAAAACCACATGAAAATAGTCTGTGTTTTCCACTCCTTTGATATTTTGTAGAACTCACTCATATCACAAGGCCCAGCAGTGATTGAACCTTAGAGAAGTGCATCTAAATGGTGATGTGTGCTTGAATCTCCTGGGAATTTTATAAAACTCCAGACTTAGCAGGCCTACAGCAGGCTCCAGTAGCTCATGCAACTAGTCTGTGAAGCACCTGTTGAGTATCAAGGCTTTCAACGACCAATTCAAGAACAGACACTGTAATTCTGTATAGATCTCTGTATTTAGTGGGGTCACAGAAAATAGCTGAGTAGATGATTATTTACAATAAACATCCACTGATATTATCTCATTTAGTCCTCAAATAAATCTTGAATGGGTAAATATTATTATCTTCATTTTTACATTTAAGAAAACTAATTTCCCAAGATGTTAAGTGTCTTTACCAAGAATTGACAGAACTTGATTTCAATAATTTTGAATCTAAATCATTAGTATTTTCCATTGCACCACTTCTTAAAGTTTCTTAAAGCTATTGGCTGGGCGTGGTGGCTCACGCCTGTAATCCCAGCACTTTGGGAGGCCGAGGCGGGCAGATCACGAGGTCAGGAGATTGAGACCTGGCTAACACGGTGAAACCCCGTCTCTAGTAAAAAATACAAAAAATTAGCCGGGCGTGCTGGCGGGTGCCTATAGTCCCAGCTACGTGGGAGGCTGAGGCAGGCGAATGGTGTGAACCCGGGAGGCGGAGCTTGCAGTGAGCCAGAGATCGCGCCACTGCACTCCAGCCTGGGTGACAGAGTGAGACTCCGTCTCAAAAAATAAATAAAATAAATAAATAAATAAATAAATAAATAAAGTATTATGTTCCTCAGTGCTAATAAAAAAACAAAAACTCTGGGCATGGTAGCTCATGCCTGTAATCCTAGCATTTTAGCAGGCTGAGGAGGGTGGAACACTTGGGATCAGGAGTTCAAAACCAGCCTGGCCAACATGGTGAAACCCGGTTTCTACTAAAAATACAAATAATTAGCTGGCATGGTGGCAGGCGACTGTAATCCCAACTACTCCGGAGGCTGAGGCAGGAGAATCTCTTGAACCCGGGAGGCGGAGCTTGCAGTGACTTGAGATCGCACCATTGCACTCTAGTCTGGGCGACAGAGTGAAACTCCTCCTCTGTCTCAAAAACAAAAACAAAAACAAAAAAAACCCAAAAACCAAAGAAACCAAAATGTGCTAGGATTTTTTTTCCTGCTAAACTGCATTTTAAAATAGACATGCAAGGGAGAAAATGACACCATCCATATTGTGTAATAACCTGCCTGTAAGGGAAATGTGCAGCATCCCTGGGAGCACCAGGAAGCTGCAGGTGAGACTGTGTGATACTTAAACTCATGATCAGCCATGTGCACTTTGACAAATGACAGCTGTAACCAATGAAGTGCAGCAATTTTCGGTTCCCCGCATCAATCTGAGTCCCTGATGGGGTCAATGCATTATGACTTAAATGTTTTATGGTCCAGTGGGTACACCTTAGATGGCACTGTGCTCACCTTCTTCATGTCCTCATAGAAGAGATAGAGAATACGGTGTTTGTCTTTGGCTTCCCACCATCCTTTCACATGTTCATGCCAGGAGCCCCAGCACACTGGAGGATGGGATGGAAAACAGGACAATGAGTCACAGAGGTCCTATTATACCACTGAAAGGAGAATTCCTGAAGAGAAGTGAGAATGTTCCATTAAAGAAGGCAGAGCCCCTGCTGGTCAAAAGAAAAGATTCTTTCCTTCTAGGGTGTTTGGAGATTTTGAGAAACGAAGGGAAACAAAGCTAAATTCTCTCACCTTTCCCAGCCAGAAAAGTCTCAAAATACTCTTCCCATGTTCCTGGAGCAGGAAGAGCTTTATTCATTCTTTGGAAATGGTAATAGGACACCATGTTGTCCTTGGGATTTCTTGCTACATAGATTATCTGGGAATGATGAGGGGAGGGGAAGGGAAGAAGCAAAAAAACAGGAATTTTTTTTTTTTTTTTTTGCTGTTACTGCCCAGGCAAGTCATGTTAGGGTAGATACATTTCATACAGTTCATTTTTTCTGAGGCTGCATTCTTGTCATCCTGGTTATGGGAGACTTTTTTTTTTTTTTTTTTTTTTTTTTTTTGAGATGGAGTCTTGCTCTGTCACCCAGGCTGGAGTGCAATGGCACTATCTTGGCTCACTGCAACCTCTGCCTCCTGTGTTCAAGCGAGTCTCCTGCCTCAGCCTCCTGAGTAGCTTGGATTACAGGCATGTGTCACCACGTCCTGTGAATTTTGTGTTTTTGGTAGAGATGGGGTTTCGCCGTGTTGGTCAGGCTGGTCTTGAACCCCTGACCTCAACTGATCCACCCATCTCAGTCTCCCAAAATGCTGTGATTACAGGCATGAGCCAACGTGCCTGGCTAGGATTCATATTAATTTGCATATTGATTATTGTGAAGAGGTATATATATATATATTTAACAAGTGAAGTGTTTTAAGAGGAAATGGAAGACTAAGGTTGTTTTAAGGAGTACAACTCTGAATTCCTTTTGCTTTTTTACCTTACAGTTTTTCTCTAGCAAGGATGGTGGCAGCAAGTGAAAGGGAAGATGTGTTTTCAGGATCCGTGGTGAGGGCATTGCATGAGCTTGTTCCAAACCTGCAAAACTGGTTTTCGATCAATTTCTACGATTTTTTTTTTATCTATTTGCTTCCAAGTCTTGCTGCTTCCATTATTACTACTACAATTCAAAGCATCTATAAGAACATTGTAACTGTAGATCTGGTGTGAGAGAATACGTCTAGCCTATGAATAGATGTTTTGACTAGAACAATTCCTAACCATAACAGTCATCCAAATAAATAAGAACCTAAAAAATTCAAACCCTTTCACCAGGATTATCTTACTTGAGCTTATTCTTTTGAAGTAAAATTAATTTCTAACTAGAGAAACAAAATTTAACTCACTTTTGTACAAACAGTAATTCCATTAGAAAATGTCTGGAGTATAACAATGGCCAGACACAGTTAAAAAAAGACAAAACCATGAAACTTACCAATAATTGTTTGAAAGCCTATAATTTCGAAAGGTGCAAAGACAGTAAAAATCCTAAGTGCATTTTAGGACTGTAGTGAAGTGTGGCTATTTATACTCACCAGATCCTAAGGATGGGATTTTCATTTCGAGGAAAGGAAATCGTTGATGAGTCGGTGCCCGTTTACTTTTCTCCACATCACCTTCATTTTGTATTAATTCCACTATCTCCTGAGTCCATGTTGTTCCTTACGTGCACGTAAAATGAAGATGAATAGACATCTAGTATAGTACATTCCTTAAAATATGATCAAATACTTGTTAGAACATCTATGTCTTTTGTTTTGTTTTGTTTTGTTTTGTTTTTTGAGACAGGGTCTTGCTCTGTATCAAGGCTGGAGTTCAATGGTGCAATCTTGGCTCACTGCCTCCTGGGTTCAAGCGATCCTCTCGCCTCAGCCTCCTGAGTAGCAGGGGTTACATGCATACACAATCACCCCTGGCTAATTTTTATACTTTTTGTAGAGACGGCATTTTACCATGTTGCCCAGGCTGATCTGGAACTCCTGAGCTCAAGTGATCTGCTTGCAAGTGATCTGCTCGCCTCGGCCTCCTAAAATGCTGGGATTATAGGTGTGAGCCACCATGCCTGGACCATCTATGTGAATTTAAAAGCTAGGTTTTAAATGGGATTCAGAAGATAGCATTCCTTATTTATATCTTATTATCATAATATGATTTTAAAAAAATACTCCAATTTTGAATGGACATTAGACTGATAAATATACATTTATTTTTTTCTGTCACAACTATTAATTTGGATTGTTATTATTGTTCTATTTATTTAGCTGTATTGTCCTTAGAAAGGACATTCTCCCCAAATTGTGATCTGCTATAGAGAAATGACTACATGATTTTCAAACTCTCTTTTTCCCAGTTGCATAGCGTAGGAGACACTTAGTATTTGTTGGCTGAATGAGTGAACCATTAGGGCTTGAACTTGATATTGACCATTAGCACTTAGTATTCAATTTTTCGCCTTTCTCTGTTTCCCCCATATCTCATGGGCTGAAAGGCTGTAAAAGGCCTTCCCTAAACTCCTTTGCCACTAAGATTCTGAAGGCTATTTAGATCCCTCCAGTGAGATGCATTAGCCTGAGTTTTGGAAGGCAGTGGGGAGATAGAAGTCATCCTTCCTGAGGTGGTGGCTGCTGATAGTAGCCCCAGCAGATAGAAATTTTGCAGAGACCATTCCACGTTCCATGGCCCAGTGCCCTAGACCCAACCACTGCCACTGTGGCCATAGGTAGAATGGTATCCCCCAGCTTCAGTCTGTCTGTGTCTTGCACTGATCCTGACTGATACAGTGATATTGTGCTATCAACATAATCTTCACCCTTTGATGAAGATCTGTTGCACCAGATGTTCTGGCAAAATCCAGGTTAGGAGGATGTTGAGTTATTTTAGGATGGCTTTTTTTATTTTTTATTTTTCCAGAGACAGGGTCTTGCTCTGTTGCCCAGGCTGGAGTACAGTGGTGGGATCCTAGCTCAGTGCAGCCTCCAACTCCTGGGCTCAATGGTCCTCTTGCTTCAACCTCCCAAATAGCTAGGACTGTGAGTGCACACCACCATGCCTGGCTAATTTTTATTTTTTTTTTGTACATAGGAGTCTCCCTATGTTGCCCAGGCTGGTCTCAATCTTCTAGCCTCAAAAGATCCCCCTGTCTTGGCCTCCCAAAGTGATGGGATTACAGGTGTGAGCCACCATGCCTAGCCAGGATGGCTTTCTGAATCCTGATCTAGGTTGATCTTTCCTGTATTATCTGGCCGAAACTCTATAGATTCCTTTTCCCATATTCTCAATTTAGTGCTTTTAAAGGCCTAGAATAAGGGCATAGGTTAGAAAAAAATTAAATTACATTTTATATTTTATAGTAGTTGGTCTCCTGTATTTTCTGGCAGCAACTTTTATTACAGGACAAAGGGCCAAGATATCTTTAGCTATCCATGCAAAGAATAGTCCAGCCATTTGTACTAGTTTTATGGGAATTTATAGCCATAACACTGAATGTCTATAATGAATGAATTGAATGAATTTATAGACATGAGCCAACATGAGGGCAGATTCAAATGTTGCTAGAGGCTCCGGGGTGAGTGGAATGACTTCTCAATTTATTCTCTAGAGGCCAGTGATTCTATGATGTATTTTTTTCTTGTGTCATTCAGAGTATTATTCTTTTAAAAATTTAGGGTGAACTATTTTTGCCATCTATGCTTGTTTCTTCTTCCTTCTAATAAAATAGCCTTCATTAATGTATATGGTTTTAGTTATGATTAAATATTACTTTAGATGGCAAGTATTTAATTTTCTTAGTGTGCTTTTTGAATTGCTTAAACCTCATTAATGCCATGAAAAACCTAAATGAACCATATCTTTGTACTTGCGTTTGGCAGATAGAGAAAAGATTATTTATGTATTGAATTGATAATCAAGTGGAATTGTCAATGAAATTAAGATGATGAGATGTGATCCTCACCAGTGGCTACTTTTAGAAATTTACATTCAGAAAAATTTGATCCTGAATGGGCTCCTGATGAGTAAGATTGGGAAATCAGGACCAAAATGAAACAGATGGACAAAGAAGAGACCAAGGCCTCCATGTGCCTGCAGAATCTTCTGTCAGGATCTTGAGAGATAAGAACAAAAGAGGATTTTGAACAGTCTCAGAAAATACTGAGGTTTAGATTTTTTGATGTGTGTGTGTTTGTGTGTGTATAACAAGAGTTTTTGACAGCTTGATTTTGCAAAGAGCAAATGTATATACAATTTGTGTGTGGACCCAGTAATGTATTTCTAGTAGATATGTAGATATGCAAAAATATTTATAGAGAACTATTTCCACCTCATCATCACCCAATTTTTATGACGTGGTGGCTCGGCTTAAGCTAGTCCTACTTTTACAGACAACTTTGTTAAACTGATTGTTGAGATAAGGCAGTTGGTTCAAAACTTACCACAAAGGAAGGTGGAAATCAGAAGGATGGTTCTCAGACCCTGAGATGGGAGGGCTGCTGAGGTGATATCAGCATTGCAGAACCAAAGCTCCCCTATTTCTTTCCCAAATCAGACTCAGGATCACCTTTCTAGCTCACACACTCAAAGCAGCTTTTTACAAGATCTACAATAAGGGCCTAGATTGGGAATGAATAAATAAACAAGTCTACCCTTTTGCTCTTAACTGTTTTCACTCTCTCCTGGGAAAGTGAAAAAAAAAAAAAAAGGAAGTACATCATAGTATCATAGGAAGATTGAATTCTAAAAATTTGTATGTCATTTTAGTATGTTTCGGTATAGCTTCAGTTTCCACTAGTAACTTTCCTTAGCCATATCACTCTGTCCAGAGTTTTCCAGATCAACTTCTTTATTTCATGACTAATGCATACTTCCACTTACCTTCCTAACTCTCCTCTTCCCCTTCCCCTGCAAGCCCTTCCACCTACCTGCTTTAGGATAGGTAGAAATAAGCAGGTCATCAGGCTTGGCTTGGAAGTTCCAGATCTTATCCCAGATGTCACAGGTGTCTGTCGGTTGAAGAATTCCCTTCACGTAGTTGACACTTAAGCGCTTTGTTCCATCAAATGTAAAATCCTCCATGTCGTGTAAGGCCATTAGTGTAAGAAATCAGAGGGCTCTTCCAGACACAAAGTTATCTTCAGTCAGCATATGGCTGCGTTGTGGATAGAGGCAGCACTCTATCCACCACACTACCACACTATCCAGCCCTCTAGCACAGGCCTGTCTGGGCCAGCAAACAGGGAGAAAGTGAGTTGCAGGCCTCCCGACTCAGGTTCCAGGGAACTGGAACTCTTGTTTATGACTTTGTCCACTGGCAGTTTCCTGAGGAACTGCAGCCCCCTCCTCACCAGGCTGTGGCGTCACAGCAGAGGCGGCCACAAACCCTGCTGGCCAGCAAACAGGGAGAAAGTGAGCTGCAGGTCTCCCGACTCAGGTTCCAGGGAACTGGAGCTCTTGTTTATGAATTTGTCCACTGGCAGTTTCCTGAGGAACTGCAGCCCCCTCCTCACCAGGCTGTGACGTCACAGCAGAGGCGGTCACAAACCCTGCTGGCTGGGTCCCGTTCCAGCCCTTCCGTTCTCTGTGAGTTAACAGGACATAGTATCACATTGTTTATAGCTCTCATGTCTGTGTCCATTAAACCCTTCATAGATAATTTCAGTAATTATTCCTTCTGGGAATTTTAAACAATTAAAAAGTTGCAGGACTTGCCTGTGAAATTACAGATTCTACACAGAATGACTTCCCTGAGAGACTGCAGGGACTTTCCCGTGGGCTATTAACAGTGGGGGCCTGGATGGATCTGAATCTCCCAGTACAAACATCTGCCAGGGTCAGCTTTGTTATTTTTTAAGAGTAAAATAAATAATGCTAAACTGGAGAATTGTAGGGGTTTCATCACAGCTATGAAAACATGTATGCCTCATTTAAAGCAAAAGGGATGCAGAAAACTCCAGAGTTAACAGAAGACAGTGGCTGCCTTAGGAATCCATTCTGCCCCTGATAATCAGAAATTTCACAACTTGCTTCAGTCCCTGCCCCCGGCCTGGCCTGCACCCCAGGGCCATGCCACACTTGCTCCCCATGGCAGCACTCCTTCTGGAGATCTTGTCGGCTCTTGTGTGTCTGGCTGTCTGATTCTCTTTCTTCGTGTCCCAGCTTTGATGCCCCCTTTCTGGAGAAGCCTTCTTTGACTTTCTATGTCATCTCAAGTAGGTCCCTCCTATTTCCTTGCTCATGGCACTTTGTGTTCCTTTAGAGCAACCATTGACAGTTAGTTTTTGCGTGTTTACTTGTTGGCATTTTCTGTCTCCTTCACTACACTCTAAGGCACATGAAATGGGGCCTGTTGTTTTCTCACTGTTTGATAGCTGTATGCCTAGTGTCTGGCATTCTTCTATTTCTCGAAAGAATGAATGAGTAAAACTAAGCAAAAATTGAGGAAGCGAGTTCCTTGGGCCATCATTATGTGGGGACTAGGTGAGTATGGTGGCTGTGGCTTGACATCCTTCAGAGAGAAGTCAGGCTGCCTGTATTTGAACCCTGTGCCAAGTCCCAGTAGCTGTGGGCAATGGCAGGTTACAGAATCTTTCTCTGTTTCATATCACGCTTTTCCTCAGGTCTGAATTGGGGATCTTAACATTATCTACCTCATGGTTGTGGGGAGATAAAACAGCTTATTTAATGCTTGGCAACAGGGAAATGTTGAATAAATCATAGCTGTTAATAATAATGGGTGACTTTGTTCACCATTTCTCTGTGGCCCATGTTCTGGATGCAAACTCAGAAAAGATCAATTCTTTGGCTTTCCCTATTCCTCATCCCCTCCCTCCAGACCATGGTGAGGTGGATGGGCCCTTGAGACAGAGACTGCCAGGTGGAATGCCTGGGATGCATATGCATTTAAACAGACTTATAAAAATCACCTATAATTTTTCAGTTAGATTTTATTCTATAATCTTTTTGGCCCTGTGTGCCATCAGAGTAGAGTGGTAGATATTCAGCAATGCCTTAGCAGTTTTCTCCAGTGCGTTGTGTGCTAGAGGGGGAGGGCTGGGAGATGGGGGAGGATATGCTTCTGGACCCAAAGATGACTGACTGGGATTGAAAATAGATCCAGGGAAGATGGGAAGTTCCAAATAATTTGAAAAGTGATCTTGACTACAAACACTGCTCTTATTCTCACTTAATGTTTTTACTCAATAGTACTTTCTCATGAGGTTAGGAGAATTAAATAAATATATTTAGTGATTATAAGAATAAAGTTGGTGCTAAGTCTATATTTGACAAGCATTGCTTTGGAATTCTAAATATATGGGTTTGAATTTAAACTGCCCCCTAATAGCTGTGTAACTTTTCTAATACTTATCTCTTCTGAGCCTTTCGTTTTTTATTAATCTCACAGGGTTAATGTAATGTTGGATGTAAATAAGGTATCCTATAATCTTGGGATATATTGGGTACCCAAGATAAAGCTAATATACTCTCCCCCTCTAATTCTTCCCTGAACCTCCCTTTCAACTCTGTCACTGTTTGCTTCTGAGCATGGAGAGGAGATTCCAACTCTTAACGCGCTTTAGATGTCCTTTTTGCAAACTACTAACTTGTTCAGGCCTCAAATGTGATTCATTTGCAAAATTTGTAACTGGGGTTTCCAAACTCTTTTTTTGTTAGTAAAATCCAGCATGCTGGTTACTACCCTTAAACAGGTCTCTGTTTGTTTGCTTTTTACGAAAGGAATATGTAGGCAGGGCATGGTGGCTCATGCCTGTAATCCCAGCACTTTGGGAGGCCGAGGCAGGTGGATCACGAGGTCAGGAGATTGAGACCATCCTGGCTAACACGGTGAAACCCCGTCTCTACTAAAAATACAAAAAATTAGCCGGATATGGTGGCAGGTGCCTGTAGTCCCAGCTAGTCGGGAGGCTGAGGCAGGAGAATGGCATGAACCCAGGAGGCGGAACTTGCAGTGAGCCAAGATCGCACCACTGCATTCCAGCCTGGGCAACAGAGTGAGACTCCATCTCAAAAAAAAAAATAAATAAATAAAATTAAAAAAAAGGAATATGTCTAAAAGACGTTTTGACTCGGCACACTGTTTTAAAACACACCCGGCCAGGCGCGATGGCTCATGCCTGTAATCCTAGCATTTGGGAGGCCAGGGTGGGCAGATCACCTGAGGTCAGGAGTTTGAGACTAGCCAGGCCAACATGGCGAAACCCTGACTCTACTAAAAATAGAAAAATTAGCCAGGCGTGATGGTGCATGCCTGGAATCCCAACTACTCAGGAGGTTGAGGCAGGAGAATCACTTGAACCCTGGAGGTGGAGTTTGCAGTGAGCTGAGACTGCACCACTGCACTCCAGCCTGGGTGACAGAGCGAGACTCGGTCTCAAAAAAAAAAAAGATACCCATTGGAGAGTGAGCTAAGCCTGTGTTGAAAAAGTTGAATTGTAATGGTCTTTGTTCTTTGAATCAATATTTAGCTTAGAGGTATTGTAAATGACTTATTTGTTGTTCAATACTTGAAACCGAAGCAAGAGGAAGAACTAACAAGTCCACATAATTAAAACTGGAATCAAATCCAGATTGTTCAGATATTGATAAATATGGTTTATTCATAACTTCTTTTCCCCCTTCCTCTATTTAGATGGCCTTAAGGCCATTCTGTTTGCAGTACACTATTCCAGGAGCTGAGTAGGGAGAAAATGAAACTCAAATGAATTATATTACTCTTTGCTATAATACTTTAATCAGCTTCAGAGGTTGGAGGTAACTGTAAGCACTTAGTGAGATGAAGCAAGGATGTAGGCAATCTATAATTTCAGACAATTCCTTAAAACATAACCTAAGAACCCCTTACATTCTCAGAAAAATGAAAAGCTGTGTCAAATGCTGGGTCATGTAGAGCTTCCAGCTGTAGCAAATATAGATACAGGATGCCCAGTTAAATTTGAATTTTAGATAAACAGTGAATTAATTTTTAGTACATGCATTTTCTGTGCAATATTTGGAATATACTTATTCTTCAAAATAAATCACTGGTTGTTTATTTGAAATACAAATGTGAGTGGGCATCCTGTATTGCATCTGTCAACCATAAGTAGGGGAGCAGTTCTGGCCAAGTCTAACTCCAAAACAGAAAAACTCCAGGAGCTCAATCAGTGGGATTAGAAACATGCCTGAAGCAGAAAGCCTTTCAGAATTGCACATGAGCTGGGTGACCACTTGCCTCTTTTCCCTGGCTCATGGGGAAAACTTCATACTTTCCAGTTGTTAGCATCTCTGCCAGCCTCTCCTCTGGGCCTGGAGATTCACCCAGCTTGTTTTGTGGAGATGGCACCACCTTTATTGGGGGAACCCACACCTGATAATTCAACATGAGTCCTTTTCTATTTTCCCTAAGTGTCGGCCGATCTGAGAAATAAAGGGAAAGAGTACAAAGAGAGAAATTTTTAAAGCTGGGTGTCCGGGGGAGACATCACATGTCGGCAGGCTCCTTGATGCCCCTGAGCCGCAAAACCAGCAAGTTTTTATTAGTGATTTTCAAAAGGGGAGGGAGTGTACAAATAGGGTGTGGGTCACAGAGATCACATGCTTCACAAGGTAATAAAATATTACAAGGCAAATGGAGGCAGGGCGAGATCATAGGACCGGGACGAAATTAAAATTGCTGATGAAGTTTCAGGCACGCATTGTCATTGATAACATCTTATCAGGAGACAGGGTTTGAGAGCAGACAACCAGCAGGAAGCAGCCAGGTGTGAGCCACTGCGCCCGGTTGTACAACACTCTTAAAATAAAAGTTGGATTTGACCGGTGGAAGTAGTTTGCCAACCACTATTCAAGGTAAATATCTAGAAGTGTGATTGCTGGGCCACGTAGTAAGTGTGAGTTTAATGTTATCAATGCACTGCCAAATTACTTTCCAGAGTGGGTGTATCATTTTGTATTCCCACTATTAATGTATTACAGATCCAGTTAAATTGTATTTTTGTATTCGGGTATCGTCCGTATTTTTTTTAGTCATTCTGATAAGTGTTCTGTGGTATCTCATTGTGGTTTTACTTTGTATTTCTCTAATGGGTAATGAGATTGAACATCTTTTCATGTGCCTATTTGCCATTAACATGCCTTCTTTGGTGAAGCATGTGTTCATATCTTTTGCTTCTTTTTAAATTGTAGGGGAATTTATATCCTCAGATTTTTTATTCTGTTGAAAAGCAATTCTACTCTTCAGTATTGGTAACAAATAGTCCTGATGTTTCAGTGGCTACTAGCATAAGTCTATTTCTCTCTCGTGCTGCCTGTCTATCATGGGTCACCTGAGATCTGTTCCTGATCCCTTAGTACAGGCTTCTCACTGTGAAACCTAGCCTGGCACCCTGCCCCATCTGGAGTGTTGTTGATTGGCATGGCAAAAGTAAGCCATGCTCTAATTAACATTTCTACCCATGAGAAATACATATAACTTTGTCTTATATTTAATTAGCCAAGCAGGCCATTTGGCATGCCTTAACTTCAGAGGTGGGGATGTCCAATCTTTCCATGTCCCTAGGAGAAGAATGTAGCCATAGTGACAACAGCAACATTGTCACTAATAATAAGGTATCTAGGCAGTTCTCATGTATGTCATATTCTCTTACCGTTTCTTTTCAATTAAATTTCTAAAATATACCTGTAATCTCAGCACTTTGGGAGGCTGAGGTAGGCAGATCACTTGAGGCCGGGAGTTCAGGACCAGCCTGGCCAACATGGTAAAACCCCATCTCTGCTAGAACACAAAAATTAGCCAGGCTTGGTGGCACACACCTGTAATCCCAGCTACTTGGGAGGCTGAGAAACGAGAATTGCTTGACCCCGGGAGGTGGAGTTTGCAGTAAACCAAGATTGTGCCACTGCACTCCAGGCTGGGTGACAGAGAAAGACTGTCTCAAAAAAAAAAAGAAATTTCTAAAATGTAAAAGCACTACTAAAAGAAGATATCTTTTAAGGGGAGGCTCACTGACTTATGTATTTCATAAATTAATGTAAAAAACATGGGGCCTGATGTTTATTTTTCCAAGTAAGGATATTTCCAAAAAAATTTACAATCACACTTCCATTTCATTAAGAAGGACATTTTAACATCAAGTGTGAGAGCATAATCTCAGAGTAAAAAGAAAATTGAATGTACCTAGCTGTATGAAAAACTTGTATTATCCTTAACTTTTACATCTCATTAGTAAATCATACCATTGAAAGATGACATTTGGGATTTCTCAGTAGTGGATTCTGGATTAGGAATTACAGGGAAATGGTCCTGGGTATGTGTCCAGGATCAGGAAGTACTGTGCCATGATCAAATTAGGGCCTCACAGAGGTTTAGAAAGGCCATTAGAGAGAAAATTAATGCATATTTCTTTTACTTTAGGTTATTATTTTAAAAAGTGTTACAAGGAACCACATGGGTTATTAATTGCACTGAAAACAAAATGTTCTTTGGCTACATTGTAACTGGTCAATGTGAGTGATGAGGTAGTCTTTATCACTTGTCTTGACATCTAGCTTTACTTTTCAGAGCCCTGCAGAAAGTACAATACCAGTCAGACCTTTTCATAGTCATTTAATTGCTCATTCTGAACCACTACAAAGTGACTTTTTCCAGCCTGCAATGGTACTTAAAACGTAGCAACAAAAAATACTTCACCATAAAAATACATGTGTAGTGGCCAGGCATGGTGGCTCACGCCTGTAATCCCAGCACTTTGGGAGGCCGAAATGGGTGGATCATGAGGTCAGGAGATCGAGACCATCTTGGCTAACATGGTGAACCACCCCCACTACTAAAAATACAAAAAGAAATTAGCTGGGCATGGTGGTGAGCACCTGTAGTTCCAGCTACTCGGGGGGAGGCTGAGGCAGGAGAATGGCATGAACCCAGGAGGTGGAGCTTGCAGTGAGCTGAGATCGCGCCACTGCACTCCAGCCTGGGTGACAGAGCGAGACTGTGTCTAAAAAACAACAACAAAACAAAACAAAACAAAACAAAAACAAAAAAAGTGTAGAAAAGCTTGATGAATGTATGCTGAAATGTTAAAGTTATCTCTAGAAGATGGGATGACATATGACTTAATATACATCTGGAATCTTCAATAAGTATATATTATTTTATAATATGAAAGTTATTTAAAAATTAGAACAGTTTATAATTTAAATATAATGGGAAACTTTTGGAGATTCAAAGTGTCTCAAAGTTGATTTTCTTCTAACATCTTAGTGAGAGATGAATTATTATGAGGTCACTATAATATATCAGGAAACATGAGCTAGGAAAGTTCTGTAATTTTGTTCTGGACAAATGAATGAGAGATCAGAAGAGTCTGGTGTTCGGATTCCTACCTCTGTGTTAATTGTATCTCTTTGAGGAGGGGTTGCAATGTTGCAGGTGTCTTCCTAAACTCTTTACATGTAATAATTCATTTACTGTCCACAACATCTACTTGAAGTGGATACTAATATTCTTCCCATTTTATATAAGATACAACAGAAGAACAGAGAGGTTGAGTAACTTGTCCAAGGTAATACACCCCATCAGTGACATTACCGGTATTTGAATGCAGGAAATTTGGCCACTGCCCTAAGTATCAACAGCTGCCTTTCACAAAGATTCTTACTTCTTGATTTGACCTCTGTGATGACTAAGGATGCTCACAAATGACATGTATGCTAAAAGCTGACAGAATAACAATATGTTATAATATCATGGAGTCCACCTATAACAGTTTTTATAGCCATTTTATTGAGAGCCCTAGGCCTCCAGGTATTGTCTTCCAGAGGTTACTGTGCATTGGGATGGGAGGAGGAACAGGGCAGGGAATGGACAGGGATAGTGTCATTGGGTAAGATCATATACTTAATATTGTTATTTATTATGTATTACATGAGGTTCAGTTATTTGTTCACATTGCTGCCTCGCACCACTCTGTCATAATCTTCACAAGGGCAACCACTATGATTTATTTCTTTCTGCTTCCTCATTACCTTAGCATGTACTTGATACATAGTAGACAATATGGCTAAGTATAAATGAAGGAGTGAGTTACATTCATACCTTTCTACCCTGTTGCCCTCAAAACAGACAAAGCATACTAAATGTAACGCCCCAGGTGACTCATCTCAAGCTTATGCTATATCAATATTTATAGGCCCCAGGTGACTCATCTCAAGCTTATGCTACACCAATATTTATTTTACAAACTGGTCTTCAAAGTAAAATCATTTTTAAATAAATAGAACTCCTTCTTTCTCTGCTCTTCCCCACCATCTTCAGAGGTATTGGAAGTGCAGAGAGCTCTGGCTGGAGCCACTGTCTGATTCTTTAGTTCAGACAAAATTTCCAGCGACACCGATGTTCTGAAGTCTAATTTTAAAATCTACACCTTCTCCCTGAACATTTAATCCAGAGGGAAAGTAATATGAAGAAGAGATAGAATTGACCATGTTTGTTTCAGACATACTCAATATTGCCCTAGGAGCTTCCAGCTTCTCTTGTTATTGAAGAATTTATGAGCCAGGTAATTGGGAATTGGTTGTTATATTAAAAGAAAAAAGCAAGATGTAAGCTTCATGGGGTGTGATCTCACTTATGTAAAAAATACGTAAGATGCTGAAAGGAAATTTACAAATAGAACATCTCTGGGTGCAGTTAGAGGTGGTTTTACATTTTAATAAATAATCATGGATTCATTTTAAACTTGGGGAGAATTAAGCTTCTGTTGTCATCTACTGCCACCTTCTTACTAATGTGCCAGGTGATGTTCAAGACAGTTTTTCATTACGGATAGAAACAAAAGAACTTCCCATCACATCCTTTGCACAGGACTTTCAGCTGGAGCTTTGTTTGTGAAATGTATTTATACCAAAGCCCCTGTCCTGTTCCCTAGAAAGACTACTGCTGTTGCCTGCAGACTCACCTTTCCATCATTCACTCATCAACACTTCCTGTGTACCTGATGTATGTACGGCAGGTACAGAGTGAATGCTACTGTGCTTTTCACTTGCTTCAAAATGGAAGACATCTGGAGAGCATCACCTACTGTGCATCGCTTGCTATTGCTGGGAAAGGATGCTTCAGAGTGTTCATGGTCCTAGATCAGGAAGTATATTATTCATCCTGTGATTATGGCAAAAAGATATAATATCATCATTGACATTTCTTATCTCATAAACTAGCTGGAATAGGGCAAGAGACTGTAAGATGGAAAAAGATATATATGAAATGGCATTATATTTAGTATGCTTTGTCTGTTTTGAGGGCAACAGGATAGAAAGGTATGAACGTAGAATGTAACTCATTCCTTCATTTATACCTAACCATATTGTTTACTATGTATCAAGTATATTCTAAGGTAATGAGGAAGCAGAAAAAAATAAGTCATAGTGGTTGCCCTTGTGAAGATTATGACAGAGCGGTGGGAGGCAGCAATGTGAACAAATAATTGAACCTCATGTAATAAATGGTAAATAATAATATTAAGTATATGATCTTACCCAATGACATCGAATTACCACAATGCAAAGAATTTTTGGTGCTCTCCCCTTAAATTACTTGGTAAATATGGTATCAACTCAAAATAAGAGGCATATATGGTTTAGGGAAGGCACTTTGTAAATTCAGAATTTGTGGAGTATTCAATTCTAATTGTTACACTAAGAAGGACATGACAAAAAAATAATGGGAAGTGTGCTGTAGGTTTTTCCTAGGAATAGGAATGGATATTTAGTTTTCCTGTATGTTGGGAAAGTTTTAAAACAATTGATTTCAGATTGCTTCAAAAAGAGTCAAGCTCTAATCTAGTTTTGGGGCAATGGATGCCACATGTTAGGTCAAAAAGGTAGAATATTAATGTGATCACTCAGGTGATCAAAGGATCTGTGCCGGCCTGTTGGAACTGGTGTGCCAGATCAACGTCCTGGGGAGAGGCAATGCTTTAAATTTGTACCAGCTGGCCATTCGCAGTGGCTTGTACCTGTAATCCCAGCACTTTGGTATGCTGAGGCGGGTGGATCACCTGAGGTCAGGAGTTCGAGACCAGCCTGACCAACATGGTAAAACCCGTCTCTACTAAAAATACAAAAATTAGCTGGTCATGGTGGCGCATGCCTGTAATCCCAGCTGCTCAGGAGGCTGAGACAGGAGAATTGCTTGAACCCAGGAGGCGGAGGTTGCAGTGAGCTGAGAGTGTGACACTGCACTCCAGCCTGGGCAACAGAGCAAGACTTTGTCTCAAAAAAACAAAAAAAGGTGTACCACAATATACCATTTACACTGTGATATTTGCCTATGTTCTAGTTCTTTCTTTGTTTAAATTCCACATCCATATAGAAAGACATGCCAAAAATAATACAGCAGCTACTATAGTGACTGAGATCCTGTTTTGCTTCCTGACATATGCTATTTTCATATGCTTCCTGACAATGCTTATGCATTTCTGACATTCATTGTATTTTTTCTTTTGGAATGTTATTTATAGAAAATTACAGCAGATACATAAGAGAAAAATGAGAAGTTTCCCATTCATTTTCATCACGCTTTATTCCTGATTATTTTTAAGGGTGAAGATATGATATTTACTAGTTCCAGTGCAAATAAACTTCTCACTGCTCTGGAAGAATTCCAGATGTACTCTGCTACATGATGATTCTATGTGTTGTACTTGAAACTAACGCTGCACTTGATACATGGCAAGAAGTCAAGGCTGAAGTTAAACTCTGTTGTCTACCAGCTGAGCTCCCCAGCCTTGGCATGCTTTTTACAACTCATACTTTCTTTTCAAGGTGTTCTTTATTTGACTTTCTCATTTTCAACATCATGGTCTTCTGCTCTTTGAACATGGCAAATCATTGCTGTTTGTATATGGAGGATGCCCAGGCTGAAGATTCCAGTGATGACAGATCATTGATAGTGTGACCTAGTCTGATTTGCCTCACCGGTGAAATGCTTTTCCTTCTTTGGTTTTACGGAAGACACTGTCCTCAAAAAATTAAATACACCTGGGAAACCTGGCCTCTGCTTCATTTAGAGACAGCATTAATGATTTATTTCAAGACAACACTAGGAGAAAGAACCGCACTATTTCCATATGTTACAAGTGGGTTAGAACATAGAGGAGTTGCTGCATGAGATTTTAAAATGTTTTCCAGAAAGTTCCACACAGGTGAGTCACTAACTTGTTTAGAAGCCATTTAAGACACATTTTGCACCTTTCTAAAAAAAATTGAATTGAGTCATACCTCTCTATTGATGTGTGAGAGCCACAGATGGTTTTCTTATTTTTTTATTTTTATTTTTTTTTTGAGACAGAGTTTTGCTCTTGTTGCCCAGGCTGGAGTACAATGGTGCAATCTCTGCTCACCACAACCTCCCCCTCCTGGGTTCAAGTGATTCTCCTGCTTCAGCCTCCTGAGTAGCTGGGATTACAGGCACCCACCACCACACCTGGCTAGTTTTTTTTTTTTTTTTGTATTTTTAGTAGAGATGGGGTTTCACTATTGTTGGCCAGGCTGGTCTCAAATTCCTGACCTCAGGTGATCCACCCGCCTTGGCCTCCCAAAGTGCTGGGATTACAGGCATGAGCCAATGCACCCGGCCACAATGGTTTTCTTCTTAATCATATATTTCATTTCTTACTACATTGCTGAGTTAAGCTATTCTGCTACCAGCATATGAGCTGCTGCTCAAATAGCAGTAACTTCTCTGGCTTTTGTTAAGACATCATCTTGATTCAGAGAGCCAAATGCCACCTTAAGCCATTCAGTTTTCTTTAAAGACATATTGTGGTGGATGGTCTCTGGTACCCTCATCCAGCTTCCTTAGAGAAGGGGATTTCAGCTACCAGGCCATCATTGCCACGGGGCCTTCTCTGTGTCCTGGCCTATGGCCTGCTCTTGTGGCTTGGGCTCAGTGAGTCTGTGGGTTGCTGGTACCATGGCACTCCAGGATGCCAGCTGCCCCCTTGAGCCCACTCCATAGCCTCTGACCCTACACCAACCCCTCCTCAAGCACAGCCTCCAGTTCCACTACTAGAGTGGGAGAAGCCTCTTGCCCAACCTCACTTGCATTTATCACACATTTTGAAATCTGACATTTGGGGAGCATTCTTTCTTTCTTTCTTCTTCTCTTTTTTTGAGACAGGGTCTCGCTATGTTGCCCAGGCTTGTCTCAAACTCCTGGGCTCAAGCCATTCTCTTGCCTCACCTCTCAAGTAGCTGGGACTACAGGTGCAAGCTACCGTGCCTGGCTATTTTATTTTATTTTCTTTGTAGAGATGGGGTTTTACTGTGTTGCCTAGGCTGGTCTGAAACTCCTGGGCTCAAGCAGTCCTCCCACTTCAGTCTCCTGAGTAGCTGGAATACAGGCATGCACCACGATTCCTGGTTGTATTTATTTCTTAGTAATGAGGATTGCTAAGATTAAGTTACTTGTCCAAGGTTACATAGCTTGAGTGGTAGGGCTAAGATCCTGATCATCTATCTTAATGTTCATTTAACTCATGCCTACTTCCCAAACACTAACAAATACTAACATTTCAAGTGCTGCAAGTCACGGAACTGTTTCTGTGGCAGATGCATTCTATCTCCCAACTTCGAACACTGGAGATAAATATCTCCTTTTGCTTTGTGGAAGGAATGGGTCAGAAAATTTATTAAATAAACAACAAATACCAGTCCCTTGGTTGTTCAAGTTAGTATCTACAGCTGATAAGACACTTCCATATATGAGTTACTCCTTTGCATTCGCTGAAGAAGGGTAAAAAGTAATGGATGCTGGTCATTTCTAGGTGTTCTGACTGGGGCGTGGATTCAGGGTGTGAAAGATTTCCTTGCTGGTTCCTGTGGCTGAGTTACTTATAAATCAGATGATTTTGTATGGGAAACTGCTTGCATCAGATACCGAAGTGGACTGGTCTTACCCACTCAAGCACTGAATGCTGAGATTGAATGGGAGCTTGTCTTTTTCCAGTATTTTCATTATTCTGTGCCATATCTATAATCTCATGTCCAAGTGATTCCTGATGGGATATAAGAAAAAAAAATCAAGGTACGTTAATTATCTATAAAATATTAGTTAGAGAAACTTTCTGTAGTAAAAAGTGAAATCTATAATGGCAATTTTAGCAAAAGATGAACAGAAAAACTAGATTATAAGTGGGAATAAGGAGCAAGGCTAGCAAAGATAACTAGAAATTTGCAGAAAATCTGTAAGTCTAATTTTAATGATTGTATTATGTTGGGAATGGGTGCTCGGTGTCGCAAAAATCAACATTGAGACAAAGGATCTCTCAGCAAGGCTAGTTTACTTTCTGCAGAAAGGGTGCTGTTCTCTGGCAGTCTTGCCATGAGAGCACACATGAACAAAGGAGACGGGGTCATTTATAACCTGACGTGTCCACCCTACTGCTGTGTCTGGTTTCCTTTGGCTGGAACAGGACCTCACATTCTGTACTCCACTTGATTGGCTAGCAACTTAGAACTTCCCAAAACAGGCAAATTGCGGAATGCTGAGAGAGGCAAAAACACTTCCAAATAAGGAAGAGAAATTGGTTATGACCTAATGCTTGCTTGGACCGGTTCAGGCATGCCAGGGCAAATATCTAGGCTAGAATGTGGGAGCTGAGAACACAGAGTATATTGATTTCTTTATTATGGCTAGCAGATGTTTAAGAATATTAGCACAGGACTTTGACTAAATTTTGCTTCTAAGAGAGGTTACTATCCATTCTCAATTAGACTTGGAGGAAAGTACCTTTGAAGAGGAACCTCTACTTATTTCATTTTCTACATATTAGCAAATAGTAAAACAGATCTGAGATTCCCCTTGCTTTTCTTCCTCTGTCCTCTCCTTTAGATTACTGCCATGGTCAAATGAAGGGAAAAGAAGTGATTCATGTTAGAAAAATTGCATATATTGGAAAATAACATTTTAGGGGATGAGAATTTGCAAATCTTTCTTATTAAAAGCAGACTTAAGAGAATTAGATAATGAAGGATAACAGGATTAGGATTCTGAGGTATCCTCTAAGTGAGAACAACTTTTGGTTGTTTTCGGGTGCTTACTTTTTCTCTCTATAGGTTCTTTTATCAGAATCACTAAAGAACTATGAATATGAGAAAAAAATCCAAGAATGTTTCCTATTCAACTAAGTCTTCCTGAAGCTTATTTATTTATATTTTAAATTGATAAGTGGTAGTTATATATATTTTGGGGACATAGCAGTAATCAGACACTCTTGGGTGCCTGAACATTAAAGTTTTTGGGCAGGAAAAAGGCAACAAGGCAGTGCTTAAGACAATAAGCTTTTCAAAGAATTGGAGAAAAACCTTGGAGGAAGGAGAGCCAATGAAAAGACAATTGTTAAGGCACGAGTCAGTGAGGGCCTGGATTTGACTTTTGACAGTGGAATTGAAAGGAAAGAGAGATTCAAAAGACAGGACACAAGAAAAACAGACAGGATTTTATGACTGACTGACTGTGGAAAGAAAAGTAGATGTTGCTAACAGAGCCGGTTTAGAAGCCAGCTTCATGGAAAAAGGAGAAAAGGAGAAGCTAGCACGAAGCTTTGAAAGCCAAGGCAGTGAAAATATCATGAAGACCAAAGCAGAAGTGGTTTTCAGGAAACTGTAGTGAAACACTTTAAAAGCTGCAGGTAGATGATATCAGCAAAATGGCAGAATAGGAGGTCCCAGGCTTCACTACTGCCAACAGAAAGTTCAACTGACAACAAAGAACACCTTGGTAAAAATCCCAAACTTTGGGTATAAGCTGGAGTTTCCTGCATTGTCCACAGAACTGAATAAAAACGACATTAAAGAGATAATAGAAATAGTCTCACATTAACCATGTCACCCTTTCCACTCCCCCAAATTGGCACAGTGCCACACAGAGGGGATTCCCCAGGACCCATGATTTCTACAGTGAGAAGTAGAGCCAGAGGAGGACATCCAACTTCCCTAGTCTTCTGAGATGCTTCCCAGAAAGCCCATTCCAGTTTTACTTCATGGGAAATACAGTGGGAAACAGCGTGGCTAGAACACTTGGGGTGAGGTAGAAACAAAGCAAGGAGGTGGTAACAAAGCAGTATTGGTGGTAACTCTGTGTACCTGTCAGTGGTGGCGCCCAATCAGAGGTACCAGCTAACAGATGTGATGTAATGCTCTACCTAGCTTGAGTCCCTAGATGGTCAGCCTCCATGACTCGCCTTAGACCCTACCCAGGGATTCCACTTAAGGAGGAAGATGATCACTGCAGCAAATTTCAGTAAAGGGTAGGGACTAGTTCTGCCACACCCAGAAGTTCAAACAGCATTTGAAGCATCCTCAAAGCCCATCCCCAAACCCCACCCACAGAGGGGGACAACTGATGCAGCAAACTTTGGCAAAGAGCCAAGGCTAGATCTGCCACACACAGGAGTTTAAACAGTTCTCAGCCCAACCTCAAAGCCCACCCCAAGGACTCATTTAGGCAGGGCAGCAAACCTCAACCATCCATTGCTATTAAGCATAGCAGCTGGTTCCATCCATCCCAATCAGTGACTCCACCTAACCTCAGGGTCCCTCCTGCAACACTATTTAGCTGCTGAACTCAAATATCAGTACCATCTGACCAGGGAATACACCCTGTGGCCCTGCTTGATTAGAAGCCATTGTAGTGCCAATTGACTGGCTCGGCTTGATGGCAGAGCTCAGCCAGTAGTTTTGCCAGATAGCAGAGCCTAGCCACCTGTCCCATTTAAATTCAGAGCAAAAACAGGAGTCCAGCCATCTAGAGAAGCTGAAAGTAAGCTCTGCCTTCCCTGAGTCATTACCAGCTGACTCATCCAGGGATGGGTCCTGTTCTAATTTTTTTTTTTTTTTTCAGAATGGAGTTTTGCTCTGTCACCTAGGCTGGAGTGCAGTGGCACAGTCTCGGCTCAGTCCAACCTCTGCCTCCCAGGTTCAAGCGATTCTCCTGCCTCAGCCTCCTGAGTAGCTGGGACTACAGGCGCACACCACCAGGCCCAGTTAATTTTTGTATTTTTAGTAGAAATGGGGTCTCACTAAGTTGGCCAGGCTGGTCTCGAACTCCTGACATCAGGTGATCCGCCCACCTCGGCCTTCCAAAGTGCTGGGATTACAGGCATGAGCCACTGAGCCTGGCCCTAATTTTGAAAGAGTTTGAGAATAATTGTTGCTAATTCTGTGATTATTCGTTAGAATTCACTAGTGAAGCCCTCTGAACATGAGTTTGTTGGAAGTTGTGTCATTACTGACTTTTTCTTTGCTTATGATAGATTTATTTAGGTTTTTTATTTTTTCGTGAGTCAGTTTCAGTAGCATGTGTATGTCTAGCAATTTGGCCATTTCTTCTGGGTTATCTAGCTTGGTATAAATTTGTTCATAGTTTTCTCTTCTAATCCTTTTATTTCTGTGAATTCAGTAGTATGAAAGATGTGGTATCTCTTTTATCTCTGGTGTTAGTAATTTGAATCTTCTCTACTTTTCTTGGTCAGTCTCTCTAAAGGTTTGTTAATTTTGTTGATACTTTCAAAGAACCAACTTTTGGGGTCACTGATTCAATTGTTTTTCTATGTTCTATTTCTTTTATCTCCACATTAATCTTTACTATTTTCTCCCTTCTTCTTGCTTTAGGTTTGGTGTACTCTTATTTTTCTATTTTCTTGAGGTAGGAGAAAGGTATGTAATGATGCAGAGGTGATCCACCAGTGGTGGTGGTAGGTGGGAAGCAAGAGGAATAGACTGAAGGAGTAGGGTCATGCTGAAGCATTTTAACTTCATCCTAAGGAAAATGGCAAGCTACTGAAGGGATTTAAGTGGAAAAGTGAGAAAATCAGAGTTCTGATTTAGACAAATCATTCTAACTATAGTGAAAAAAAAAAAGCCAAAAAAAAACAAAAAAAAGTTGGAGTGGGGGAAGATGGGAGCCAGAGTCCAGAATCTTAAACCTTAGAGTTGGAAAGGACATTTGCAAGTGTTCTAATCCTAGTCCTACTTCCCAGATGGTGTAAGAATCTCCTCTACCACATCTCTATAGTTGCTGTTATACTTTTTCAGCCTAGTTATCACCACCTAACAGGTTGTCTATTCCATTTTTATCAGCTCTATTTTTAGAACTTTTTTCTTATCCTGAGCTAAACTCCTCACTGCAGCATCCATCCATTGTCCACCTCTTGTTCATTGGAGCCATATAGAATAAGCTCATTCTGCTTTTCATGACAACTTTTTAAACAGTTGAAGAATTATATCTTCCCCAAGTCTACTTTTTTCCAAGATTCTTTAAATGTTTCTTATGCTACATAATTTTAAGATCCCTGTCACTTCAGTTACCTTCCTCTGGACACACCCTGGCAGGTCAAGATCTAACATATTCTGAAGTACCAAGGAGCTTTCTGGAGGAGTCTTAAGGGTTTCCAAGGTAAACAATCCTATCATCAGCAAACAGTGACAGTTTGACTTCCTCTTTACCGATTTGGATGCCCTTTATTTCTTTCTCTTGTCTGATTGCTCTGGCCAGGACTTCCAGTACTATGTTGAAGAGGAGTGGTGAGAATGGGCATCCTTGTCTCATTCCCATTCTCAGAGAGAACGCTTTCAACTTTTTTTCCATTCAGTGTTAGATTGGCTGTGGATTTGTCATAGATGGCTTTAATTACATTGAAGTATGTCCCTTCTATGCCAATTTTGCTGAGAGTTTTAATCATGAAGGGATGATGAATTTTGTTGGATGCTTTTTCTGGATCTATCAAGATGATCATGTGATTTTTGTTTTTAATTCTGTTTATGTGGTGTATCACATTTATTGACTTGCATATATTAAACCATCCCTGCATCCCTGGTGTGAAGCCCACTTGATCATGGTGGATTATCTTTTTGATATGTTGTTGGATTTGGTTAGATAGTATTTTGTTAAGGATTTTAACATCTATGTTCAACAAGGATATTGGTCTGTAGTTTTCTTTTTTGGTTATGTCCTTCCCTGGTTTTGTTATTTAGGGTGATGCTGTCTTCATAGAATGAATTAGGGAGGGTTTCTTTTTTCTCTGTGTTGTGGAATAGGCTCAAAAGGATTGGTACCAATTCTTCTTTGAATGTCTGGTAGAATTCTCCTGTGAATCCATCTGGCCCTGGACTGTTTTTTGTTGTTAATTTTTAAATTACCATTTCAATCTTGCTGCTTGTTATTGGTCTGTTCAGGGTATCTAATTCTTCCTGATTTAAGCTAGGAGGGTTTTATTTTTCCAGGAATTTATCCATCTCTTCTAGGTTTTCTAGTTTGTGTGCATAAAGGTGTTCATAATAGCCTTGAATGATATTTTATATTTCAGTGGTGTCAGTTGTAATATCTCCTATTTCGTTTCTTAGTGAGGTAATTTGGATTTTCTCTCTCTCTTTTTTTTTTTTTTTTAATGAAGTCTCGCCCTTGTTGCCCAGGCTGGAGTGCAATGGCGCAATCTGAGCTCACTGCAATCTCCACCTCCCGGGTTCAAGTGACTTTCCTCCCTCAGCCTCCCGAGTAGCTGGGATTACAGGCACCTGCCATCATGCCCAGCTAATTTTTGTATTTTTAGTAGAGACAGGGTTTCACCATGTTGGCCAGTCTGGTCTCTAACTACTGACCTCAGGTAATCTGCCTGTCTCAACCTCCCAAAGTGCTGGGATTACAGGAATGAGCCATGACACCCGGCCTTCTCTTTTCTTGGTTAATCTTGCTAATGGTCTATCAATTTTATGTATCTTTTCAAAGAACTAGCTTTTTGTTTCATTTATCTTTTGTATTGTTTTTCTTTGTTTCAATTTCATTTAGTTCTGTGCTGATCTTGGTTATTTCATTTCCTTTTCTGGGTTTGGATTTAGTTTGTTCTTATTTCTCTAGTTCCTTGAGGTGTGACCTTAGAAGGTCAGTTTGTGCTCTGTCAGTCTTTTTGATGTAGGCATTTATGGCTATGAACTTTCCTCTTAGCACTGCCTTTGTTGTATCCCAGAGGTTTTGATAGGTTGTGTCATTATTGTTGTTTAGTTTGAAGAATTTTTAAATTACCATGCTGATTTCTTTTTTGATGCAATGCTTGTTCAGGAGCAGTTTATTTAATTTCCATGTATTTGCTTGGTTTTGAAGGTCCCTTTTGAAGTTGATTTCCAGTTTTATTCCACTGTGGTCTGAGAGAATGCTTGATATAATTTCAATTTTCTTAAATTTATTGAAGCTCATTTTTTTGCCTATTATATGGTCTAACCTTGGAGAAAGTTCCATGCACTGTTTAATAGAATGTGTATTCTGTGGTTGTTGGATGAAATGTTCTGTATATATCTGTTAAGTCCGTTTGTTCCAAAGTATATTTTTAATCCATTGTTTCTCTGTTGACTTTCTGTCTTAATGACCTGTGTAGTGCTGTCAGTGGAGTATTGAAGTCCCCAACTATTATTGTGTTGCTGTATATCTCATTTACTATTATTGTGTTGCTGTCTATCTCATTTACTAACCCTATTAGTAGTTGTTTTATAAATTTGAGAGCTCCAGTGTTAGGTGCATATATGTTTAGGATTGTGATATTTTCCTGTTGGATAAGGCTTGTTACCATTACATAATGTCCCTTTTTGTCTCTTTTAACTGCTGTGCTTTCACGTTTGTTTTGTCTGATACAAGAATAGCTACCCTGCTCACTTTTGGTGTCCATTTGCTGGTGTCAGAGTATTCCCTGACATCCCTTCAATCCCTGGTCACAGAAGTGTGTGGAGCGCAGGTGTAGAAAAGGAAAAATAGAGCCAGGCGCGGTGGCTCACACCTGTAATCCCAGCACTTTGGGAGGCCGAGGAGGGCAGATCATGAGGTCAGGAGATGGAGACCATCCTGGCTAACACGATGAAACCCCATCTCTACTAAAAATACAAAAAATTAGCTGGGCATGGTGGCGGGCGCCTGTAGTCCCAGCTACTCAGGAGGCTGAGGCAGGAGAATGGCGTGAACCTGGGAGGTGGAGGTTGCAGTGAGCCAAGATCGCGCCACTGCACTCCAGCCTGGGCGACAGAGCGAGACTCCGTCTCAAAAACAAACAAACAAACAAAAAATATATATATATTTGCACCTAACAACAGAGCCCCAAGATACATGAAGCAAAACCTGACATAATTTAGGGAAAAAGACAGTTCAACAGTGATAGTTGGAGACTTCAATATTCTATTTCCAGTAATTAACATAATAACTAGATAGAAGATTAGTTAAAAAAAAATTAGACTTGAAAAACACTGTAAACCAATTAGGCCTAACATATCTATAGAACACTCTAGCCAACAACATGATGCACATTCTTCTCAAGTGCACATGGAACATTCTCCAAGATAGACTGTATGATAGATCACAAAAAAAGCCTCAGTAAATTTAAAAGGATTGACACCAGGTAAATATATTCTCCAACCACAATAAAATGAAATTAGAAATCAATAACAGAAGGAAATTTGGAAAATTTACAAGTATGTGCGAATTAAACAACACACTCTTGAATAACCAATGGGTCACTGAGAAATTCACAAGGGAAATTAGAAAATACTGTACTATAAAAGAAACTGAAAACACAACATACTCAAACTTATGAGAAGCAGGAAAAGTAGTGATCAGAGGGAAATTTATAGCTATAAATTCCTACATTAAAAAGGGAGATCTCAAATCGAATTACCTAACTTTCTACCATAGGAAATTAGAAAAACAAGAGCACACTAAACCTAAAGCAAGAAGAAGGGAGAAAATATTAAAGATTAGTGTGGAGATAAATGAAATAGAACATAGAAAAACAATAGAATCAATGACCCCAAAATTTGGTTATTTGAAAATATCAACAAAATTGACAGGTCTTTAGTGAGACTGACCAAGAAAGAAAGAGGGAAGACTCAAATAACCAAAACTATGAAAAATTTTGTGCCAAGTTAAATAACCTAGATTAAATGGTCAAATTGCTAGAAACACACATCCTCCTGAAACTGACTAATGAAGAAATAGAAAATCTAAATAAATCTATAATAAGCAAAGAAGTCAGTCATGACACAACTTCCAACAAAGAAAAAAACTCATGTTCAGATGGCTTCAATAGAGAATTCTACCAAATATTCACAGAATAAACACCAATTCTTCTCAAACTCTTCCAAAAATTAGAAAGAGAGAGAACACTTTCTACTTCATTCTATAAGGCCAACATTACCCTAATACCAAAGCCAGAGAAATACATAACGTGCAAAGAAAACTATAGACCAATATTCCTTATTAATATAAATGCAAAATCCTCAAAAAAAAAAAAAATAAACTGAATCCAGCAGCACAGAGAAATGATTATACACCATGATGAAGTGGGATTTATTCCAGGAATGCAGGATTGATTCAACATATCAAAATCAATGTAATGTACAATATTAACAGAATTATTAATAATTTGAAAACACGTAATTTTCTTAATCAATGTAGAAAAAGCAATTGACAAAATCCAACATCTTTTCATGAACAAAATAAAACAAATTAGTAATAGAAGATGTTCTAGACTGAATAATGGTCTTCTTAAAGATTTCCATGTTCTAATCTCTGGAACCTGAAAATACTACCTTGTGTGCCAAAAAGGAGTTTGAAGATGTGATTAAATTAAGGATCTTGAGAAGATTTTCCTGGATTCTGGGTGGTCACTAAGTGCAATCACATGTATCCTTATAAGAGGGAGACAGAGATTTGTCCACAGAAAATAAGAAGGCAGTGTGACCATGGAGGCAGATTAGAGTGATGTGGCTACAAGACAAGGTATGCCAGTAGCTACCACAAGCTAGAAGAGGCAAGGTACAAATTGTCTCCTAGGGCCTCTGGAGGGAGCCCAGCCCTGTTGCAACCTTGATCTCGGCCCAGTGAAACTGATTTTACATGTCTGGCCTCTGTAAAAGAGTAAATATGTATTGTTTTCAGCCACCAAGTTTGTGTTAATTTGTTGAGGGTTTTGCAGCCATAGGAAATGAATGCAGATCTGTTAGTCACATTACAAAATCCAACATATTTCCATGATAAAAACACTCACCCATGTAGGAATAGAAGGGAACTTGTTGATTCTTATAAAGGGCACTTATGAAAGTCCCACAGGTAACATTATACTTATGGTGAAAGAGAGATATTTGCTTTTAAAATCTGGAATGAGGCAAGGATGTCTGCTCTCACTATTTCTAATCAACATTGCACTTGAGGCCCTAGTCACAAAACTTGCATAAGAAAAAGATATCCAGATTGGAAGGGAGGAAGTATAACTATCTCTATTTGCATATGACATGATCTTATATCGTCATGAGCCATATGACATTTTGGTCAACAATGGACTGCATATATGAGAGTGGTTCCATAAGATTATAATGGAGCTATGTAATGGAGAAGGATATACCATCCAGGTTTATGTAAGTACACTCTATGATGTTCACTCAGTGACAAAATTGTCTAATGACACATTTCTCAGACATTTCCCCATCATTATGCAAGGCACGACTGTATACAGAAAACCCTAATGAATCCCTTCAGAACTATTAGAGCTAATAAATAAATTTAGCAAAGTTGCAGATTACATGATCAATATACAAAAATTCATATTTCTTTACACTAATAATGAACAATCCAAAAATTCAATTGAGAAAATAATTCCATTTATTATAGCATTGAAAAGAATAAATATTAAGAAATGAAACCATAAAACATTGTTGGCCAGGTGCGGTGGCTCACGCCTGTAATCCCAGCACTTTGGGAGGCTGAGGCGGGCGCATCACGAGGTCAGGGGATCGAGACCATCCTGGCTAACATGGTGAAACCCCGTCTCTACTAAAAATACAAAAAATTAGCCGGTCCTGGTGGCGGGAGCCTGTAGTTCCAGCTACTCAGGAGGCTGAGGCAGGAGAATCACTTGAACCCGGGAGGCGCAGGTTGCAGTGAGCCGAGATTGAGCCACTGCAGTCCAGCCTGGTGACAGAGCGAGACTCCATCTCAAAAAAAAAAAAAGAAAAGACCTCTAAGAAGAGCCTGTGGTTTGTGTGTGAGGATGGGTCAGCAGAGCAACTGCACTTCAGCACTTTCTCCTGACGAAGTTTGATCACTCCTTTATCTCTGCATTTTCTCCTTAATGGCTATCATCATACCAAATTTGCCTTTCTCTAACTTAAGTTGAGAAAGTTTTTCAAAACTAACTTTATTAAAGGGAAACAAAAATCTGAAATAAAATAAAATAAAGTACATGGAAACGGGTGATTTTATTAATCTGAAGATTATTATTCAGTAGTGTGCCTCCACTGGCTGGCACAATTCCCTGGCTCCAAGGCTTTGGATCCCCTTTCCTGCATGGGTCCTGTTAAAGTCTGTGTCCTTCTAGATAGGATTTATGCATTTCAATCACGAACTCTGAGCCACATAGTTTGTTAGAGTCGCAACCCCAATGCCTGCAGGGGCAGGGCAGTAAGCAGGTGGAGTGAACTTGTTGGCATCTGGTGAGTGCCAGCCCCATTTATAGCAGGAGGCCATGGAGCTCTGGGTGCCATTGGTGCCAGAAATTGGGAGTTTATGGAACATCTCCTGACTTTTACATGTTGACAACTAATTCAAAATTTTTTAAAAACAGCACATCTGCAAGCCATATTCAACCTAAAAGCCACTAGTTGGAAACCTCTGCTCTAAGTGGAGAGCTAGGTGGAATTTTGTCTTTGAGACCAAGGCATTTTCCCTAGGTGGAGTTTAGCCTGGCTCCCACAGCCATGATGTTACTCCAAGCAGTATTAGTTTGCTATTTCTGGGTCCAGAGTTTGAGCTCCTTAAGGGCAGAATCTAGAAGCTTCTCACCTTTATACTCTCCTCAGCTCCTAAGGCATATGCTTATTTATCGAAATCATGAAATTGTGCATTAAGAAACAGACCCAAAACGTGGTGAGAAGACTCATATTCATTTCTCTGTAAGGAGAGACCAGCAAATTGCCACATGCTCCCCCTTCCTGATGTTTTCAAAACAAAACAGTTATATGTGAGAATGTGTGTTGCAATTCCAAAGTTCTGTTTTAAGACAATCCTTAGTAACACAGGACTTGGTGTCAAAAGATTTTAGTACTCACATTGGGTTACGTAAAATTAGAATTCTGCATGTTGCCTAACCATTTCAATGCCCAGTGATCAGAGAGAAAATAAAAGCAAGAACGAGACTTATAGTTCATTCTGTGTCTCCCCACAGAAGCACCTCGAGGGTAGGGGCTGTGTCTGATTCCTCCTTTCCTCTCCAGTATCTGGCACTAGGTCTACAGAGTCAGCTGTGAACCTGTAATACTCATTATTAAAAGTATTAATACTTTTAATACTCATTATTAATACTATTAATATTTTTAGTTCTCGTTATTAGAAGTATTATCTTAGGCTAGTGTCCTTAATCTCTTTTTCACCTGCCTCACAGCATCCATGGCCATAGAAGCCTCCGATTGATCTCAAAGCCCCCCCATCTGACTTTGTATAGATCTTCAAAGTCCCCCCATCTGACTTTGTATAGATCTAAAGATGCCACAGTGTGGGTAGGCTGCCATGACCAGGGGACTCCCAACACACAGAAGACCACAGTCCTTTCCTTAGATCAGCTTTAATCAGAAGTTAGCTCAGAGGTGGAGCCAAATGTGGATAAGACAGCCCCACCTTCCAGGTTAAGACAGGTTTTACATTTTGCTGACTGGTCTGCTCCTTGCTCCCTGGACGTGCTCGGTCCCCAGAGGGACACAGGGAGGGGTGAAGAAAACCTGACTTACTCGGGACCTGTTGGTGCCAACCTGATCTTTGGATACTCTGAGAACAGCTTATAATGTCCATTTCTGAGTTAAAGTTTACAATTATATAAATAGCAAGAACAAATTTTACTGCCTATTCAGACTTGTAATTAGATTTTGCAAAGAATTTGGGCATCCCTCAAACAGGAAAGCTATCATTTTATTGACTTACCGTGAAGTGAGAACAGTCTATGACTAGGGTCAGGGGTCAGTATCTCTTGGCAGATTCCTCCCCTAGAAGCAACCTATAGCATCAGCCTATCCACACACTTTAACATTCCTAAATCTATACAAAATTAGATAGGGAGAGCAAGCTTCAAGATTAATATAAAAAAAGGTAGGAATCTGAGGAAGTTAGGTAGGTGATGACTTTTCAGACCCAACCTTTCATGTCCTACTGATATTTATTTAAAGCAGTACCATGTGCCTGAGATGGAGGTGTTTGTGGTTGGGCAGGCTGGCTTTGCTAATTTTAAATCCACCAAAATATATCATTTTGGCATTGACAGGTGTATTAGTCTGTTCTCAGGCTCCTATAAGGACATACCTGAGACTGGGTGATTTATAAAGAAAAGAGGTTTAACTGACTCACAGTTCCGCATGGCTGGGGAGGCCTCAGCAAATTTACAATCATGGTGGAAAGGGAAGCAAACATATCCTTCTTCACATGATGGCAGCAAAAGGAAGTGCTGAGAAAAAGGGGAAAAGCCCCTTAGAAAACCATCAGATCCCATGAGAACTCACTATGATGAGAACAGCATGGAGGCAACCACCCATGATTCCATTACCTGCCACCGGGTGCGTCCCACAACATGTGGGGATTATGGGAAGTACAATTCAAGATGAGATTTGGGTGGGGACACAGTCAAACCATATCAACAGGAGCAACCAATTTCTCTGACGTGGCAGTAACTCATTACACCCATTGTTCCAGGCCCTGTGCTCACACGGTGGCCTCCTTCATGTCATGGTGGGGTTGAGTTGTTTGCACATCCAACTTCGCCCAAACCCCTCTTCATCTCGGGGTATGCCTGCTACACCCTCCTGGTGCTTTCTCCTCTGTATTCCTTCCATTGTTGACCTCCTGGGTGAACAGGATTTGCGTTTTTTTTTTCCCTCTGGTGTCTCCTCTCCTCCATCCCTCTGCCACAGCTGCCATACCATACCCCTGATAAGATGGGAGGGGATTGGATGACCTCAGGAAAGTGGGTCTCAGATTCTCCCTCTTGGACACTGGAACAAAAATACAGAAAGAGATTGTCAATTTGTAGTGAAAATGGCCCATCTAACGAAAGTGTCGAGGAGGCAGAAAATAGGAAAAAGTAGAAGAAATGCTGGGAAGGAGCAAGAGGAAAATGGAGTCCCTACTTGGCTGGAAGCAGCAGTGAAAGGGAGCCAGGCAGACCACAGAGAAACAAAGTTTCATCAGCCTAGGCTACCACTTCCAGTTGAGCTGCCCTTGTCCTGTCTCCTCCCATGAGTGCCTCTTTTGCCAGGATAAATTGAGAAAGTCTGTAGCTTGCATCCTGTCTAAGCAGGGCAGCTGGGTGTAACCCCTGAGATTTGTTGTGGCTTCTCTCTTTGCAGAAAGATGTTCCCACATGGGTCTGCTTATCTTAAGAGACCATATTTTAAATAATCTTTATTTTCTCTGAGTGAAAGCCACCCTCTCTGGAATCCTCTCCTTTATATTTGCCAGCCTTTGGCCTTGTTTCTGTTGTATATAATTAGCCATAGACATTTTACCTTACCTCAAAGTAGTCTAAGAAGAAAGGGAGAAGATTGGGGTCCTGAACTTGGGAAAGAAAGAATGGAGAGAAGGTCTTAGCAGAGCGAGAGAAATGGCAGCAAGCCAGGGACCCAAGAGGAAGAGGACTGGGTAAGGAATTTTCCAGCAATTATTGACTGATGAATTGAAGAATAATGAGGTCTGTGTTATATTTTATTTCTTCTTATTTGATGCAAGTACCTTAGATTTGTCCCGATCTTCAGCAAAGGTCTGCTATAATAGTTTTGCATTTGTGGTTCTCTGGCATTGCGGGGAGGTTGTTCTCTATTTGGCTTAAGAGGGGCAAGCACGTGGTCCAAAATATGTAGGACAAGTGGCAGGCAGGCAAAGGGGATTGGGGATTGAATTGGCTGCAGAATAGTAGCTCCCTCCATCTCCACTTCTTCTTCCCTCCACTGGAGTCCTTGGAAGTCTCAGAGAGATTTACCTGTTGAGCATCCTCCTTTTCTTTTCCTTGGTATTTTATTGTTGCAGACAGGAGTAAATTGTTGGTTTTGAAACATCTTCATAGGGGGCTGTTTAGGCCAACCCTGGGCAGCTAAATCTGGATTTAATATTAGAGATTAATAAACTTCTATCAAAGTTTTATCTTGTTTTAACCACTGGATTTTCTGTTAACTACAGACAAACCCAATACATTGAGGAGAATACTGGATCTCCTGTCATGTGTGATGGGTGCCTGAGTTATTTTCTTTTACGTTATTCCAAATTTAAACCCTATGTATTAAGCAGTGTTATTTAAAATAATGGTTAAGTAATTTTCCAAATACAAAATAGCCTTTTAATGGCAGCTTTATTTCAAACCAAGGAATGTCAGCTTTAAACCTACAATGTTTCCAGCATGTGAGAATGTCTCTCATGAATAAAATATCTGATGCTGGGCGCAGTGGCTTACACCTGTAATCCCAGCACTTTGGAAGGCCAAGGTGGGTGGATCATTTGAGGTCAGGAGTTTGAGACCAGCTTGGCCAACAGGGTGAAACCCTGTCTCTACTAAAAATACAAAAATTAGGCTGGGCGCAGTGGCTCACGCCTGTAATCCCAGCGCTTTGGGAGGCTGAGGCGGGTGGATCACCTGAGGTCACGAGTTCCAGACCAGCCTGACCAATATTGTGAAGCCTCTTCTCTACTACAAATACAAAAATTAGCTGGGCGTGGTGGCGCATGCCTGTAATCCCAGCTACTCGGGAGGCTGAGACAGGAGAATCACTTGAACCCAGGAGGCGGAGGTTGCGGTGAGCCGAGATTGCACCATCGCACTCTAGCCTGGGTGACAGAGCGAGACTCCATCTCAAAAAAAAAAAAAAAAAAAAAGCCTGGCATGGTGGTGCATGCCTATAATCCCCGCTACTCAAGAGAATCACACTCTGACTTAACCTGGGAGATGGAGGTTGCGGTGAGCCAAGATTGCACCCCTGCACTCCTCAAAAATAAAAAAATCTGGCAATACCTAAATAACTATACCAATTAAGCCCATATTACGTGCCAGGCACTTTATACACATTAACTTATTTAATGCCTCCAACAACCCAGTGATAAGGTAAATCACCAACCTACTTCTCCCAGATGATATAGAAGGACTACGAGGCGGATAATCTAGCCAAAGATGCCATCTAGTGGGTAAAGACAACCGCCCTGGAGCCTGGAAGGCCGGTTCAGCACCATGCCCTGCTGCTTCTGAGAGCCTCAGCCCGGCCACAGACCCACAAGACCCCCCTGGCTTTTTGTCCTTTTGTATTCCTGTCTGTGGAACTGTCTGCTGAGCCTATCTGGAAAACAGGACAATTATTTGCCCTGGATTTTGCTCTCTTTCTCTCTGAGGAGAAGTAGAAGGTGAGTTGTTTTCTCTGGCTCTTTCTGGGTGTACCATGGGTGGAAAGTGCCAGAAACTGTGCTGATTCTAAGAGTTCCTATATATTTTGACTCAAGCAAAGATCCTAAGATAATAATATTTGCTAACATATCTTGTGTTATTCATGATAGTTCTTTCTTCTCATGTCATCATGATTTTTTCTTGAATCAAGATATAGCCAGGTCCTAAGTGTACCAGTCTAAATGATGACAAGTCTCACTTGTTTCTGTGTTCTAATGGGACTACTTGAGTGACTTGCATTTTCCTGGCTTTGGCTTCTACCTACCCCGTGATGAGAGCGGGGCTTCCACAGGGCTTCCACAGGGCTCTTGGTTGAGTCAAGCTGGGGTTTAGTGGGACACACTTCTGAATGTCAGACACCACACCTTCTACGGATGGCTCTGCTGCTCCTCTGCCAGAGGCACAGTGACCAGATTATGCTCATCCATGAGATGTCTCAATTCTTATGTATACAGACATCTGATGTGCTGTCTCACTAACTCTCCCATGAATTCATCATGCATCCCTGCATCCATCCCTGCATCCATCCATCCATCCATCCATCCGACAGGTGCTTGCTGAAAACTTGCCAAATGCAGAGGACGATAATGCAGTGAAAAGGCAGACACAGTCCCTGCTTTCTTAGAGTTTCAGCCTTTGGGCAGAAAGCATGGCCAAGGAGCTCATTTGTGGATGAGAAACCTAGGTGGAGAGACAAGGTAACCTGCCAGCATCCTCAGGCTCTTGGCCGCACTGTGATGCCCATCCTTAGTCTCCTCATCTCATGCCCCTTCCCCATGCTGTGTTTTCCCAGTCTGCCTGAGCATGGGAATCCTCTCAGGTGCTTAGGTGCATGCCCAGGCTGCTGCCCTGAGAGTCAGATTCAGTCTGTCTGGAGGGAGGCAAATGGGTGGGAATTAGAAACCAACCAGGCGCATCTGGAAAATGCTGTGTCACACCAGAGTTTATGAGAAGGTCATGTGTTGAAGACACAATATCTGAAATGATAAATAGTGAACTTCTCTTTCTCCTGCTTATGCTGCCACAGATGCCTTCAGCTTCTCCCATAGTTCCTTTCTTAGAAAGATGAGGGTAAAAACTAAAAAGGCTTTAGCTTCCATGGAGATAATTCTTTGCCTCATTCTATTCCAAATTAGATAACCTTGTGTTGTATCCTAAATTTTGATTAAGGAATTTCAAGTGAAATTTGTACAGAATCTCTAACTGCATGAATCTCCCTGCATGAGTGACTTTTTCCCCTTCTCTCTTTTTTATCACATGTATTTAAGGTATACAACATAATATTTTGATACACACAGTGAAGTGGTTACTACAGTCAAACAAATTAACATCATCAATCATCTCACATAGGTTAAAAAAATTATTTTGGAAAGAGTACCTAAAATCTGTTCTCTTAGCAAATTCATAGTATACAATACAACATTACTAACTATAATCCTCACTGCATGAATGACTTATTGTCTCTATCCTTGGTTAAATGTGGGCAAATTAGAGAATGAGAATAGAGTGAACTCATTGGTACAGTAGAAGAGGGGTGGTAAGTGTTTGAAGTAAGTATTTGTGGTTCTGTAGACCCACAGGGTGGTAGCATTGGGAAGGACCCCTGCTTACATTCAGGCCACCAGATATTGCACAGAGATGAGAAAACTAGGACTGGAGATGGTAAGGCACCAGCTGAAGGGTACATAGCCAATGCTGGAGAGTCCATACTAGAACCCAGCCGTCTTCTACTCTATAAAGCAGGTTCATCAAGTTTTACTGCAGTAGACAAATAAAGGTTGACTGTGTGAATGCCATTTTCTTTTTGTTTTCATTTCACCCTTTCAATTTCTCTGCATTACCAAAAAGTCAAAAAATAACAAATGCTGGCGGGGATGTGGAGAAAGGGGAGCCCATGCTCAGGCAGATTGGGGAAATTCCAGCATGGGGGAGGGGCAGGAGGCGAGGAGACTGGGGTGGGGATGGGCATCACAGTGCTACCAAAAGCCAGGGGAGTTTCCCTTTCTCCACACCTTTAGCGGGAATGTAAATTAGTGCAGCCATTATAAACAACAATATGGGGGTTCTTCAAAAAATTAAAAATAGAACTACCATATGACCCAGCAATCCCACTGCTGGGTATGTAGCCAAAGGAAATGAAATCAGTATGTTAAAGAGATATCTGCAGTCCCATGTTTATTGCAGCACTATTCACAATAGCCAAGAGATAGAAGCGACGTAAGTGTCCTTTAATGGATGAATAGATTTAAAAATGTGTTATATATACACAACGGAATATTATGGAGCCATAAAAAGAATAAAATCTTGTCACATGTGACATCATGGATTAACTAGAGGATGTTACGTGAAGTGAAATAAGTCAAGCACAGAAGGACAAATACTGCATGATCTCACTCATATGTGGAATCTAAAACAGTTCATCTCATAGAAATAGAGAGTGTGATAGTGGTTACCAGAAACTGGTAAGAAGGTGAGGTAGGGGAGCTTGGGGAGAGATTTGTCAACGAGAACAAGGTTGAAGTTAAATAGGAGGAATAAGTTCTGGTGTTCTGTTGCAGAGTAGGGTGATTATAGTTGACAATAACGTATTGTGTATTTCAAAATGTCTAGAAGAGAGGATTTTGAATGTTCTCACCACAAATAAATGACAAGTGTTTGAGGTGATGGATATCCTAACTACTCTTATTTGATCATTAGATAATTATTCATATATTGAGATGTCACACTGTACCCCATAAATATGTACAATTATTGTCAATTATAAACAAAATAAAACTTAAAAAGTCAGATGATTCCTTTTCCTTTTTAACCTTGTTTCTCCCTCTTATCTATGTACTACAGCTGTTTTGTGTGTTTCTCCTTCTCCTCCCAAATCCCTTGTTCTTGTCAGTGGCACTGTGTGAGATACTCCCTTTGGACAGATGACTGAGCTGCAAAAGAGGCAGAATGAGTGAAACCGTTATCTGTGAGGTGGGTCTATTGTTCATTTTATTAATCTTGGGTCCTGCTTAGGATCCTTGACCTCATTCTTCAGTGCTCATCTACCTCCTCCCCCGCCTTTTCTACGTGGTCTGAGGATTCTTCTCTTACTCCAGCATTGGCTTTAGAGCAGGGGTTTCCTTTCTCAATTTGGGAAGCTGGAATCCCAGATCTTGTTCTGCTCATTTCCTCTAGACTTCCTTCTTTTGAGTTGTGACTATTTATTTTCTGCCTTTTCCACAGCTGGATGCATAGAGGAATATGGGTATAGAAGGCACCAACTCTTAATAGGACTCCCCTGTTGCTCCCCTCAACCTCCCGTCGCTCCTCCGTTGCAACTCCTCACCAAGATGTTTTCCTGATGGCTGTTCAGCAGTGCTTTATTTGCTTGTTCTGGCCAAATGTTGCCTCCAGACTTCTTTTGCTTGCTTATTGGTTTGACTCTTTCCTGGGTCTTCCTGATTCTCATTGTCCTCAGCTGCCTCTTTTGGCCATGCACATCTTTCCAAGTCCTCACCATCTTCATTCTCCAGATTTCCATTTCCTCTCCTTGGGCCCTTCTGCCTAGTGCCACCACCATCTCTCTCTTCATCTCTGCCTATTCTCTCTAGAAACCAAACCTGCTTCCCTGAGTTTTTAGCCTAATATGCCAAAGGAGAGCCAAACCTGTGACCCAGATGTAAACACTTTGCTTTCATTTTTGGAGCGTTTTATCACTAGGAGTCTACCTAAGTAGCCTGTTCACATGTTGCTCCTATAGCTCCGGCATTCGTGCCTTGGCCTTTGTTCAGAGGAATAACCCAGTGGTCACACTGGTAGATAGGTGGGCAGGATGCCAGTGTAAAATGTGCACTTGAATGAGGAAATGGCTAAACATTTGTTTAAAAAAAATCTTTGTTGTGGTTTATAGTTTTATAAGGCTAACTGGTAGCAACATAGTATTTTATTTTGTACTGAAACCAGTAGTTCCATTTCAAAACAACATCTCTATGTGGATTTCCTCTTATATTTGTGATGGATTTATGGTCCTCACTAGTGGCTTTTTTCCCTGGATCTACTAAGCGGAATCCTTGTTAGCTGAAGTGTAAGGCTGCGTCTCCACATCTTCTATTCTAAGTTGAGGTGAAAGGACCTAAGGAACAGGCTCCTCTCTGATTTTTCTTCCTCTTCTGTGACCACAGATGTTGTGTCCTCTCTTTCCCAGAAGGAAAGAGTCAGGAAGCATTATTGCTGATACCACTTTCTCAACTCTGGCTTCTTGTTAAAACCAACTCATGGGGGAGGGGCCAAGATGGCCGGCTAGAAACAGCTTTGGTCAGAGGCTCCCACTGAGAAGAACGAAAATGGCGAGTGAATCCTGCACTGGCAACTGAGGTATCCAGGTTCTCTCATTGGAACTGACTAGGCAGTTGGCGTGACCCACAGAAAGTGAGGATAAGCAGGGTTGAGCAATGGCCCACCTGGGAGCTGCATGGGCAAGAGGAGCCCCCACTCCCAGCCAAGGGAGGTGGTGAAGTGATTGTTCTACCCTGCCTGGGAAACCAGTTTTTCCACGGATTTGTGCAACCCACGGATCAGGAGATCTTCTCATGAGCCCACACCACCAGGGCCTTGGGACCCAAGCACAGAGCTATGCAGATTCTCGGCAGCCACTGGGCTAGAGACTGCCTAAGGCTACCGAGTTCCTGCGGAAAAGGGCGGCAGCCATCACTGCAGCTCCAGTCTGCCATTTTCCCTTGCTGGTGCCTGGGAGACTGGGCAGTTTGAACCCAGGAGGAATTCCCCACAGCACAGCACAGTGGCTGTGGCAGATTGTGGCCAGACTACCTCTTTAGGCTGGACCTGGACCCATCTCTCCTCACCAGGCAGGGCCTCCCTGTGGGAATTTCAGCAACTTCAGCCAGAGGTTTACAGACAGAACTCTGATGTTCCTGGGACAGAGCTGCTCAGGGGAGGGGTGGCTGTGATCTCAGTGGATCAGCCGACTTAGTCTTTCCACCTGCTCTCTCTGAGGAATCTGGGCCCTTCAGATGAGTGGGATTCCCCCCAGCACAGTGCACCCCCTTTGCCAAGGGGCAGCCAGGGTGCTTCAATAAGTGGGTCCCTGATCCTGTGCCTCGTGACTGGGTGAAATCCCCCAAAAGGGTTCACCAGACACCTCATGCAGGACTGTTCCCACTGGTATCAGGTTGGTGCCACTCAGGGATGGAGCTCCCAGAGGAATGAGCAGGCAGCCATCTTTGCTGTTCTGCAACCTCTACTGGTGACACCTCCAAGTGCAGGAGGGACCCAGGAAAATAGGGTCTGGCGTGGACCCCTAGAAAACCACAGCAGCCCTATGGAAGAGCAATCTGACTGTTAAATGAAAAACAAATAGAAAGCAATAACAAAAACAGCATCAGCAAAATAGTCCCCACAAAAACCCCATCCAAAGATCAGCAGCCTCAAAGATAAAAGTTAGATAAACTCATGAAGATGAGAAAGAATCAATGAAAAAACACTGAAAACTCAAAAGGCCAGAGTGTCTTTCTTTTCTTCTCCAAATGATTGCAACACCTCTCCAGCAAGGGTACAGAGCTGGGCTGAGGCTGAGATGGATGAACTGACAGAAGTAGACTTCAGAAGGTGGGTAGTAATGAACTTCACTGAGCTAAAGGAGCATGTTCTAACCCAATGCAAAGAAGCTAAGAATCATGATAAAACATTACAAGAGCTGTTAACCAGAATAACCAGTTTAGAGAGGAACATAAATGACTTGATGGAGCTGAGAAACACAGCACAAGAACTTCACCATGCAACCACAAGTATAAATAGCAGAATAGACCAAGTGGAGGGAAGAATTTCAGAGCTTGAAGACTATCTTGCTTACGTAAGAAAGGCAGACAAGATTAGAGAAAAGAGAATGAAAAGGATTGAACAAAACCTCTGAGAATGATGGGATAATGTAAAAAGGCCAAACCTATGACTGATTGGGGTACCTGAAGGAGACAGGGAGAATGGAACCAAGTTGGAAAACATATTTTAGGATATTATCCAGGAGAACTTCCCCAATCTAGTAAAATAGGCCAACGTTCAAATTCAGGAAATTCAGAGAACCCCAGTAAGTACTCCATGAGAAGATCAACGTCAAGTCACATAATCATCAGATTCTCTGAGGTTGAAATGAAGAAAAAAATGTTAAGGGCAGCCAGAGAGAAAGTCCAGGTCATATACAAAGGAAAGCCCATCAGACTAACGGCACACCCCTCAGCAGAAACCCTACAAGCCAGAAGAGATTGGGGACCAATATTCAACATTCTTAAAGAAAAGAATTTCCAACCCAGAATTTCATATCTGGTCAAACTAAACTTCACAAGCAAAGGAGAAATAAAATCCTTTTCAAACAAGAAAATGCTGAGGGAATTTACCACCAGGCCTGCCTTGAAAGAGCTCCTAAAGGAAGCACTAAATATAGAAAAGAAAAACCACTACCAGCCACTACAGAAACACACTGAAGTACAAAGACCAATGACACTATAAAACAACTACATCACAAGCCTGCAAAATAACTAGTTAGCATCATGATGACAGAATCAAATTCACACATAACAATATTAACCTTAAATGTAAATGTGCTAAATGCCCCAATTAAAAGACATAGAATGGGACTCTGGATAGAGTCCAAGACCCATAGGTGTGCTGTATTCAAGAGACCCATCTCACATGCAAAGACACAGATAGGCTCAAAATAAAGGGACATAGAAAAATTTACTAAGCAAATGGAAAGCAGGAAAAAAAAAAAAAAACAGGGATTGCGACCCTAGTTCCTGACAAAACAGACTTTAAACCAACAAAGATCAAAAAAGACAAAGAAGGGCATTACATGATGGTAAAAGATTTAATTCAACAAGAAGAGCTAAGTATTCAAAAAATGTGCAGCCAATAAAGGAGCACCCAGATTCATAAAACAAGTTCTTAGGACCTACAAAGAGACTTAGACTCCCACACAATAATAGTGGGAGATTTTAACACCCCACTGTCAATATTAGACAGGTCACTGAGACAGAAAATTAACAAAGATATTCAGGACTTGAAATCAGCTCTGGTTCAAGTGGACCTAGTAAATACCTACAGAACTCTCCACCCCAAAACAACAGAATATATAACACATTATTCTCAGCACCACATGTCACTTACTCTAAAGTCAATCACATAATCAGAAGTTAATCATTCCGCAGCAAATGCAAAATTAGGAGAAATTGTAACAGTCTCTCAGACCACAGTGCAATGAAATTAGAACTCAAGATTAAGAAACTCACTCAAAACCACACAACTACATGGAAATTGAACAACCTGCTCCTGAATGACTCCTGGGTAAATAATGAAATTAAGGCAGATATCAAGAAGTTCTTTGAAACCAATGAGAACAAAGAGACAATGTACCAGAATCTCTGGGTCACAGCTAAGCAATGTTAAGAGGGAAATTTGTAGCACTAAATGCTCACATCAAATAGCTAGAAATGTCTCAAATCAACACCATATCATCACAACTAATAGAACTAGAGAACCAAGAGCAAACAAACCCCAAAGCTCGCAGAAGACAAACAAACAAGATCAGAGCAGAACTGAAGGAGACGGAGACATGAAAAACCATTAAAAATCAATAAATCTAGGAGCTTTTTTTTTTGAAAAAATTAATAAAATAGACTGCTAGCTAGACTCATAAAGAAGAAAAGGAGAAGAATCAAATAGACAGTAAAAAAAGATAAAGGGGATATCACCATGATCCCACAGAAATACACACAACCATCAGTGAATACTATAAACACCTTTATGCAAATAAACTAGAAAATCTAGAAGAAATGGATACATTCCTGGACACATACACCCTTCTAACACTGAACCAGGAAGAAGTTGAATCCCTGAATAGAATAATAACAAGTTCTGAATTTGAGGCAGTAATTCCTCCCTGAATAGAATAATAACAAATTCTGAATTTGAGACAGTAATTAATAGCCTGCCAACCAAAAAAAGCCCAGGACCAGATGGATTTACAGCTGAATTCTACCAGAGGTACAAAGAGGAGCTGATCCTATTTCTTCTGAAACTGTTCCAAAGAGTTGAAAAGGAGGGACTCCTCCCTAACTCATTTTATGAGGCCTGCATCATCCTGATACAAAAACCTAGAAGAGATACAAGAAAAAAAAAACTTCAGGCCAACATCCCTGATGAACATTGATGCACATATCCTCAATAAAATTACTCAAAAAATACTCCTATGTGGGTTTTGGCAAACTAAACCCAGCAGCACATCAAAAAATGTATCCACCATGATCAAATCTACTGCATCCTCGAGATGCAAAGCTGGCTCAACATATGCAAATCAATAAACATAATTCATCACATTAACAGAACTAAAGACAAAAACTACATGATTATCTCAATAGACGCAGAAAAGACCTTCGATAAAGTTCAATATCCCTTCATGTCAAAAACTCTCAATAAACTAGGTATTGATAGAACATACTCAAAATAATAAGAGCTATCTATGACAAACCCACAGCCAATATCATACTGAATGGGCAAAAGCTGGAAGCATTCCACTTGAAAACTGGCACAAGACAAGGAGGCCCTCTCTCACCACTCCTATTCAACAGAGTATTGGAAGTTCTGGAGTTCTGGCCAGGGCAATCAGGCAAGAGAAAGAAATAAAAGAAATAGAAGAAAGAGAGGAAGTCAAACTGTCTCTGTTTGCAGAGGACATGATCCTTTATCTAGAAAATCCCGTAGTCTCAGCCCCAAAGCTTCTTAACCTGATAAGCAACTCAGCAAAGTCTTAAGATACAAAATCAATGTGCAATAATTACTAACATTCCTATATACAAACAATAGAGAAGCAGAGAGCCAAATCAGGATTGAAATCCCATTCACAATTGCTACAAAGAGAATAAAATACCAAGAAATACAGCTAACAAGGGAAGTGAATGACCTCTTCAAGGAGACCTGCAAACCACTTCTCAGTGAAATCAGAGAGGACACAAACAAGTGGAAAAACATTCCATGCTCATGAGTAGGAAGAATCAATATTGTGAAAACTGCCACACTCCCCAAAGCAATCTATACATGCAATGTTATTTCCATTAAACTACCATTGACATTCTTCACAGAATTTGAAAAAGAAGTGTTTTAAAATTCACATGGAACCAAAAAAGGGCCCAAATAGCCAAGGCAATCCTAATGAAAAAGAACAAAGCTGAAGGCATTGTGCTACCCGACTTCAAACTATACTACAAGGCTATGGTAACCAAAACAGCATGATACTCGTACAAAGAAGAAAATCTAGACAATACTATTCAGGTATTTCCTGTAAACAAATTTACAGGAAAAAAACAAACAACTCCATTAAAAAGTGGGCAAAGAACATGAAGAGACATTTCTCAAAAGAAGACATTTATGCAGCCAACAAACATATGAAAAAAGTTCAACATCACTGATAATTACAGAAAAGCAAATCAAAACCACAATGAGATGCCATCTCATGTCAGAATGGCAATTACTAAAAAGTCAAGAAACAACAGAAAGTGCAAGGCTTAGGAGAAATAGGAGCGCTTTTACACTGCTGGTGGGAACATAAATTAGTTCAACGATTGTGAATGACTGTGTGGTGATTCCTTAAAGACCTAGAATTAGAAATATTATTTGACCCAGCAATTCAATCACTGGTTATATACCCAAAGAAAGATAAATCATTCTGTTATAAAGATACGTTCTTGCATATGTTCATTGCAGCACTATTCACAATAGCAAAGACATGGAATCAACCCAAAAGCCCATCAATGATAGACTGGAGAAAGAAAATATGGTTACATATACATAATGGAATACTTTGCAGCCATAAAAAGGAACAAGATCATGGGCTTTGCAGGCTCATGGATGGAGCTGGAAGCCATTATCCTCAACAAACTAATGTGGGAAAGAAAACCAAACACTGCATGTCCTTACTTATAAGTGGGAGCTGAATGATGAGACCACATGGACACAGGAAGGGGAACAACACACACAGGGGCTTGTTGGCAGGGCATGGAGGGAGAGCATCAGGAATAATAGCTAATGCATGCTGGGCTTAATACCTAGGTGATGGGTTGACAGGTGCAGCAAACCACCATAGCACACATTTACCTATGTAACAAACCTGCACATCCTGCACATGTATCCTGGAACTTAAATAAAGAAACTCATCTGGCGAGCTTCAGAAAAGCATCTATGTCCAGGCCCCATCTCTGATGATTCTAATGCATGGCAGGGTGAGTCCACTGCCATAAAGGGGTGCCTGATTTCTCCTGGGATCCGACTCTGACTCCCTTTATCCTCATGTTAATCCTAAGCCCATAGGTGGCCAGAAAAAATGGAAGTGGGTTGTGTTCACCAGTTCACATGCCTACGAAGTTGGCCAAAGTCTCTAATGTGTGCATGTGAGACTCCTCTGAGTGTTCTATGCCAAAACAACAACCAGAAAGTGAAACAGGACAAAATGGATCAAAAAGCCTTATCTCCCTTAGTGACCTAGAGTTCCTATTTGTTCAAAAGTCCCTGGAAACTATTTCCCTTTTTGCCTTGATTTTCATAAGCCCAGAGCTAGATTTTGACCAATCACATGAACTATTCTTAGCCTTTTCTTTGTGTGTGATTATATTTCCTGCTTGACCATATGAATTTTGAGGTTTTATTGAAACACACAATAATATTGTGCAAACAACTACTCTTGTGTGGGTTTTGGACATCACATAGGAATATGCATTAGGGAAGAGTGTGGGTTACAGGGTTGGGGGGAAAATGTACCCACAGGAAGCTGGCAGGACTTGCCAAACAAAGGGATGGCTTTAGTAGAAGAGAAGAAGAAATATGACAGTAATAACAAAGTTTTCTTGATACACTAGAGAGCATTCCTCCTGTAATTCATTGAGGTTAAGGTCAGCTAAAACAGACATGCCCACAGTTGAAAGCTGCTAATGACTATGGATGGCCCACCTTTGAATTCTAGGGCTGGCAGCAGTTGAGCCATCAAGCTTATACACTTTCACACATGGCTCATTCAGAGTCTGTTTCCATTTCTCTGCATGGGGTTTATTGTGTACCTATTTATAGATTCAGAAAGCTTGCAGGGTCCACTTTATTTTCCTTTTTACTGATGTACGTTTCTCTTTTTGATCACAAGTCTTCCTTACACTTTATTTTCTTTTTTTTCTTTATTTTATTTTATTATTATTTTACTTTAAGTTTTAGGGTACATGTGCACAATGTGCAGGTTTGTTACATATGTATACATGTGCCATGTTGGTGTGCTGCACCCATTAACTTGTCATTTAGCATTAGGTATATCTCCTAATGCTATCCCTCCCCCCTTCCTCCACCCCACAACAGTCCCCGGAGTGTGATGTTCCCCTTCCTGTGTCCATGTGTTCTCATTGTTCAATTCCCACCTATGAGTGAGAACATGTGGTGTTTGGTTTTTTGTCCTTGGAATAGTTTGCTGAGAATGATGGTTTCCAGTTTCACCCATGTCCCTACAAAGGACATGAACTCATCATTTTTTATGGCTGCATAGTATTCCATGGTGTATATGTGCCACATTTTCTTAGTCCAGTCTATCGTTGTTGGACATTTGGGTTGGTTCCAAGTCTTTGCTATGGTGAATAGTGCCACAGTAAATATATGTGTGCATGTGTCTTTATAGCAGCATGATTTATAATCCTTTGGGTATACACCCAGTAATGGGATGGCTGGGTCAAATGGTATTTCTAGTTCTAGATCCCTGAGGAATCGCCACACTGACTTCCACAATGGTTGAACTAGTTTACAGTCCCACCAACAGTGTAAAAGCGTTCCTATTTCTCCACATCCTCTCTGGTACCTGTTGTTTCCTGACTTTTTAATGATTGCCATTCTAACTGGTGTGAGATGGTATCTCATTGTGGTTTTGATTTGCATTTCTCTGATGGCCAGTGATGATGAGCATTTTTTCACATGTCTTTTGGCTGCATAAATGTCTTCTTTTGAGAAGTGTCTGTTCATATCCTTCCCCCACTTTTTGATGGGGTTGTTTATTTTGTTCTTGTAAATTTGTTTGAGTTCATTGTAGATTCTGGATATTAGCCCTTTGTCAGATGAGTAGGTTGTGAAAATTTTCTCCCATTCTGTAGGTTGCCTGTTCACTCTGATGGTAGTTTCTTTTGCTGTGCAGAAGCTCTTTAGTTTAATTAGATCCCATTTGTCAATTTTGGCTTTTGTTGCCAGTGCTTTTGGTGTTTTAGACATGAAGTCCTTGCCCATGCCTATGTCCTGAATGGTAATGCCTAGGTTTTCTTCTAGGGCTTTTATGGTTTTAGGTCTAACATGTGAGTCTTTAATCCATCTTGAATTAATTTTTGTGTAAGATGTAAGGAAGGGATCCAGTTTCAGCTTTCTACATATGGCTAGCCAGTTTTCCCAGCACCATTTATTAAATAGGGAATCCTTTCCCCATTTCGTGTTTTTGTTAGGTCTGTCAAAGATCAGATAGTTGTAGATATGTGGCATTATTTCTGAGGGCTCTATTCTGTTCCATTGATCTATATCTCTGTTTTGGTACCAGTACCATGCTGTTTTGGTTACTGTAGCCTTGTAGTATAGTTTGAAGTCAGGTAGCGTGATGCCTCCGGCTTTGTTCTTTTGGCTTAGGATTGACTTGGTGATGCGGGCTCTTTTTTGGTTCCATATGAACTTTAAAGTAGTTTTTCCCAATTCTGTGAAGAAAGTCATTGGTAGCTTGATGGGGATGGCATTGAATCTATAAATTTCCTTGGGCAGTATCGCCATTTTCACGATATTGATTCTTCCTACCCATGAGCATGGAATGTTCTTCAATTTGTTTGTATCCTCTTTTATTTCATTGAGCAGTGGTTTGTAGTTCTCCTTGAAGAGGTCCTTCACATCCCTTGTAAGTTGGATTCCTAGGTATTTTATTCTCTTTGAAGCAATTGTGAATGGGAGTTCACTCATGATTTGGCTCTCTGTTTGTCTGTTATTGTTGTATAAGAATGATTGTGATTTTTGTACATTGATTTTGTATCCTGAGACTTTGCTGAAGTTGCTTATCAGCTTAAGGAGATTTTGGGCTGAGACGATGGGGTTTTCTAGATATAAAATCATGTCATCTGCAAACAGGGACAATTTGACTTCCTCTTTTCCTAATTGAATACCCTTTATTTCCTTCTCCTGCCTAATTGCCCTGGCCAGAACTTCCAACATTATGTTGAAGAGGAGTGGTGAGAGAGGGCATCCTTGTCTTGTGCCAGTTTTCAAAGGGAATGCTTCCAGTTTTTGCCCATTCAGTATGATATTGGCTGTGGGTTTGTCATAGATAGCTCTTATTATTTTGAGATATGTCCCATCAATGCCTAATTTATTGAGAGTTTTTAGCATGAAGGGTTGTTGAATTTTGTCAAAGGCCTTTTCTGCATCTGTTGAGATAATCACGTGGTTTTTGTCTTTGGTTCTGTTGATATGCTGGATTACGTTTATTGATTTGCGTATATTGAACCAGCCTTGCATCCCAGGGATGAAGCCCACTTGATCATGGTGGATAAGCTTTTTGATGTGCTGCTGGATTTGGTAATATTTGTATAAATGTATTCTGTAACATCTACTGTGTGCTCAGCACTGTCCTAGGTATTGGGGATAGAGCAGTGCACACAAGACAGGCAGAAAGCCCTGCTCTTGGAAGTACATTTTATGGGGGAGACAAATGAGATAGATGTGAAATATGCAGGATGCTATTTCACTGTGTTCGTAAGAACACAGTGTGTGCTTAGCAGAACAAATAAACCAGGGAAAGAGAGGGAAAATGTTGAGGTTACATAGGAGGCTGGTCAGAAGAAGGGATCTCTGAGAAGGGATTATTGAGCACAACCCTGAAAAAAGGGAAAGGAGGAGCCCTGCTGGGCAGAGGGTACAGCCAGGGGAGGCATTGGATAGGAGGTTCTGGGTGTGCCTGTGGGACCAGGACAGAGTGAGTGAGGCCAGGGGAGTGGGGAGAGATGTAAGAAGTGTGAGGCCTGGTCCTGTGGACCTGTGAGATGCCCTAAGTACTCTGACTTTACTCTGAGTGAGATGGGATCCCAGTCATTGGCTTCCGGCAGAGGAGTTGCATGGTCTGACTTCCCTTTTAGTAGAATCTCTCTGGTTTCTCTGCTGAGAGTAGAGTGTAGGTTGGCAAGGGCAAAAGTTGGGGCAGAGGCTGTTTCGTTCATGCAGCAAAAATCTGATGATAGTTTGGCCCAAACTAAGTCCAGAATCTGACCAATCCTCGCACTTCCGGAAGTGTGTAATCTAATCACACTTCCAGAAGTGTGAGGATTGGTGAGATTCTGGATGGAGTTTGAAGATGGGGTTGATAGATTTTCTCATGGGCTGGATGGGGTATATGAGAAACAAAGAGGCTCAAGATAAGATCAAGATTTTAGGCCTGAGTAATTTAAGGGACAGTCACAATTAACAAGAAGCAGAGGCTGAAGGAAAAGCAGGTTTTGGAGGAAAGTCAGGAGTTAAGATTTGGACACATGAAGTCTAAGATGCCCTGTAAACATCCAGGTAGAGACGCTGGTAAGGCAGCTGGGTCTATGCACCAGGAGCCCAGGGCCAAGGCCAGGACTAGTGCAAATCTTGGAGTCATCAGCAGATAGGTGACATCTGAAACCACAAAGTGAGTGATATTGACCAAGGAATGATGTGGGTAGAAGAGAGAAAGGAGCCAACTGCAGACATCTAGGAGATAAAGAGAAACCAGCAAAGGAGACTGGGAAGGAACAGAGACATAGGAGGAATGTCAGGGGAGGGAGGGGTCCTGGGAGCCAATAAGGAAATCATTTCAAGGAAGAGAGAGTGTGACCAATTGCGTTAGATGACGTTGATGGCTTAAATGAGATGAGGACAGAGGATTGATCATTGGGTTTAGTGATGTGGAAGTCATGATGACCCTGGCAGGACAGGTTTGGTGGTGTTGGGAGAGAAATTGAAGATAATAGTGTAAGCCAGTGCCACAAGGTGTTTGTAGTAAACGGAAGGAAAGATGGGGGAGGTAACTGGGGTTGGGGAGGTAGGGTCAACAGAGTGGTTTTTAAATGTTATTTTATTTTAAGGTGGGAGAAATAATAGCATGGGCCAATGCTAAGACATATGAAAGCAATAGTCTGGTAGTGCCTAGGACACAGTATAATAGTAAGTGTCTGACACATAGTAGCTATTCAACAAAAGTCATTTAAAAATTTAACTTAAAAATTCAGTAATATTTTTCCCCTTTCTTCTATTATCCCTTCTGCCAAAATTTGCCCTTCTTATGTTTCATTTACACAGCGTAAAGATTAGGTAGGATGTGTCTGAAAGTCTCTTTGATACTAGGATGTCTAAGAGCACTTCAGCCCACTCCCAGTGATAGCTTCCAATCATTAGGGAGTAGCTATTCAACCCTTTTCTCTCTTTTGGCATGCAGCGTAGTCATAGGGTGACCAGCCATTCTATTCTGTCTAGGGCTGTGTCAGTTTAATTACTGAGAACCCTATGCTGCAGGAAACTGCTTAGGTCAGGGCAAGCTGTATGGGTAGATGACCGAGACATAGGGCCAGTCTATCTGCACTTTGGCAGAAAGCACTTGTGCTACTCCAGCTGGGTGAAATGCCTCAGCATGGCACTGGTACTAAGACCCTCATAAATAGGGGGAGCTGCTATTGTTCTACTTCTTATTCTTGATTCCTTCTACCCATGTTCCATGCCATTGGCCCTGAAGGTGCATCTTCAGGAGTGTGTGTGTGTGTGTGTGTGTGTGTGTAGAGGAGTAGCCCTAAGGCTTTGTTTGACTTCAGTGCTTCTCTTCTCTGGTGCACAACTTGCCTGATGCAGGGCAAGGAGTTGGAACTATCCTCTCAGCTCTCTGATTTAGGAACAGCCATCTACATCAGCCCAGTCCTGGCCCTGCACAAGCCCAGTGTCTCAACCTGTCAACAAGGTCACTTTCTTAGGGATCACTCTTTGTCCAAAGACATTCTGACATCATTGTTAGAACACCTACAATGAAATTTACTAGAGACATTCAACCAGTGAAAATACCTTGGGGTACAATGGATCATTTTCAGAGTGTATCTCATAAGGAGAAGACTATAATAATAATAATAATTTTTGTTATTTAAAATTATGAAAGTCAAATGGCAATCAAAGGTATCATATTTTCATGCATTACTGGTGGTTTGTTACTAATGGGAAGGACTACTTTCTTACATTTATTTATAATTATTTTAGAGGAAAAAAACTTAAATATAGGAGACAAGGCAGTTGTTTCTCCATAGGACTATATAAATAATTGTTTCAGTTATAAATTTTTACCTTGAATAATAAAGTGCTTTGGTGCAAATATTTAGGTTTTAATCATGCAAAGCTGTCAATTCAACTTCATCGTGCAAACCAATTTGATATTATATTTATATTGTACTTCCCCAAATGTATAACCTTGTAAAAGCTTGCTTAAATTACCATTTTTTAAAAAACTTTTGAGAAATCTTTTTATTATGAAAATATTCTTCAGGAGTTCCTCTGTGTGTGTGTGTGTGTGTGTGTGTGTGTGTGTGTGTGTGTGTAGAGGAGCAGCCCTAAGGCTTTGTTTGACTTCAGTGCTTCTCTTCTCTGGTGCTCAACTTGCCTGATGCAGGGCAAGGATTTGGAACTATCCTCTCAGCTCTCTGATTTATATACAATATATACAAGGATAGAGGAAATAGTGTAATGAATTTCCATGAACCAATCATCCAGTTTTAATAATCTCATCACCTTTTAGTACTTTTAGTACTCTTTAGGCTTCTTTAGGAGAACAGTTGATGTATTAAAAGATATAGCAGCATTTGAGACTTAGAAAAACGTCAAGAAACTTGTGAAGACTCAGTTTTGACACTGGAAGCCTGACTGAAAGATCATACATTTTTGCACATGATAGTTTGTGAACCTACAGTGTCAGGAGCCACCACTGCACCACCAATTCAAATGATGGTAATGACTGAAAAACTTGCATACACACTAAACCTTTTCTTTCTTTCCAGTTGAACATGCAGGCAATTGGTAAGACTTCAACCGCCAAGCACACAGGGTTTGAGCTTAACTAAACCTGCCTATGTTCAAATTCTAGCCCTGCTCTCGCTAGCAGGGTAATGTAGGCAAGTTACTCAAACTCACTGAGCCTCAGTTCATCACCTACAAATGATGAATATTGTTACCAAGCTTATAGGGTTGCTCTAAAGATTAAACAAGTTAATGCATGTAAAACATTTAACATAGGCTTAGAGTTGGGACCTTCTCTTATAGCTGGCTTGCCTATAATACTGGTTTGACTTCATTCAGAGGATATATTGCAATTGGAAGCAAATCCACTGACCACAGATGACAGCCAGGGCTAGCCACATCTCTCAGGATGTTGTCTCTAGTCCTTCCCTCCAAGAAAATCTGAGCCCCTTCTACGGATGAATTTTGTTTCCCAAGGAGAATTTGATGGGGAAAGCTTATCCTCTGCAGACATAGGTGAAGGCTGGTTTCATGCACTTGGCTCACCATTGCCTGCCAGGAATGTTTCAAAGTACTTATCCCAGCTTCCCAAAGGTCAGGGAGTGCTTTGCTCATCCTTTGAAAATGGTAGTAGGACACCAGGTTATCCTTGGCATTTCTTGCCACATAGATTATCTAAAGTGGTGAGAGGAAACAAAATAAATGATAGAACAAGTTAGAAATCGGGCATTCAGTGTGCACAGCATATGTGTTCTGGTAACCTTGTGCTAAAGGTCATGAATGCATCTTTGTTCTCTTCCACTCATCATCCAGCAGCCAGAATGATCTTGTAAAAATGCAAATCAGATGATGTTGCTTCCCTGTGTAAAACTTGTCAATTTCTGTACCTTGTTCTTACGATTAAGTTCAAAGTTCTCAACCTGGTGTTCAGGGTCTGTGTAATCTCGCCCTCTGATTCCCTTTGCTTACCCTTCCCTGATCACACTTAACTTCCCTTCTTCTGTGGTAGTGCTGATTTCATGGCTGTCCTATAATGTTTCTGATTCTCCTTCTTTAGTGTGTCCTGCTCTGCCACTCTACTCTTAAATCAGGGTGTCTTGAAATGATGACCTTCAAGAGGTCTGTCCCTCTCTCTAAAAGTATATGCAAAATTTTTTATAGATGTATTACTTTGTCAGGAGTGGAGTCACAACTTTCTGTAGATTCTCGATGGGGTTTACGATCACTAAAAGTTTGAAATCTTTAAATGTTGGCCTTCTTTAGTGCTCTGCCTGGGGCCTACTTTTATTTTCACTATATTTGCTTTTCCTGTTTTTTTTTTGTTATCTTTCTATTGCGATAAATTTCATATGTTTATGACTTACGAATTTGTTTCTAGTACATGTCTGTCTCCCGAGCTAGAGACTCATGTATCTGTGTCCCTACCTGAATGTTCTGCATGCATTTTAGACTCGATGGGTTCAAAATTCAATTCGTCTTCACACAAACTAGCTGCTCCTCTTTTATGATCTCTTTCCATTAATGGTACCATGATCAATAGTTACAGTGACAAAATCATACAAGATGTTTCTTTTTCCATGTCTTCCATAGCAGGTCCTTGAGAGATCTTGTAAATTCTGTCTGTTGTGTACATTTGGAATTCATTTTCTCACTGCCTCTGCCTTAACCCAAGCCTTTTAAATTCTTTTCCTGGACGATTGCCACCATCTCCTCACTGATATCCTGTTTTCAGTCTTGCGCCAGTTCTGTTCACCCCTCCCCACCACCACATCCCCCTGGGGAACTTTCTAAAATGTAAATGGGATCATGTCACTTCCTGGTTCATTTCACGTTCTTCAGTGGGATCCAAGTAGCCTACAGGTTAAGTCCAAACATCTTAGCAGGCAAGGCTGTGCAACAGGGCATCTCTGGCTCCTTCCCACCTCTCATGCTTCTTTTCCGGCGTTGGACCTATTTTCTTAAGTCTTGGCTTTTGCTCTTTCAGTAACATGGAATGTCCTTCCCTCTCTTATCACTTGACAAATTTATGTCTGTTCTTTATGCCCTGACTCCTCTGTCACTTTTGTTGACTCTCCTTTTCAAGAAGTTTCGTACTCCCCACTTTCTGCTCCCATGACACCTTTCCTGGTTCTTAATCTCTCATTGATAAGGATGGGCTCAGTATACCTACTTCAAGAAGAGAGAACCAACATCTGCTAGGTTCAGTTCTGAGCCTCTTAGCCTCTTAATAATGCTATAAGGTGGAGGTACCTGAGCATGCTTTTGGTACTTGCTAGATTGCTGTTATAGTTATTCTTATTTTACTGACCCTCCTAGCCCAGGCCTGGCTCTATTTGTACTAACAATATATTTCCATTTGCTTTCAGTCATTCAGCCACCCCTGCCCCCAGACTCCAGATCTACATCGGAAGATCCACTAGGGTCAGTAAGGTAGAGTGAGTAAGACCCTGGATGTACTCTAGAGAACCAGAAACAGTAAAGGTGTGGATCTTGGCAAGCTGACAGAGGGAACAGAATGCCACATGGAAGGGAGGGTGGGGACTGCTTTGGCTTAGTGCCAAGGCCCATTTATAGACCCTCCCTGTAGAGGAGCACTTTTTTAGATTGAAAGGCAATAAGTGGTCTCTTGGGGCTCTGAAAAAGTTAAAAAAAATTCCTTAGTGACCAATTTAAGACATACATGAAAATGCATCTGCACTCCTGTAGGCTTCAATATGGAAAATAAATCTGATGTTTACAAAAATTTGACTTTCATCAGGTCTCAGAATGACTAGGGCTTGCAGCTTGTAGGCACCTTTAGATGTCTGCAAGAGACAGTTTAGCTACAAGTGAGATAAAGCGAGAGGATAGTAGAGCATATAGTTTTTAAGATTCCTTCAGTGGCACTTTCTGATCATTTAAATACTCATTACCTTAATATTGGCAGGAGGCCAACTACCAAGAAGCTTTGGAAGACTTCTGTGGTTATAGGAGGCATAGAGTAGGTGGTATAGAGTAACAGAAAGAGCATGGGCTGTTGGGTAATGAAGAGGTGGATTTGCAGCCCATCTCTTCCACCTTCCATGTCTTTGTCATTGGACAAATTATTTAACACCCTGAGCTACAATATGCTCACGTACCTCTACCTTATAGCATTGTTAAGGGGCTAAGATGCTCAGAAATGAGCCTAGTATATGTTTATTCTCTCCTTCTTCTTGATATAGATGTATGCTAAGCACATCCTTATCATTGAGAGATTAAGAACATGGAAGATGATAGTAGCTTCCATAATCTGTTCCTGGTAGACACAACGTAGGGATGGCTGGGCAATGGTTATGACACAATAAGCTGCTCCCTATGTTCTCATGAGGAAAATTTGTCTCTGAACATTTTCTGTTTTAAGCTTACCTTACAGTTTTCCTCCCAGAAGGATGGAGGCAGTAGTTGTACAGGAAGATGAGTTTTCAGGGTCCTTGGGGAAGGCATTGTGTTAGCCTGGTCAATCCCTGCAAAAATTTTCCTGGCTTATTCTTTAATTTTTAAAAAAGTTTTAATTTTTATGCGGTTGATCTTATCAGTTTTTTTCCTAATGGCTTCCGGGTTTTGTGCCATGTTATGCCTTCTTCACTCCTAGATGATAAGAAACCATTTCTCCCTATTTTCTTTTAGTACTTAGCACTTTGTATTTCCTTTCATACCTCTGATTTTTTGCTACATTGGCCTTCATTTGGTATATTATTTACTGTTAAGTGTCCTCTCCATTGCTCATCCCATTAGCCTTTAGAAATTACCACAGTTCCACTTGGCAACAAGGGATTGTTGGCACCAATGCAAATGAGGGCAATGAGACCACATTGGCAGAATTTAGATTACATGGTGATCATCCAGGTGACCCAGAATGTGTTTACTTTATATATTTTTTGATTACTATGAAAATAAAATCATAATTAAGCAATTGTTTTAGAGGTCTTGAGGACTCTCAAAGATGTGTCCACAGATGGCCTAAATAAAGATGACCAGGTACCAATGCTGGTCCAACATGGACTATTTAATTCCACTGTATCCCTCAGATACGTATAGCCAGAGTCCATATAGGAGACACACACACATTCACGCACACTGCATAGCTTAGTGGTTGAGAGCATGAACTTAGGAAACAGAATTCCTGGGTCCAAATCTTGGCTCTGCTACCTATTAATTGTGGACCTTCAGAATCATAATCCCTCTGTATCTCAATTTCTTCACATATAACCTGGCAGCTACCTCACAAGTTGTGAAGAATAAGTGAGTTAACATGTGAAAAGTATTTAGAATAATGCCAGCCATTTAAATGCCCATCAAAGATAGACTGGATAAAGAAAATGTGGCACACATACACCATGGAATACTATGCAGCCATAAAAAAGGACGAGTTCATGTCCTTTGCAGGGACATGGATGAAGCTAGAAACCATCATTCTCATCAAACTAACACAAGAACAGAAAACCAAACACCACATATTCTCACTCATAAGTGGGAGTTGAACAATGAGAACACATGGACACAGGGAGGGGAACATCACACACTGGGGTCTGTCGGGGGGTGGGGGATAGGGGAGGGATAGCATTAGGAGAAATACCTAATGTAGATGACGGGTTGATGGGTGCAGCAAATCACCATGGCATGTGTATACCTACGTAACAAACCTGCACGTTCTGCACACGTACCCCAGAACTTAAAGTATACATATGTAAAAAAAGAATAATGCCTGATACCTGGTATGTGCTGTGAAAGTCTTAGCTATGACTATGACACTTATTATCTTTCATGGGAAGTGCATGGTGCATCCCAAATTTGAATCTGTGGTCCTTGGTGCCAGACGTCTTTGGCACTGACACTGGGGTGCCACATGAACAAGCAGGGACTCTGCTGGGTGAGAACTGTGTAGCTAACGCTTGGCACTTGTAACTGGTTGAACACTTTGTTTAATTGAGAGATTGTACCTCTCTATTGTTAAGTGTTGAAGCGAAATACGTTAGGCGAAAGGATCTATCTAGATTTGCACAGGAAAAGTTATTTTTCATCCAGTACTTAGAATTAGGGATTAAAGGGAGTTTTTCCCCACCAGAATATGTTTGACTTTCAGACTGTCTACTCTTGAATTGCTCATCTTTATGCAAGGACTGTGGGTTTGTAAATGGAAGACTTACCACAGTGTGTCATTCTTATCCACTCCAGGAAAGGGTGTTGAAGTTGAATGGAAGCGCGCCTGCTTTTCTCAATATCGCCATCATTTTGTATCAGATCTACAATTTCCTGTGTCCAAGTGGTTCCTGAAAGAGAGTAGAATAAAGATCTGAGAAACTGATTATTGACTTTTCGCAACTTAGAATTTAGAAACATGCTATAAAAAATTAATTTGCCTGTTAATACCTCACTTATGTTGCTTACAACATTGAATTAAAACCAACTATTAAGATAATCTTTTCCTCACCAGAAAGGTTAAGGGTAGAAATGTGACTTCTTTATTTTTGTACTCCAATGATGTACTTAAAAAATCTGAATATGCATTGGTATTTCTATAAAACGATAATACAAATAACTATTATATGTAACAACAGGGATTATTTAAAAAGTTTCCATTTGGAGAAAATCACAGAAATTCCCAAACCCCAGCTTTTCCCATTAAAAGCTCTGGCTGCTAATAAGTAGTCTAGTTTTTCTTCCTTGGATTACTTTTATTTTTTTATTTTTTATTTTTATTTTTTAGAACCGAGGAACTGACACAATGTCCATAATAAGAAAAAGAAGGAAAAGTAAGAATTTCAAATAATCCACAAACTGAAAAAATGAGATTGAATGAATTCCTCTTTCAAAGGCAAAGAAAAGTTAAACAGTGGCTTCTACAAGAAAGGTGAACTCCTTATAAATGAAAAAATGACCTTTGCTGCATTTGAGGGTAAAATTTGTTTCTCTTCATGGTCTTGTCTGCGATCTCCTTCCTGATTCTGGGGCTTCCTTGGACTGGGCTCTGGCTTCTGCAGTGTCTGTCCTCAGAAAGTGCATCCTTGTTTGGCTTCTGGGACGCTTGGCTGACCTGGTCCTGTTTTTCTGTGGGGAAGCATGGATTGGATGTGTGTGGGGCTGTGGAATCAAATGGACTCGACTCCTATATATGATGTATGCATTGGGTGGTTTCGGATGAATTATGTAAACCTGATGTATATTAATGATTCTCATGTGGTTTTGAGAGTTGGAAGAGAAAATGGGCAGAATCCAGCTTGTCATAGGCACTAAAGAAATGGTAGCTGTCTTCATGTTTTGACGGTGTTGGTGTACATCCCGAGGGCCAGAGCTAGAACAGATGGGACCACTGTGCTCGGGGAAGCCCTGGGGAAGAAGGTGCCATTCTCATCGTGGCTCCCCCATACCAGTTTTCTGTGATCCTGGTCTCCTTTCCCTAGTACCCTGATAGAGGTACCTGGGTGCAGTGCCATGGCTCTGGCTCCGCCTCTAGACTATGCCCTTGTGCCAGCTGCTCAGCTCCTGGTCAGTTCCTACTCTGTACTAAAACCAATTTCTCTTTCTGCCCTTCTGGGGTCAGCACTGGCTTCGTCTTCGAACCTTTGTTGCCTCCTGATGATGTGCTGTCCTAATTCCCAGTCCACACTGCTTTGGCAGTTCCAGAGAGCCCTTCTCCACATAGGCTAGCTCTGCTTTTTCCTCTCAACTCTGAGCATGGAATTTGGGCCTTGCTTGCCTGCAGCCTCTCACAGGAAGTCATGGGTGCCTCTACCTCCAGACTCCACCTTTGTAATTGGCTCTGCTGTCGTAGATGCTGTGACCATCTCAGGAAACCTGGGCTCCCTCAGTGGCCCCTGACCCTATTCCTGTTTGGCCCACACTGTGCAAGGGCTTCTGCCAGACCTTCTTACCTCACATTCCAGATTTGCTCCCAACTCAGCCTGCTGACAGGGCACCTTGCATCATGAGTCGTACTCACTAGTAACTGCCTCCCTCTTGCCCTGGGGAGCTGAGTTCCACTAGATTATGCTTCTCAGTCACCACTATGGCCTGGTTTCCAGCACAGGCTGATGGCTGCTTTTCCATGGACTCCACCAACAAGGTGGCAATTCCAGACACAGATGTTGACCTGAATGGCAACTCAGAAAGCCATGGCATGGCTCAGGCAAGCTGTGGCAAGGGCTGTGCTCTACAGCTATTCATGGATATTATAAAAGGTGCTGGATGTACAGCCCAGATTTTGCTTCTGAACGGAAGTGTTTATTCCATCAGCTGCTGGGGATGCTGCTGGCAGATGACCCCCAGCTATTCAGCCCTCTCCAGGTCCCTTCCTGGGACATCTTCCATCCAGGGACTCGCTGACACTCTGTTCCCCTCTCCCCAACTGGGATGGAACCAACTTTGCAGGGCCATCCAAGCTTCAGATCATCCCATAGGAGGCTTTTTGCTGGGACTGAGTTGAAGCTCAACTTCTCCCTCTGGACAATCCTGCTTTCTTCCCTTCACTTCCAGAGGGAGTGATCCCAGGAGCACTCCCTAATAAACATCTCACATACTTACCTTCAACTCAGAATCTGCTTCCTGGGAAGAAAAGGAGCTGGTTTGGGAGTGAGGATCATGATTTCAGATTATGACAGGCTGACTTAGGTAAGTAGTAGATCGGGCCTGGAACCTAGCATCTGGGATGGCTTGTGTTTTATAGGGTCACTGTAACCTTCCAACTTACCCAGGGCAATACAGCTTGATTCTGTTGTCCCAGATTAATTATTAACAGTATATCTTTCTATATCAGATGACTTAGTTTGGAGGATAAATGATGAAGTCACCACAGCATCAGGTCAGCTGTTTCCTGCATGTCTCAAGTATCTGTCATGCCCTGTAGCTAGTCTCAGAAAAAATGTTCTTTCTCATTTTCTGGATTTGAGCTGGGAAAATTCTCAGTTCTCATGAGTCCCAAGGAGATAAACTTCTCATTCAAATGAAGTTCTCTTTTCATAATTACTTCCCACTTGTAGCATAGTATTTCTTCTTCCACATTGATAAGTGTTATCCTAGAGAGAAGTTACTAAGAGTGTGACCCTGGATAACTTGACTTGCTTTGTAAAAAAGGCAGTTCAAGTTTTCAGGGGAAACTTGCCTCTAGGCAGGGAAAATCCTGCCTCTAGGAGAGTCAAATAGAATCTGTGTTGATAGAACTGACAACTTGAGGAAAGAAAACCCAGTAGTCATTCCAGGCTGTGACTGGGGCTGTTTACAAGTACCAAGTGCAGTGTCCATCTGACGGCCATCTGATTAATTCGATCAAAACAGGCACTCAGTTCAGATGTTTCTGGCTTGAAGATTCACTCCACTGGTTACCAGGACACTACCCACTTCTGGCTTCTTCTCTGTCCACCGTCTAAGTGAGAAAGCTTCTTGGGGTTTGGTCCTGTGCCTTCTTTTTCCTCTATGCTTTCTTCCTATGTGATTTCATTCATTCCCATTGCTTTGAGCAGCATCTTTAGTAGACACTGTTGGTGGCTTCCTCAGATCCCCTGTACCAGCCTCTTGCACCCCCTCACCTCCTCCACGGCTGTGAGTGTTGGCCGCTCATGTCTCTCAGCTACCGGCTTTGCTAGAGAAGTGTCCTCCTCTGAAGGGAGGCTCCTAATGGAGAAAGTCTCCATCCTTCTACTCCTTCCCCTCCTGCCCTAACCACATCAGGGCAAGGCTTTACCCAATGCCACATCTTTACTTGGCCCCTTCCTCTCCCCTATCTTATACTCCTATACATACCCTTACTGTTTTTTTTTTTTTCCTAAAGAGCACCCTTCCAATAAATCACATGTACCTGAATCCTTGCCTCAGGCTCTGCCGTAGGGCATTTAACCTGAGATTTCACTATCTATAGCAACTCCAGTTATATCTTCAGCCAGAGTGGGCTTCCCTCTGTGCTCTACTTCTGACAGCCCCCCTGACGTCAACACTTAGTGGTCTAAAGGTCACCTCAAACTTAACATGTCCCAAACTGAGCTGTAGTTTAACCCGCCCACCTCCTGCATAAGCTCCATGCCTCTCCCTCTCCCAGGCCTTCCCATCCCAGCACAAGAGGCCACTCAGTTGATAAAGCCGGAAGAGAGTCACCCACGAGTCATCACTTCTTCTTGGATCTCAAGTAATTTTACCTCCAAAATACATCTCAATTTTTCTCTCACTCTTCATTTGCACTCTCACCTCCTTAGTCCAAGCTACTTTCTTTCTCATCTGGAAATGGCAACACACGCATCTTGTGTTCCCCAGTCCATTTTTGACCCCCTTCAATGCATTCAACTGCCTAATAGATGCCCTGGCCCCTCTCAGACCTGGTCCTCTCTGGACTTCCCTGAGTCAGTTCTTGGGGCTGGCATCCACCTGATCATTCCAGCCCCAAAGCTTGTCTCCTCTCTTTCTCTCACCCCACATTTATCATCTGTCAGTAAGTCCTACTGCTCCTGTCTGCATATGGAAACGTTCCTCTCCATGCTCCCTGTTATGGGCTAACTTGTGTGACCCCAAAATTAATATGTTGAAGTTCTAATCCACAGTACCACAGAATGTGACCTTATTTGGAGATAGAGTCTTTGTAGAGGTAATCAAATAGAAATGATGTCATTAGGATGGCTCTAACCCAGTATGACTGATGTCTATATAAAAAGGCAGAATTTGGAGGTAGATGTGCACACATGGAGAGTGCAATGTGAATATCAAGATGCCATATACCTGCCAAAGAGAGAGGCCTGGAACAGTGCCTTTCCTCACAGCCCTCGAAAGAAACCAAGTCTGTTGGTACCTTGATTTTGGACTTCTGGCCTCCCAAACTGTGAGACAATAAATATCTATTTTTTAAGCCACTGAGCTGGTGGTACTTTGTTTCATAGCCACAGCAAACGGATAATACATTCCCTATGTAATAATCCCAGTAGCTCAGAATTTCAGAGTACTAATTCCTTAATCTAAATTAGGACCCCCAATGTTCTCTCATTACACCCTCTACATTTCTTTCTAAGATCTTATCACAGGTAATCAAAATTCTGTGAAATGATTTGTTTAATGGTTTAATATTCTTCTCTAGACTGTACTGTAAATCCCTGCAGGACAAAGATAACAAACATTTTACCGATCACTATGCTTGGTGCCAGTCTCTGGCATTTAGAAGATTCTTGATAGGTAATTGTTGAATGAAAGAAAAAAATGAATAACATGGATTTTTTTAACCTGAAGAATCTGCTTTGACTAGTTATATGTTTTTGATATACCAACTACTCTATCTCTAAAAAAAATCCCTATAGTTTTATAGAAGAATCTTAGATCCTTTGCCATTCTGTCTGATTTATAGACAAGGACACTTCCTTCCTCTGCTCTTTGACTTTACTACATGACCCCATAAGGTGCTGATACATGCTCCAACTTCTACTTCCCTCTTCTCATGTCCGTGTACATACCTGCTTTGGGGTAAGAAGCAATGAGCAGGTCATCAGGCTTGGCTTGGAAGTTCCAGATCTTATCCCAGAAATCGCACATTTTCTTTTGAAGAATGATTCCATTCACTTGGGAAAATTCTTCTGGGGGTAACAAGCCCCATTCTAACTCACTTGTCTCCTCCACCTTATCCTTTAGCCATTCCTTCCACGGTGGTCTTGGGCACCAGCAGGGGAAAGTAAAAAGTAAATGAAAGTTGAGATTCACACGGGTTTTATGTATTCAGTGCTTTGGACACAGAGCTCTGGTCATTCATTACAGGTAAATATGTTCAGGCAAACAAAGACACAATTTGCATGGCTCCTGGGTAGAACTGGAACAAAATCTTAAGCATTGTGCCAGAATAGGCCTTACTCTTTCTACTCGTGAGATTCTGGCAGGGCTGCACCTCCATAGTGCCAGGAGGAAGAACAGCAGTGGGGCACCAGTCTAGGGGCCTGCCCAAGTCCAGGAGGTCACTTCCTGGTCCTGTGGATGCCCATGGAGATGGGGAATTGAGAGAAAATATTGAAGGAATGCCTGGAGCAAGCCTCCAGGAATTCCCTTCCCTCTTCCTTCTCTTCACCTGGAGTTACTCTCCCTACAGAAAGGAAAGTGATTCTCCCTTCTGGGTTTGGTTATCCATGGAGATTTGGAGAAACACCTTCCCCAGACCCAGGGAGACCCACGCTTCTATTGACATATCACATGCTAGGTGCCCATGTTAGGTGCACATGTTGTCAGCTGGGACAGTCCAGCTGGGAATTCCATCTCAACTTCCAAGACTGACTTAGAAAGTTACCTAAATCTCAGGTCTGTTTCTGTTCTGTGAGAGGTTAGACTGCAATATTTGAGGACTATTACTACAATGAGTTTTTTTTTTATATTGAAGCACAGTTTACATGCAGACAAATGCATAAAGTGTAAGTTTATGTCTTGATGAATTTATACTTCTATATGCACCCACATAACTACCATCTAGATCAAGATATAGGACATTCCCATTGCTTCGGACAATTTCCTCATGCTCCTTCCCAGTCAATGCTGCACCAGTGCCCCACACTCAACGCAGAGGCTGTTCTGACTTTTGTCACCATAGTTTAGTTTTGCCTATTCTTAAACCTCATATTAATGGAATCATACATTATGTACTCCTTTGTGTCTGGCTTTGTTCTTTCAACATAATGTATTTGAAATTCATCAAGTATTAGCAGCAACTATCAGTAGTTCATTTATTTCTATTGCTATATACTGTATCATTGAATGAATATACCAGAATTTTTTAATCGATTCTTCTTTTGATGGACATATAGGTTGATACCAGTTTTTGGTGATTATGAATATGAATAGAGCTTCTATGATATTTTCACACTTTTTTCTTGGGGTGGGGGATAGATGCATTCTCTCTTGTTCTCTTGGGTGTATGACTATGATTTGAATTGCTGGATTATTGGTATATTTAACCTTAGTAGAAACTTCCAGTTTCTCCATACATAGACAATGACACTTCAGTTAATGACATCAAAAGAGCTACCTGACCACCTGTCCGAATGATCTCTAAGTGCTTTTTCTAATTCTGAGATTCTGGCTCCCTGGTAGTGTGGGAGGACTGGCAGCCCCTTATTTATGTCACTCAGCTGCTGGCTCAGCCAGGTGTGTGCCTTATCGGCGCAGTAAGTTCCACTCAGTTTGAAGTGAGTGGCTGCTGAACAATGGGCCACTGAACAAATGGGCCCTGTCACTGTGTTGGAGAGGCAGGTTTTTCCAGGGACCACCTCTGCCAGGATTTCTCTCAGCATTTAGATTGACTCAACCCAAGCAAGGGTGCTTCCCTCAGTCATGTTGAAGGGATTTTAGAGCTCATACTACTGTTCATTTACTTTCTAGAATGTGTCATCTGGCATGCTGGGCATTGGCATTAACCACACATTTCAAACAAACCATTATAAAGGCCATCAGAGAAACATTGCCTCAGTTGGTCAGATGGAGGGAATTCTACCAAGCTCACAATAGCCACCGTGGCATCCCACTCTCAGTCATCTCGCAGCCTCAGCTGCAGTCACTACCGCTGCTCCTGAGAGCCCTTGCAGGGGCTTTGAGACTTCAGAGAAGACCTGCCACCTGGAGTCTCCAGCAGAAGGAGGAGAGGGAGTGTTTGCCAAAATAGTAAGTCTATTGATTTATTTATTTTAGGTAAGTTTAGATTTTTATTTATTTTTTATTTTTTATTTTTTTTTGAGATGGAGTTTCACTCTTTTTGCCCAGGCTGGAGTGCAATGGCACGATCTCGGCTCACTGCAACCTCCACCTCCCAGATTCAAGCGATTCTCCTGCCTCAGCCTCCCGGGTAGCTGGGATTACAGGCATGCGCCACCACGCCCAGCTTACTTTGTATTTTTAGTAGAGACGAGGTTTCACCATGTTGGACAGGCTGGTCTCGAACTCCTGATCTCAGGTGATCCACCTGCCTCGGCCTCCCAAAATGCTGGGATTACAGGTATGAGCCACTGTGCCCGGCCTAGGTTTTTTTTTTTTTTTTCACATGAAAATATATTTTATATTTACATATATACATTTATATTTACACACAAACACACGTATTAGGTTGAACTATTTGAAATGGCCATTTTTGAGCTTAAAAAGGTCAGATATTGGCTGGCCTGTTCATGAAGTTATTGCCTCTCATGTCCTAGTTCACGTGTCTCAGGTTTTCTTTGAGATGCTGGGCTGGGACTGTGCCATCTGTGTTTCCACTGGGCCAGCTGGTGTGTCTTCTCTGAGTCTCTGCTCACAGGGAGACTGACAGACAAGAGGAGGAGTAGGGACTCGCTCCCTTTGCTGCCTTCTTGCTCCAGCGAGTGGTACCCCTGAGATAATTCACTTCCTGTAGCAGCAGCAGAGTCCAGTGTGCAGATCACTTCAGAGTCAGCGTCTTCACAGTGTCCTCAGGGACAGAGACCTGGCCAAGTTGTGCTCCTTCCCCAGGGGCGAGGGTTTTCTCCACACACCCCTCCTCCAAGATCCTATTTCAGTAATTCTCATCTTTCTGAAGTTGCTGCCTCTGTGATTCTTGAATGTTTGCTTTCTTTTTTGATACCAATTTCACATGACTCAACCTAGTATTTGCACATCTGAATTTAACAGTAAATCATAAATATAATGGTCACTCTAACAAAGGGAGAATATTGCTCCCTTTTCAGTGATAGACAGATGCTTGGCCTATCACTGAGATAGAGTAAGAGTAAGAGATTTATTGAGGGACAACGCTTGTGAGGGATAAATGAGCAGGGCTGTCAGAGCCTGGTGTAGTAGTAACCCTTGTGGAGAAGGGCAGGAAAGAGGGAAGGAAGGAAGACTGGGTAGGCAAAGTCTTAGACTGGTTTAGCTCTCAGAAAACTTTAGCAAAGCTGTCGGGTGGTTCTCCTGCCAAGCGCCCATCAGAGAAGATGCTCTTCCTGGGAAGGACAGGCCCAGGTGACGGGTGGAAGAACGTGGCCAGCTGACCTCAGGACCTCTAAACTTTCAGTGTGGCCTCAGGACCTCTAAACTTTGGTTTGGAGACTGAACCACCAGACTTTTGACAAGGTTCCACAGTTTCTGTTACAACTATTCAGTCAGTTTGTGAAGAATGTTGAACCCAGCTCCTTAGCTAACAAAACAATTTTATTTTCCGGGGGCATGCAGAGAGGAAAGGGTAATTTACAGTTCTTGCCTGAACAATTTGAGCAAGCTCAGGAAGTCATTTCTAGGGAAAAGCAGTGACAAGGGGAATAAAAACTGGAAGACAAGGTAATAAAAGTGCCCCTGTGTAGTATAGACTTTGTCTCTCTCTCTTTAGAGCTCCGTGTGGAAGGTCAGAGAAGAGTCAGCCATTTTCCTCCCTAGTCTTCATCAAATCTCTTATTCTGTGCTGCTGAGAAGTAATCCTTCCACTCTCCAACGGTCCCTGAAAAGCAATGCAATCGTGCTTGAGAGATTGGACGGGAAGTCTATTCTGAATGCTTTTTCCATAAAGTGAAACTTTAGAGATAATTAAAAAGTATGAATTCGTATTACAGGTACACATCACAGTCTATTTTCTTTCAAAGACGTATTAATATTTTGAGAAAACCTCAGAATTATTGGCAGCATCATGTTAGTTAAAAAGGTAATAAGGCTCGTCATGGTGGCTCATGCCTGAAATCCAAGCACTTTGGAGGTCAAGGTGGGAGAATTGCTTGAGCCCAGAAGTTCAAGACCAGCCTGGGCAACACAGTGAGACCCTGTCTATACAAAAAATAAAAAATTTAGCTGGGCATGGTGGTGTGTACCTGTGGTCTCAGCTACTTGGGAGGCTGGAGGTGGGAGGATTGCTTTAACACAGGAATTGAAGGTTGCAGTGAGCTGTGATTGCACCACTGCACTCCATCCTGGGTGACAGTGAGTTTCTATCTTTTAAAAAAATGAATAAAAAGGAAAAAACGTATTAATATTCTTTCCCAAAATACTAATTATGTAATAATATGGTTCTCAAGGAAATTCATGATGGTTGGCAGGCAGCTTTCCTCATAAATGGGGAGATGGAGTGGTCCATGATGTCACAGGTTATCATTACATAGTTGGTCATCTGGTTTTTCTTCTTACTTTCAAAAGATGTGTGCTGAACAATTCTTTTGACAGGATCTTCATCTAGTTTATTCCCCATAAATTCCATTATCCTTTTGAACTTCATGTTCTGGGTTCTGTTGAGTGGGGAAGGGCAACAAGTAGTCATTAGGGGATTTGGGGGAGAGAACAAGGGAAAGCAAGGAAAACAAATCTGGGAAAAGTTATTTCAATTCTCTTCATCTCGGTATTTGTGATATTGTTGATCTTGCTCACCTAAACTTTACCTGTTGTGCCCAGCACTGCAGCTGTGTCTCTGATGTGAGAAACTTCCCACCAGCAGAAGGATCTGGAACTCAAGGCCTGCTGTGCAGATTCTTTTGTCCCATGAGGTGATCACTTGATGTGGTGTTCTCCCCCTTCCCCTGAGAGCTGGACTTCAGTGATTATTACTGCTCTTCTGGGTCTAGCCACTCAGCGGGGCTACCAGGCTCTTGTCTGGTGCTGGGGAATATCTACAAAGAGTCCCGTGATGCGACCCATATTGAGGTCTCCCAGCAGTGGATACCAGCACCTGCAGGGGTGGAAGTGGCAGGGAAGTGATGTAGACTCTGAGATTCCTTGGCTGTAGAATACGTTTAGTGTGCAGGCTTTCTCAAATGTTGGTTATGCTAGCAGTGAAGTTGTCATGTGGGCAGACTCAGGACCAGGGTGTTGCAGGCAGTGGTGTTAGCTGTTGTTTTCTTCTTCCTGGCAGCAGTGTTTTTCTGCCAAGGGTTGCTGTAATGGTCTGAGTTGAATGGCTTCCAGCCCTGAGGTGGAATTTGCAAGAGAGCTCCTGCTGCAGTAGTAGTAGTGGGACATAAGCTTGCTCTAAGTTGACCAGGGTAAGTATTCTTGTTCTCAGCTGATGGGTGGGACCATAAAGCTCCCAAGAGTTTATGTCTTTTGTGTTATGCTACCAGGGCCAGTAGAGAAATACCATCGGTTAGGGGCAGGGTTAGGCGGGTCTGAGCTTTTGGGCGGGGCTTGCCGCGGCCACTGTGGGGGATGCAGGGGTGGTTCTCAGGCTAATGGGATTATGATCCAGAGGGGAGTATGGCTTTCTCTGCTGTGCAGCAGAATTCGTCGGGGGAGTGGGGGATAGCCGGTAGCGAGAGGCCTCACCCAGCTCCTACACAGTTGGTGAGGTCAGTCTCACTCCTGCAGCGCACTGCTAACAGCGCCTAGTTTAGATCCAGGCAGCCTGCGCACAGAACTCAGACCTGGCTCAGTCCATAGGCTTCCCTGCTGAGAAAGCAAGCACAGCTTTCCTCCTTCTTTTTTATAAATTGACCTTCATTAATACCTCACATAGTTAGGCCATGGTATTCTTTTGTTGAAAATCTATGTTAAGTATCCTCTTGAGGGGACAGGAAATGCTAGAAGTTATCTGCACTTCCCCTGTGTTTTTAGTATTCCCCGTTTCGAAATGATTGGCCAGCTCGTCCTTTGATGAGTGGGAGAGGTGGGAAGAAGGAGAGGGAAAGGTGTGGCTGGGTGAAGAGAGGCAGGAAAGGGCAAGGCTGAATGGCCACAGACCAATCTCTATTCTGTGACCCTATTGATGCCCTTGACTAGGCATGTTCCCAGACCAAACCGAGGGTCAGGCTGCTTATTCTCACGGCCCAGTAACGAGATGCAGATGAACTAGGAAAGAAGAGAGTTTAATTCTGTAACTGGGTACAAGGAGAAGGCCTGGAAAATATTGCCAGATCAGCTCAAAATTACAGTTTTTCAGGGATTATATACCTTCTAAGCTATATGTTTACATTTAAGTGTGTATTCATCCAAAGACATAAGTGATTAACGTCTTCTAATCTATAGTTACGGTCTGAGTTTCGAAGAAGACCTTCCTCTGGAGCCTCAGTAAATTTACTTAATCTAGATGGGTCCAGGTGCTAGGGTAATTACCCTTATCTTGTCTCCTGCTAAATTATGGAGGTTTATGGAGTTCCTTTAGACCCACAATAAAACTTGTTTGTGGAGGTCTGGGGAGTTTCTTTAGACCCCCAATAAAAACTTGTTTAATCTTTATGGGTCCTGTTAAGAATTCCTTCATTATTTGTCATTCCTGTCAAGGCCCAGGAAAGGCCCAGGCAAAACTCTTTGTGGGCTTTTGTTACATTCCAGCCTTTGTATAAGGGCACTGGTTCTTTCAGCTTTTAATATTTAACCACTCAGTCAGTGCTGAAACAGTTGTTATGGAGGCCTGCCTCTTCAGCTGTTAATGAGACCTGGCCTGCCACAGGCAGAGTGGAGAATACCACACCAGTCACTCTGACAAACACTTGACAACCTGACCAGCATTGGGCTAATCTCTGAGATCTCTGACTTGCAGCAACCTGCTTGGGTGAGTCTACTTCTGTATTATTAAGACATTAACTAAATTGTGTCCTTTGGGTCAGATATATTGCTGCATATGAGAAACACTCCTGATAGAGAATCTGTTAAATGTCTCAGGCCACATTTTTCTTTTCAGAGAGATCTGTGAATCTCTGATAGTTTGCTTGCTGATCTGAGGCTTGGTCATCTTAATCTTTTCCTATTACTCTTCCTCTTGTCATGAATCTCCAGTGGTACTTAAAGAGTATACTAGGCACTAAAGAACCGTGTCTGCAATTAAAATGAAAAAGACCAGGCACAGTGTCCCATGCCTGTAATCCCAGTGCTTTGGGAAACCAAGGTGGCAGGATTGTTTGAGGCCAGGAGTTTTAGACCAGCCTGGGCAACATAGTGAGACCCCGTCTCTACAAAGAGTAAGAAATAAAAATTAGCCAGGTATGATGGTACACATCTGTGGTGCTAGCAACTCAGGATGCTGAGCTGGGAGGATTGCTTGAACCTAGGAGGTTGAGGCTGCAGTGAGCCACGATTGTGACACTACACTCCAGCCTGGGCAACAGAGTGAGACTTTGTCTTAAATTTTTTTTTTTTTTTAATAAGGAGTGAGTATCCTGCTGGTCAACCTGAAATTCTACTTCCTGCTTTTGTAACCAGGTGTGAGAGGCTGAGGGAGGAGGTTCCCTTAACCCTTAACCCTGGAAGTCTCCACACCCATGAACAATTCCCAGCCCTCTCAACTGGAACAGTGTGGCTCCCACCCTTGTGCTGTGTGTATGGCACAGACACAGTAGACATATTGACATGGTAGTCTGAGTGTTTCACCATCTATCTTGGAGCCTGCAGGGGCTTCCTGATGCTCCTAGGATAAAGTCTAACATTCTGCCATGACCATCAAGGCCCCATGTGACATGCCCGGCTCTCTTTGGGGCCCCATTTTGTCAGTTCTCCCTGAGCTTGTAGCTCTTCCCCTCATAGCCCTTCCTTCTTGCCCTGAGACAGGCCCGCCTCACCAAGCCTGCTCCTGGGTCTCCTTCTCTCTGCCCAGTCTCTTGCCTAGTTAAAGCCAGCACATGCTTCACACCTAGGAAGGACCATGTCCTCTCAGGAAAGCTGTGCCTCAGGCCCCAGTCTCAGCTGATCTGCTCTGGCCTCTCGAAGCCTGAAACCATCTCACATGGCACTCTCCTCGGTTGGTGACATGTGTCACGACTTAGTGGACTTTTGCTTCACATGCTAGACCATGAAATCCATAGGGGAAGGGCTTTGCTCACCACTGTATCCCCATCATTCACACAGTACCTGGCACATAGTACGTGTACTATTGAGAATGAATGAATGACTGAATGAAGAATGGCTGTAACTCTTAAGAGGAAAGAAACATAAAATCATTTCTTTTTAGCTGTTGGTACATACTTATGGTGCAGGTATATGTGGGGAGAGGGTGTGCTAGGGCTCTTTGCATCTTAGCTTGAATACTGAATTTCCTGGGGCTAGTTCTATTTCTTGCATCTCTGTTCTTGTTAGATTGGTCCCTCCTTGCTTGAGTTGTGGACAACTGGTCGAGTTGCAAAACACTGTGCTTTACCATCATGGTGGCTTTTCATTCTTGACCCTGATTCTAACGTGTTCCAGTTGCCATGTAGTTTCTACTGGTTGTTGGAAGCCTGAATTTAAATGTGATTTGTGGGTGTTTGAAAAACTCACAGTCCCATGTAATCTCACAGCATTAAACTTCAAAGCTCTTTGAAATACTAAACCTCAAAGTCGGCATGTTTAGGTCCTAGCTAGTGAAGAAAAGGAAGCAGAAAGAGTTTAAACCAAATGACAAAGATTATTTTCTTGACCAAACTTTAGTAAGGTTCTTAACATATCTCCTATACCCCTCTGTGTAATTCTTTGAAAAATCCAGTTTTTGCAAGAAAACTATTAAGTCAATATAGCAGGAACTCCCTACCCCCAACATCTGATCAGGTTCTTCATCCTCCACCACCACCCAGGTAATATCTAATCACCCTGGCCTATCTTTAGCAAGAATCCTGTTGGATCACTGTAGCCAGAACCCATCCCTTTCCTTACCGATGATGTTTCCTCTTAGGGATTTTCTATCCCTCCTTCTCCACCCTTCTGCATGGCTATAAATTCCCACTTGCCCACGTTATATTAAGAGTCGAACACAATCTCTTCCACTGCCAGACTCCATTGCCATGGTCCCTACACCTATGGAGATGGTCCTGACTAAAATCTGCCCTACTGTGCTTTAATAAGTGTCATTGAATAATTTTTTCTTTAACAGGACCAACCAATCAACCAACCAACCACCAACCCACCAACCAACCAACCAATTAAAAGTCAGAACTCATTTTATCATTTGGGATCATAGCTGACCCTGGAGTGAATGTTTTTTTTTTTTTTTAACTATCTTTATATTAGTCCATTTTCATGCTGCTGATAAAGACATACCCAAGACTGGGTAAATTATAAAGAAAAGAGTTCAATGGACTTACATTTCCACATGGCTTTGGAGGCCTCACAAGCATGCAAGTACTAAAGAACTGTGTCTGCAATTAAAATGAAAAAGACCAGGCACAGTGGCTCATGCCTGTAATCCCAGTGCTTTGGGAAACTGAGGCGGGAGGATTCACAAGCATGGTGGAAGGTGAAAGGCATGTCTTACGTGGCAGCAGACAAGAGAAAATGAGAGCCAATTGAAAGGGGAAACCCCTAATAAAATCATCAGATCTCATGAGGCATATTCACTACCAAGAGAATGGTATGGGGGAACTGCACCATGATTCAATTATCTCCCACCAGTCCCCTCCCCCCAACACGTGGGAATTATGGGAGCTACAATTCAAGGTGAGATTTATGTGAGGACACAGCCAAACCATATCATTCCTCCCCTGCCCCCTCCCATATCTCATGTCCTCACATTTCAAAACCAATCATGCCTTCCCAACAGTTCCCCAAAGTCTTAACTCATTTCAGCATTAACTCAAAAGTCCATAGTCCAAAGCCTCATCTGAGACAAGGCAAGTACCTTTCACCCATGAGCCTTAAAATCAAAAGCAAGTTAGTTACTTCCTAGCTACAGTAGGGGTACAGGCATTGGGTAAATATAGCCATTCCAAATTGGAGAAATTGGCTAAAACAAAGGGGCTATAGGCTGCATGCAAGTCTGAAATCCAGTGGGGCAGTCAAATCTTAAAGCTCCAAAATGGTCTCCTTTGACTACATGTTCACATCCAGGTCACTCTGATGCAAGAGGTGGGTTCCCGTGGTCTTGGGCAGCTCTGCCCCTTTGGCTTTGCAGGGTACAGCCTCCCTCCAGGCTGCTTTCACAGGCTGACATTGAGTTCCTGTGGTTTTTCCAGGTGCACTGTGCAAGCTGTCGGTGGACCTACCATTCTAGGGTCTGGAGGATGGTGGCCCTCTTCTCATGGTTCCACTAGGCAGTGTCCCAGTGGGGACTCTTTGTGGGGGCTTCAACCCCACATTTCTCTTCTGCACTGGCCTAGAGGTGGTTCTCCATGAGGAGCCCTCCCCTGCAGCAAACTTCTGCCTGGACATCCAGGCATTTCCATACATCCTCTGAAATCTAGGTGGAGGTTCCCAAACCTCAGTTATTGACTTCCATGCACCTGCAGGCTCAATGCCACATGGAAGCTGCCAAGGCTTGGGGCTTGCACCCTCTGAAGCCATGGCCTGAGCTCTACGTTGGCCTCTTTCAGCCATGGCCGGAGTGGCTGAGATACAGGACACCAAGTCCCTAGGGTGCACACAGCAGGGAAGGCCCTGGGCCCAGCCCATGGAACCATCTTTTCCTCCTAGGCCTCTGGGCCTATGATGGGAGGGGCTGCCATGAAGGTCTCTGACATGGCCTGGAGATATTTTCCCCATTGTCTTGGTGATTAAGATTTGGCTCCTTGTTATTTACGCAAATTTCTGTAGCTGGTTTGAAATTCTCCCTAGAAAATGGGTTTTTCTTTTCTAGTGAATTGTCAGGCTGCAAATTTTCTGAACTTTTATGCTGTGTTTTCCTTTTAAAATGGAATGCTCTTAACAGCACCCAAGTCACCTCTTGAATGCTTTCCTGCTTAGAAATTTATTTCACTAGATACCCTAAATCATCTCCCTCAAGTTCAAAGTTCCACAAATCTCTAGGGCGTGGAAAAAATGACACCATTCTCTTTCCTAAAACATAGCAAGGGTCACCTTTACTCCAGTTCCCAACAAGTTCCTCATCTCCATCTGAGACCACCTCAGCATGGATTTCATTGTCCATATTATTATAAGCACTTTGGTCAAAGCCATTCAACAAGTCTCTGGGAAGTCCCAAACTTTCCCACATTTTCCTGTCTTCTTCTGAGCCCTCCAAACTGTTCCAACCTCTGCCTGTTACCAGGTTCCAAAGCAACTTCCACATTTTTGGGTATCTTTATGGCAGCACCCCACTCTACCAGTATCAGTTTACTTTATTAGTCTATTTTCACACTGCTGATAAAGACATACCCAAGACTGGGTAAATTATAAAGAAAAAGAGGTTTAATGGACTTACAGTTCCATGTGGCTGAGGAGGCCTCATATTCATGGCAGAAGGTGAAAAGGCATGTCTTACCTGGTGACAGACAAGAGATAATGAGAGCCAAGTGAAAGAGGAAACCCCTTATAAAATCATCACATCTTATTCACTACCATGAGAACAGTATGGGGAAAACCACCTCAATGATTCAATGATCTCCCACGGGGTCCCTCCCACAACATGAGGGAATTATAGGAGCTACAATTCAAGATGAAATTTGGGTGGGGACACAGCCTAACCATATCAACATTACTTCCGTATACAACAAAATTATTTTCAGTGTTGATCATGAATAGAGACAAGTAATAATAATAGTAAAGAAATGTAGTCAGTGAAACTTTTCTTTTATTCAACTTTTGTGTATAGACTCAAGACCAGTAAAAAAATCAGAATGCCAATTTAAATAAAACTAAAATGTCTACAAAAAGTATAAGTCAGACAATTACTAAATCATACCACTGGTGTAATGTTTTATTTCTTGATTCATTCTTAAATTTTAAAACAAATAATTAACACTTAGAAAAGAGTAAATTTTGTTTTTAAAGTTATTATTCAAAGTCAGTAAACTTCCTGTATGAGCACAACTTTGTACTTACTAAACAAAGTGTGAATGTTGCTGTTCACACTCTTAAATTTTACTGTTTTAAATTCTGGATACAACTGAAAACCCCAATGAGAGAATTGAACAAACTGAGGTGTTCTGCTTCTTTTCCTTTACAACCATTGTGCCACCATCATCTATGCCAAATCTACTGTTTAAACAGCAATATCCAAATACTGCAGGGTTGGAGACACAGGTTATACCTGAAGTGAGCTTGCAAGATTCTGAACTGTTATGAACTTAACCTTGGAAGGAAGCAGGCAGAACTACATCTGCCTGCTGGAATTAAAGAGGTAGACTCTATGCTTGGGGTTTCTGAATTAATTTCCATACAAAGGTGAATAAGACATGAAACAAAACAACAAAAATTTTACAATGCAGTGGGGATACAGATAACTTTTATTTATTTACATAATAAAAAGGTGCTTATTTGAAGCTCATATACATATAGTTAAAACTCAGTGGTAACCTAGCTATTATTTAGAACTTAGGCCAATAAGAGTTTTTCTTTTCACTTTTCTTTTCTTTTTTTCCTTTTTTTTTTCTCTTTTTCAGGGAGAAGCATTTTAACACTGACATTGTTTGGAATTGCCAGTGCATGGTAATAATAAAAAGCAGTCAGTTAAGACCAGCCTGGGCAACATAGCAAGACCCTATTTTAAAAAAAATACCCTACGAAATCCAACAAAAAGCATTCAGAATTTTAGTTGGCTTCATTCTTCCTCTTATTGTCTGCTCCCAGGGTGAACTGCTCCTACTACCCTCAGCTATGGAATGCCACTATTTGGGACTAAAAGAAAAGGGTCAAAGTTCAAAATTTGTGATTTGCTGCAGTCATTTATCCATGCACTTTTTTACTCCCTCTACAAGTTCTCAAGGGCACTTGCTGTGTGCCAGGCACTGCATTAGGTACTAGGAGTAAATATGGCATGAGACTGAACCCAAAGAATTAACAATTGAGTGAGAGGTATAAATAAGAAATTGAAGAGTAAATACATAACAACAGGGCTGCAACTGGGACAAATATGGGAAGCAAGGGAAAAGAACACCTCACTTGGTTTAGGGCTTCCCAAAAGGGTGGCATTGAAGCCAAGACCCAATTACCTCCATGCCTGGGAGCCATGCCCATGCTGACGTTGTTGACAGCCATCCTGTCTCCTCCTTTCTGCTTTCACCAGGACGTAACTTGGGTTCCCAAAAGGCCACTGTCATGCTTTCTGTTTCCTATATGACCTAGCACTGGGACTATTCACCAAGTTTTGGTCTTCTGACATCTCCTCTGTGCACTTCCATTTTATTCCCACCCACCAGTGAGGGCACTCAGGCCATGTTTCCTCAGGGCTGGCTGCACCAGGGTTTCCCTCAAAGTGTTCCTTCTGATAGTGACCAGACAGAACTCCAGGATTGAGCCCAGGCTGGAGTTGCCTGAATGGCCAGGACAGATGACAGAAATTTTGTTTTTAATATAGATATAACCTAATATTTGGACTTATACTCAAGGTATTATGATGTTATAGACTGGGAGACTAGGATGCACTTTCCAGAATAATGGGGATTAAAACAATCCTTTTGTACTCAAGTCATACGTTTTACTTAGTTTATTAAGCTACCTTATATCTTACTTTGGAAAGAATAGTTGGGAAAATGGGCATTAGACGTGATCCTTTTTAAAAAATGAAGTGGTGACATACTGTTAATCATCACAGAGATTGTTTGTACTACATTGTATACATTCACAATATGCTTTCAGAGATTCTTCTGGCTGGGACTGAAGGATTGAAGATAGTATTTGCACTCTTGCCATCCACCTTTTAATTTTATTTACATCTTGCTCAGAGTTCCATGCAGAAGTTTATGGAGGTTCCTTCCATCTTTCTTCTATAGATTTCATCAAACCTCTCATTCTGGGCAACAGTGAAGTGGTTTTTCCAATCCCCCACAGTTCCTAGAAAAAGGAAGGCCAGACAGGAGTGTCACTCTGATTGAAAGATGTGGTGTCCCTGAGTAAAGTGGTGTAGTGCCCATACTGAATCTGGCCTGTCCACATACCTGACTCACCCAACTCCCCCTTCAGTGGACACCTGTCCATGAGCAGCTCTCCTATAAGAAGCAGGCCTAGGGGACTCTGTGCAGGGGGATGGACTTCTAAGTCAGCTGGACAACTGACCCAAGGCAGCTAGTGGCCTGCATGACCTGGCCCCACCTGTAGTGTATTTACCTGATGGATTACTACATAGACATAAAAGAATGATGAACTACAGACACACAACCACATGGAGGAATCTCAAAACATTATGTTGAGCAAAAGACACGAGACACAGGAAAGTAAATACTGTGAAATTCCATTTACGTGAAGTCCAGCAACAGGCAAAATCAATCTAGAGTAATAGAAATTGGAAAAACGGTTGTCCCTGGAGGTAGACATTGACTGAAAAGGGCACAAGAGGGAACTTTCTGGGGTAATGAAAATGTTTCATATCTTGATTGGGGTGCGGGTGGTGTGGGTATATACATTTATTAAAATGGGTTGAACTGTATACTTAAGATCTGTGCATTTTTGGTATTTTGATTATATCTCAATAAAAAACTATTTTGGAAAAATATGAATGAGATAATATTTTTCACCAAACAACAACTTAAACTAATTTTAAACAGGGGAAATTCTCTTTTCCCCACCAATACCTCTTCCAGAAAATTATGCAACAGAAATAAAAGCATCTGGAAATAATTTATGCACAAAGATATTTACTGTAACATTATGCATAAAAACAAACATTGAAAACAATAATAACTATAGTGTCTATCATTAAGGGAATAGTTGGATGAATTATGATGCATCCTTCGCTTGGTATAACATGGGACCAAAGAAATCAATGAGGTGTATGAGTCTATATGCCTTGCCCTAGAGGGGTTTCTCATATCCTGGTAAGTAAAGGTATAAAATATGACCCCATTCTGCATTTTAGGGAGCAAGCTTTCATTATGGTTACATATCTTTGTGTCTGTGTGAGTCTGAAGAAGGAGGGTGTATAGAAAGATGGTTATGTATGAGCCTGAAGAAGGGCACCTTGACAAATCATTACCACTGGTTATCCAAAGAGAAAAGGGGTAGAATATTTTGGTTTGTTTCATTGGTATGGAATACTGTTGTAGATTGGAAAATGCAACAACATAAATTCAAGCACATGCAAAATCAAAGAGGAAGAAGAAAAGATGTTTCAAAGCAGTGTGTATACCATGATTTCACTGTTGTGAATAAAAAATCTGTATGTTATAAATGAGAGAGAAAGGGACTTCCATACTGTTGGTAGTTACTTCTTGGGGGTGGAGTTTTTGTGGAGAGACTTTTAAAAAATATAATTTTATACTGATTTTATTTATTTATTTATTTATTGAGACAGTCTCACTTTGTCACCAGGCTGGAGTACAGTGGCATGATCTTGGCTCACTGCAACCTCTGCCTCCTGGGTTCAAGTGATTCTCCTGCATGAGCCTCCCGAATAGCTGGGACTACAGGCGTGCACCACCACGCCCAGCTAATTTTTTTATTTTTAGTAGAGACAGGGTTTCACCATGTTGGCCAGGTTGGTCTTGATCTCTTGACCTCGTGATCTGCCTGCCTAGGCCTCCCAAAGTGCTGGGATTACAGGCGTGAGCCATCATGCCCAGCCTATTTAGTTTATTTTTTAAGAAAAGCTGGTGTCTTTCTCTGTCACCCAGGCTGGAGTACAGTGGCAAGGTCCTAGCTCACTGCATTCTCAAAATCCTGGGCTCAAGTGCTCCTCCCACCTTAGCCTCCTGAGAAGCTGGGAATACAGGGATGCATCACCACACCCAGCTAATTAATTTTTTTTTGTAGAGATGGGGTCTTGCTGTGTTGCCCAGTCTAGTTTCGAACTCCTAGCCTCAAGCAATCCTCATGCCTCAGCTTTCCAAAACGTGGGATTATGGGCATAAGTCAATCTGCCCAGCCCAATTTAATATTTAACAATGACATGTTTTGCTTTTTAAATTAGAAAGTGATAAAGTTTTTTCTTAAAAAATATTAGATGGGCCAGTTAGAATTCCTCCTTTGGGAATTGGAACTAAGAAATACTGAGGATGAGGCAGTTCTCAACAGTAGTTGTAGTTGAAACTCATGAAGTAGAGCAGGTTTGGGTAAGGGTCAAGACCAAGTTATGAGCAGAAACTGAGTCATCAGAAGTTATAAAGTGGGAGAAAGTTGTAATGGGTGGAGAGACCGGAAGCTGGTTAGCAGAGGAAGCCATGCCTAATAGATATGTGAAAAGCAGCTGAGTCCTGTAAGTGGTGGAGCTTTGGAGCAAAGACACATCCCTCCTGCTGCTGAGTCCTGGACCCTGAGATCCAGCGGCCCCTGGGAGGTCTGGACCAGTGGTGGCTCCTCTTCCTAGTTTTCTATGTGATTGCATTTCCTTTATTGTCCATGGTGAATCTTCACAGTAAGCCCCTTTCTTTGGGGCTAGCTTGAGGGACTCTCTGTTCCTTGCAACCAAATACTGGAACAATACCCTAGAAAGCTCTCTTCTACAACAGGATCAAATCCCTGGTTTTATTAGAAACACATATTAGGAATAGTTGAAATGCATTGGCTTGGAATTAATAAAACTCAATATTGTCTGCTAAGAGGCAGACAGGATGTTACGAGACAATCTGAATGTATGATAAAGAGGCCCCACACACCTTTTCTCATGAAGGAGGAAATTGACTGGTCCAAGATAGATTTGGAAACTGTAGAACGATTTGTCATGGGATTTTCTTTCATTTTCTCAAATGACGTCTCCTGGACAATTTTATCTAGCACTGTTTCATCCACCTTCTTTCCCATGAACTGCATCACCTTCCGAATTTCATGCTTTGGGTCCTGCGGCAAGGGTAACATTGGACTGGAATGAATGAGAGTATCATAAAGAAATACTACAATTCTCTGGGATGTCCTTTGAAACAACTTTGAATTTCTCTGCACCTGAAGAACCACTTTAAAATGGTTCTTCTGCAGAGCCTTCACTCACCCTCTTTATGTCCTCATAGAAGAGGAAGAGAATCTGGTGTCTGTCTTTCATCTCCCACCATCCTTTCACGTGGTCAAACCAGGAACCCCAAACCACTGAAATAGACACAGGAAACAGAATAGTCTACATAGGCATCACACAAAACCTTCTGAGTATTAGGGATTTTCCTGAAGTGAGTTAGAGAGAGAAAACCCAAATTCTGTATTAGATATGTCCTAAGGGTTCTGATCTGTTTGATTTTGAGGGTGGTGTAGATGGGGACAGCCTTAGGGTTACTTGCCCCAACATCGTCCCTAAAGTGGCTTCCTATTATGTGCAATCACATAGGGACAAGGACACCTTTTGGAAGAGGATGGCTGTAATTAAAGACTCTGAATCAGGTGGAAGATGTTTGCTGAGGGCTGTGGGCATACACTCAGTGGCCAGCTTGCTCTGCCCAGTCCCAGTCTGTGGTAGGACACACCTGATGAAGTACAGGCATTCTAGGGGATAAAATGCTGCCTGTGGTTCCCTAGACCCAGCCTAGCTGGAGTGAGAATGCAAGGGTGTGAAGGATGTTCCCGTACCTTTTCCATTGATGAAGGTTTCAAAATACTCTTCCCAGGTACCAGGGTCAGGAAGCATGTGGTTCATCCTTTGGAAATGGTAGTAGGAAACCATACAGTCTTTGGCATTTCGAGCTACATAAAGGAACTTTGGGGTAAGAAAAGAGGTGGGTAAAAGATGGTATAAAAAGTGGACTTTCACAGAGTTCCCTTAGGCAGAGCCATCCTGAGGGTTGCTGTGCACTCTGGCTCAGTTCTGCAGTGCTGGCCCTGCGACTTGGCCTTGTGACCTCCCTCTTCTTTCTGTCTCTGCTTTGTCACCAAGTCTGCTCTCTACTTCAAACTCAGTCCTTTTAATTAGCTAATCAATTAGGGATTGGTGAGGATTAGATTGCCTGATTGCCCCTTTGGTATCAGGAGCAAAATCTTTTTCTGTAAACTATGACCTGCCACTTGAATAGGAGACTTCCACAGTATCAACGTAAACTGATGACCCCTCGCGCACCCTCCCAAAGATGCACAGAAGCTTCATGTTTAAGAGTTTGAGCCACACAGCAAGAAAATAGCTCCTATTTTTCTCCTGGCCTCCTCGGCTTGAATGATTTCCATCTCTAATCATTTCAGCTCTGCCCCTACAAACATTCCTTCAAGTTCCACTTTGCCCACAATTTCACATCCCTGCACTCTCCCAACCTTTCATTTTACCAAATCTGACCTTTTATCCAGTACTCAGTTCACATTTTAATGGCATCAATGCCAAATGGGCCTCTTGACTATGCATCTCAGATCTATGACCAGCTATTTCAATGCTGTGCTTTTTTATTCTTTCACTTTTAAGTGGTTCTCAATTGGGGATGATGGGATGATTGTATCCACTAGGGGACATTTGGCAATGTCTGGAGACATTTTTGGTTGCACAGCTTGGAGTAGTGGTGCTACTGGCATCCATGCAGGGGCCAAGTATGCTGTTCAACATTCTACAATACATAGAAGAGTCCCCTTGCTCCCACCCACAAGAAAGAAAAATCTGCCCCAAATGTCAGGAGTGCTGTATTAATTATGTCTTTTATATTCTGTATCTGATGCTTTGACATCCTGGGGCTTTGCTGACTCTGGAGGAACTGCCTACAACACCCCAGAGCCTATACCCCCAACACTTCCACTGTTGGGCTTTTACACACTGGGCCATTATTCACCTGCCCTGACACCCCAGGGTCAGATACCAGACCACTAGGCCAAGCCCCTGTGGCTGAAAGCCTGCTCCAGTGGTTCAAACTGGCCAATCCCAAGCCTGCCTACCTTGCCTCAACTATTCCTTCCCAAAGAAACCACATCAAGGCTCTTGCCCATGTCTTCTACTCACTGTCTCTTCCTCCTGACCTATCCCATTGCTTCCCTGTGAGGCTCTGTGTGACATGCCATGCCTCCTGTTCTAGGTATCTGCGAGGACACACTTCTTCCTTATGACAGTCACCACTGTACCTGCATGTCTTGCCATGCCTGATTATATCAAGTCCCAGGCCCTTTAGAGCAAGTGCTAAGGTTGAGAAACCCTGCTCCTGAAAGCGTTGACTCTGTTACTGTCTACTAAGTCCTACTCCCCATCTTCTCTTCTCCAACTTACCAAGCTGCCAAGCACCAGTAAAGAAGGTTTTAAGAAATGCTGATTTAAAAAATTCCCCTAGTTTCTAAATTTTTTATGCTCAGTTTTCTTCCTCTTCATTGCTGCTTGATAATCCTTTTATTAATCCCTCCCGTGCTCCATCTCTTGGCTCTTAGCTCCAGACACAGGTCTCTCCTCTCTCCTCAAACCTTTACCCTCAAACCTTCCTGTCTGAGTTCACTAATTCTCTATGCAGCTGTTCTGCACTTTATCCTATGCTTGAGTTTTTAATTTCCATGATTTTATATTTTTTTGTTATAGAAATTCCATTTATTTACTTAATATTTCTGTGTCTAAAAGTAGCATCTTATTTCTTTATTTTATTTTTGATACACTTTTTCATTTATTCACACAACTTGAACCTTCTCTTATTTCTAGAGTTGATAATTACATTGTCTGAAGTTCTTGAGGTCTGACTCTTCCATGGGTTCTTTCTGAAGACTGCATCTCATGGTGGCTTGTTCTTTTGTGTATTTTGTAATGTGGGATGGTGAGCTCAAGTGGGGATCCTATGGGGGTCTGAGTTGCAGCTGTGTCCCTCCAGAGCGGACCTGGGAACACTGGCTGTGGGGACCACCTTGTGGAATGTCTCTGCTTGTAGTTTCTTGGACAATGCAAGGAGTGCAATTTTCAATCTCAAACCCCGAGGGAGTAAACCTGTGGCTATACATTCTCAAGGGAGCTGAGCGCCTAGGTCAAGGCAGAGTGGTTCCCTAAGGTCTTTCTCTGCCTCCTCCACCCATCCATTGAGGATGTAGCCCTTCAGTGGTCCCAGCTTTGGCTCCTCATTCTTCTGGTTCCTTGTGCCATGGGCTTTGACCCTGTCCCTGTGCAGCCATTAAAACTTAAATTGCTGGATTATCCAGGTCATCAGATTTCCCCTGGAGAGTCCCAGTCTCAATTTGCCTCTCTGAGTTTCAGTTTCCTCTGCAGTTTCTAAACTTAGGGACTTTATTTTGATCTCAGTTATGCATTAAAAGGAAACTTGTGATTTTTTTATGCAGTAATCCTGGATGTTCTACATATAAGGGCTTCAGGGGTTCAGAACACCTAGTTTGCCATAATTCTGGAAATGGAAGTTTTTGTCCCCTTATCCAACATTATTACTAAAAGGAGTGAAGTCATTTGAGTCCTCCAACTTCACTCCAGTCCCCTAGCAACATATCTTTCTTAGCCCTTCTTTCCCCTTCATTCCTGCCTTTAAGGAAGCAGTGCCCCACTTTCTCACCAAGGCTGGCGGCTCAGTTTGTACCCTTGACTCCACCTGCTCTACAGCCACTTCCGTATTTACTCAGCAAGGACGTGTCTAATGCCCTCTATGTGCCAGGAACTTATTAGGCACTGGGGTGCATACGAATAAAGTCACAGAATAAATAAAACGAAGAACTCAGAGTCTACCAGAGGCAGAGGTGGGGTGTCCTCAAGAGCGTTGCTCTGCCTGATTCATCTGTTTACCCTTTGGGGAGAACTTTTTTTTTGAGATGGAGTCTCGCTCTGTGGCCCAGGCTGGAGTGCAGTGGCGTGATCTCGGCTCACTGCAAGCTCCGCCTCCCGGGTTCACGCCATTCTCCTGCCTCACCCTCCCGAGTAGCTGGGACTACAGGCGCCCGCCACCGCGCCCGGCTAAGTTTTTTTTTATTTTTAGTAGAGACGGGGTTTCACCGTGCTCTCGATCTCCTGACTTTGTGATCCACCCGCCTCGGCCTCCCAAAGTGCTGGGATTACAGGCGTGAGCCACCGCGCCTGGCCTCCTTTGGGGAGAGCTTTAGCTTTTTTCCTCTCATTCTTCCCTCCCTGGTCTGTTAGAAAACCTCCCCATGGCCTGCAGCCTGGGACCACCATCTTCTCCCCTTCATTTCACAGCTACGCTTACTGCACTCACTGCCTCCCCATGTCTCTAGTTCCCTCCAAACATTCAATCTGGATCCTGCCTTCATGTCCTATTTGAAACTGTTCAGGTGAATGTCCTGCTGAATGTAGAACTTTATGTTTTCTCTTTGCTGGTAAGCATCAGAGACAGTGGAGAGGCAAAGGTGATCACGAATGCTCTGCGTTGGGGTCTGCAGGACTCGCTTTGGTTGGCTTACTTTCCCTTCTGTCACAGGGAGCTGTTGGTATCTTACCTTGCAGTTGTTTTCCCAGAAAGACGGTGGCAGCAGCTGAGTGGAAAGGTGAGTCTTTAGTATCCGTGGAGAGGGCATTGCTTTGGCTTTTTCCACACCTTTAAAATAGCTCAAGAGGAAACATCTGCGTAGTACAAGCACTACATGGGGACCTCATGATCCAGGCTCTGTCCAGGACATCCCATCACCCACCTGTCTTTCTGCTAGTCTCTTGACTTTCTTTTGGGATTTTACAATGGGATTATTAATATAATTTTCATTTTTGTAAAATCACACAGCTTGAGTCCTGGATGGGGCCTTAGAGTTAATTTACTCTGTCACTTTAAGGATGAGGTGACAGAAGGTGAGAATGGTCAAGTGAAGTCCTGCTGAGGCAGAGTCAGCCAGGACCAGAGAAGAGAGGACTCCCTCACCTTCCTGCCAGCCAGAGATGACCCCCATGTGCCTGCAGCAGGCTGTCTCATGTACCCGGCCTGTTTGCAATCACTTGTTTCATCTCTAAAAACATGTATACTTGCTGGCCTGTGAGTCATGATTTCTACTGTCTCATTTTTTTTTTGAGACGGAGTCTTGGTCCATCACCAGGCTGGAGTGCAGTGGTGCGATCTCGGCTCACTGCAACCTCCGCTTCCCAGGTTCAAGCAGTTCTCCTGCCTCAGCCTCCCGAGTAGCTGGGATTACAGGCGCTTGGCCACCACGCCCATCTAATTTTTCTATTTTTAGTAGAGACGGGGTTTCACCATGTTGGTCAGGCTGGTCTCGATCTGGTGACCTCGTGATCCACCTGCCTTGGCCTCCCAAAGTGCTGGGATTACAGACATGAGCCACGGTGCCCGGCCTCTACTCTCTCATTTAAAAGCCTTAACGAGCACTTTGTGCAATCATCGTGTTAAGCTGAGGTTAGGGGAAAAGGCAACAAAGACAAGAAAAACACAGGCCTTCTCCCTAAGGAGCTTCCACTCTAGTGTGGGAATCAGAGGCTCATGCGAATCATGTCAGAGGAGCTGGGTCAAGTTAGTGCAGAAAATCTCCTTCCTCTTTAAGACTGAGTAATGTTCCATTGTATATCCACATCTTGTTTATCAATTCAGCCATTGGTGGACACTTGGGTTGTTGCCACCTTTTGGCTATTGTGAATAATGTTATTTTGAATGTAGATGTACAGGTATCTGTTTCAGACCCTGTTTTTATTTCTTTGGGATATATACCCAGAAGTGGAATTGCTGGATCATGTAGTCATGGTAATTTTTGTTAAATAAAAAAGTGTTTTGGTACTAAAAAGAAAAGTTGGAAAACCACCTTTAACCATTTTTGAAGTCCATATTCCTTAGAAGAACTGCAAAGCTCTCCTGCCTCTAGTCTCTTTTCTCAGCTCCACCTCTACGCCAGCTCACACTCTGACCTTCCACATGCCCTGGTCCTGCTGCCCCACGCCCCTGTGGCTCCCTCCGGCTCTCATTTCTACACATCTGGACAGTCCCACTCACTCTTCAAGGGTCTCTCCAAGTACTTTCACTGCTGGAGACATGGTGGCCTGAACATTATGAAGATCTTTCCTGTTAATCACACACCTGCAGATTCTGATTAAAACACCAAACGTATCATTTAAGTGCATAATCAGGCTCATAAGAAAATAAGGGGACCCTCCAGGGACGAAAGTGAAGAGGGAGGGAGCTGCAAGATGGAGAAGTGGGCAAAGGCTTTGATGACAGCTGCCCTGAGTGGGTTCACCCTCTGGACACCCAGTGCTCAGTTCAGTGACCTCTGCTCAGGGAAGAGGCTGGTAGCCCTGGACTTTAGTGAGGCACAGATTAGGAACAGAGACCCATGCATTAGCCGGAGAAACTCAAATGTCTGCTACCTCAGTGAAAGGTGAGAGAGAAAAAGATCACCTACTGCCAAAGAGAGGTAAGGTAATTTCCTTGCCTCGCCTCTGGGTGCAGAAAAAGAGGCTTTCTTGAGAGCTCATAACCACAATCCTGTTTTCATACTACATGCATGGATATGAAATTATACTACCAGCTTGGACCAGAAGTTAACTTAAACTATTCTAGATTGGAAATGTTCCAATGTAGGTGTGAGATCAAGACAGGGAGAAAAGAGCTTTTTATACAAAATTACAAAACAAGTGAGGGAAAAGCCCTATGAACAAGAGCTAGAAAAAAAACAGGTGGAAGAACTAAACCCCTAGTGACCTCAGTTATTGGGTACCTAATAGAGAATATAAATAACTATGTTTAAAATATGCAAAGAAGACCAGGGGCAGTGGCTCACGTCTGTAATCTTGGCACTTTGGGAGGTTGAGGCAGGTGGATTGCTTGAGCTCAGGAGTTTGAGACCAGCCTGGGCAACATGGTGAAATCCTGTCTCTAAAAAAAAAAAATACCAAAATTAGCTGGGCATGGTGATACGCACCTGTAGTCCCAGCTACTTACTCGGGAGGCTGAGATGGGAGGATCGCTTGAGCTCGAGAGATTGAGGCTGCAGTGAGCTGTGTTTGCACTACTGCACTCTAGCCTGGGTGACAGAGTGAGACCCTGTCTCAAAAAAAAGTGCAAAGGAATAAAAGAGAAAGTTGAAAACATGAGCAAGGAAACAAGAGACTACTAAAAAGACTGGGAAGATTTATAGTGTTTGGACATGAAAACCTACAATGAGTAGGGTTAAATAGCAGAGCTTATATAGCTGAAAAGAAAAATAGTGGCAGAGCTAAAGAAGCACAATGTAGAGAAACGGAGATGAAAGCTATAAGAAACCTTAGCAGACATAGAGGACAGAAGGGAAGGTTATGGATGGAGTTGGACTGTCAATCCCAAGCTGGGGAGCAAATTCAGGGAATCTGCCAGAAAGTGAGATCTGCAGGCTGGTTGATTTCCTTCCTGGTACTCGCGGCTCTCCTCTTTCCTATTACACCTGATTTAATGCCCTGTGGGCAGTAACCACTTAATGCCTAAAAGAGACCCAGTCTTCTAATTGGGAAATCTGTACTCAGTCATTATGGTCCTTAGATGGCTCACAGTCATCCTTCCTGCCCATGACAAATAAGAAGGCCCACTCCTACTCCTGATCCAGCCCTGTTGGTGGGCTCAGTCCAGCTCTAACTCCAAATTTTTCTGCCAAAAAACCCCTACAGGAGAGAGATACTGTGGAGTCGGGGCTTGACATAAAGCAGTTGACCAGTGTTTTCTTTTATGAACATAGGTACATTGTACATTCTGCCCCCCCACACCCTCGCCCCACCTCTCTCTCATCAATGATTCAGAAAAGCCCCATGGGGTTGCCTCACCCGCCAGGAATACCACGATGGTTGCTCAGACTCAGGGTGGAGAAGCACAGCGTGGAGAGTGTGCATGACACAGCCCAGGCTGCAGGGCCCATTCCCAAGCCCACTAGCTTGGAAGAAGGGGGCAAACGGGGTCATTTTTGGCCTTCGTCAGTTGCACTAAGATTTTAGCCTTGGGATTTGAGCCAAATTGCATGTGGCTGTGAGGGATAAATCAATTCAGCCAATACTGTAGAAACAGCCCCATGGGAGTACAAAGTTAAACAGAACTTGTTTCTTGCCATCAAAGAGTTTGCAGTCTGGCAGGAGACAGAGGCAGAAAATTAGTAATGACAACAGTTTATCATTTCAGGTGTCACCTCCAGGAACGGTTCATTGGCCATGTTCCCCTCACCCTGCCAGTAGCCCTCCATGCTTGTTGTTATATCATCTGCATTGGTTTCTTCCATGGGACAATAACTTATTGAGGGCAAGTAGGTGTGAAGTCTTATGAGCAGCATAGGCCCTTGAGCATAGATGTTTGCTGAAACTAAGTGGATCATTCCTAGATTTCACCTATATACAGTTCACACACACACATGCATATGCATACACATGCACACAGGTCTTTTCAAAGTCTTTCCAAACCAATTCTCTGTGGGTCACAGATGTAATCCCTTTTGTCACAGAACGGCTACAAGGCTGGGAGTTGATGGGAGAGCAGAAGGGGGCCTGGAAGGGAGACTGACCATGCAGGGCACAAGCTCATCCATTGTCCAGTAGTGTCTGACCACTCCAGAATGCTCCAAGGGTGGTTGAGACCTTTGGCCGACAGCCATGAGTCTATGTCAGCAACTGGTCTCCTCCCAGTGATGCTCCTCACCTCAACTGGCAGGGATTATCTACTCTGAAAGAAAACCACTGGCTGGGCACGGTGGCTTACGCCTATAATCTCAGTGCTTTGGGAGGCCGAGGCGGGTATATCATGAGGTCAGGAGTTCGAGACCAGCCTGGCCAACATGGTAAAACCCTGACTGTACTAAAAATACCAAAAATTTGCTGGGCGTGCTGGCAGGTGCCTGTAATTCCAGCTACTTGGGAGGCTGAGGCAGGAGAATTGCTTGAACCCGGGAGGCAGAGGTTGCAGTGAGCCAAGACCATGCCATTGCACTCCTGCCTGGGCAACAGAGCCAGACTTTGTCTCAAAAAAAAAACCAAACAAACGACCACTGCACAGCTGAGTCTCCAGCCAGCATTCAGCTGTCTGTGGCTGGGCAGATCATAAAGCCTGAGACTGTTTGTTATTCTCACACAGGGCACCTTGGTTCCTAAAGAGGCCAGGGTGCCTCTGTATGACATGCCAAGCTGGCCGTTTGATTACCATCCTTTCTCTGGATTCTACAGCTCTATCCTGGTTTTTATGCCGATTTAGTGATTGAACACTCTGCTCTCTACTGCTAAGAATACTTCATTAGAAATCTTGCTTAGGCCTCTCCTCTTTCTTTAATCTCTCAAATTGCCAGAGGTAAGACACTGGGCAGCGGCAGGGGCAGGAGGTAGAACAAAGATCAAAAGCCGTTCTTGGGCTGGGTGTGGTGGCTCATGTTTGTGATCCCAGTGGCTTGGAAGGCCGAGGCAGGAGGATTGCTTGAAGCCAGGTATTTGAGACCAATCTGGGAAACATAGTGAAACCCGATCTCTACAAGCAAAAAATTTGCCAGGTGTGGCGGTGTTCACCTGTAGTCCCAGCTACTCAGGAGTCTGAGGTGGGAAGATTGCCTAAGCCCAGGAGTTCCAGGTTGCAGTGACCTATGATGGCACCACTGCAGTCCAGCCTGGGTGACAGAGCTAGCCTCCATCTTTAAATAAACAAAAAATGCTGGTCTTAGATAATCAGGGAACACATGGGGTCATGGGGCCTGGAGAAGTGGTTAGTAAAGATAGCTAACACGTAGATAGTATCCTCTGAGTGTCAGGCACTGCTTCAAGCTTTTTACCTATACTGAATTTGTTAATGCTCACAACAACTCTTTGAGATAGGCCTTGATTCTATCTACACTTTGCAGCTAAGGAAACTGTAACACAGAGAGGTTATGTAAACATTGTGAGGTGAGTGACGGAGTCAGGATTTAAACGTTGTGAGGTGAGTGATGGAGTCAGGATTTAAACCCTGGTAGTCCTTAACTATTATACCATCCTGCTGCTCAAGGAGCAGAAGACCAGACACACACAAAACAGCAGGTCCTCATGGCACATGGAGTGAGATCATGGTTAAGCAGGCAGAGGCTGGCCTGTCTATGGGGTCAGAGCCCCACAGGTATTTCAGAGCAGGGCGGGAACAGGCACTGGGTTACAAAGCGAGTAGTTACCTACCTAGTGACCATTTTCTCTTCTTCGAAAGCCAGAGGAGCCAGAGGGGCTGGATGGTAGGATCATAGGGGAAAGCAAAATCCTTTAAGGCTATTCTGACTTGGAGACACCTCCTTCCACAGGTTACAAGTGTCTTGTATGCATCAGATCAGGGAATTTCTATCTTAGGACATTTTTAGGGATTTATCAGACCTCTGTCTACAGTTGCTCCAAGTCTAGACTTCATGCTAGAGCTGCATTAACTACATTTTCATAGCTTCAGCTACTGTGCTCCCAGCTTTCTATCACATGGATCTCTGCAATGCTATAACTTAGGGAAGTAGGCCTTCCTCCTATCCTTGTTTTGCAAAATAGTTCCAGCAGCTCCAGTTACCTGAAATATAGCATTCTGGTTATATTTTTTAGCTTTCTTTATTTTTTGATGTGAAGAGAAACACTTCTAGGTTGAGCATTACCTGAAAAGTCTTCTCTGTTGAACAGAAATAATTGGTTCCAAATGCAATGGGGTGTGTGTGTGTGTGTGTGTATGTGTGTGTGAATTATCGATTCTTGGATACCCTCCTGGCTGCACTGGGTTTTATCAGGTTGGGGTACAGATAGAAGAAGGAATAAATGGCTTACAGTTTTTCACATCTTCAATGTGATCTACAGTTGCACATGATCAGAGGGAGGGCTTAAGAAGAAAATAAGGCAGAATCTGACCCTAGCACACATCCTTTTCATTTGGTGATTCACTTTTGGTAAAAAATCTTAAATAATATGTAGACAGAGGATGAGAGGAAGATAAAAGGAAGAAACATATGACAGTGAAAATGAGAGAGAAAGAGAAGAGGAAGGAGAGATGGGGGAGAGAGAGAGGAGAGAAGAGGAGAAAAGTGAGAAAAGACAGGGGAAAACAGAAGAGAGAGGGAAAGAAAGCAGGAAGAGAGAAAGAGGGAGGTGCTCTCACCAGAAGGTTGGGGTGGCCGAGCCCACTCAATGAAAGGATGGCGGTGTTGGATGATGGCTCGCTGGCACTTCTCCACGTCCCCATTCTGTTCAATCATATCCACAATTTCCTGAATCCACGTTGTCCCTGAGGCTCAGAAAGGAAGGATGAGAAGCAGAAATCTGTTAGACAATCTTCCCTGAAGAGTCCCGAGTAAACGAAGAGGATGTAGAGCCTTGGTGTTTGCATCACCCTCCCCTTGGGTCAGAATCCTGTTTGCCATGAGTGATAGAAGTCCATGAGGGATGGACTTTGGATCTCTGTAGGGAGTGGAGCAGCACAGGCAAGGGTCTCTCCACCCAAGACCAGTGCATGGTAGAGCATAGCAGCTTTCCTGGAAAACTCGGATATCAGGCATCCTGTGTGAGCCCTGAGCTCCAAAACCCATTGTGGAACAATAAGAAGGAGCAGGTTTCCTAAGAAGGGGAATTCTAACTTAAGTGATGAGCCTGTGCTGGCTCAGCAGGTCTTTGCTGTCCCTCCTACCCTGCAATCACCTGCTTTAGGGTAGGTGCAGATGAGGAGATCATCTGGTTTGGCCTCGAAGCTCTGGATCTGGCTCCAGTTGTCCACAGTTGCAGGCTGCAGGAGGGTCCCCTCCACCTCTTTCAGTTTTATCTGTTTCCCCAGGTCTGAGGTCAGGGCCATAGTGTCTCAGGGTTGGGGTCCCTATGGGAAAAGAATAGAGGAGATTTTTAAAGAAGTTGTGGTAAAATATACATAACATAAAATTGATCATTTTAACCATCGTTAGGTGTACAGTTCAGAGGCATTAAGTACATTCACATTGTTGTGCAACCATTATAACCATCTTTTCTAGAATTTTTTTCATCATCCCAGACAGAAACTCTGTATCTATTAAACAATAATTCCCATTCCCCCTCCCTCAGCTCCTGGCAACCACCATTTTATTCTCTGTCTCTATGGACTCTATGTACCTTATTTAGGTGGAATCACATAACATCTGTCCTTTTGTGAATGTCTTATTAATTAAGCTTAATCTTATGCTTAATTGAAAGCTTGATCCAAAGCTTAATCTCTTCAAGGCTCATCCGTGTTGTAGCATGTGATGGGATTTCCTTCCCTAGTTCACTGTAGATATACACCTTTCCTTTTTTTTTTTTTTTTTTTTTTTTGAGACAGAGTCTCACTCTGTTTATCCAGGCTGGAGTGCAATGGCATGATCTCTGCTCACTGCAACCTCTGCCTCCAGGGTTCAAGCGATTCTCATGCCTCAGCCTCCTGAGTGGCTGGGATTACAGGTGCCCGCCACCATGCCTGACTAATTTTTGTGACTTTAGTAGGGACCGAGTTTCGCCATGTTGGCCAGGCTGGTCTTGAGCTCCTGACCTCAGGTGATCCACCCACCTTGGCTTCCCAAAGTGTTGGGATTACAGGCGTGAGCCACCGTGCCCAGCCTATATTTTGTTTACCCAGTCATCTATTGATGGAAACTTTTGGCTGTCATGAATTAGGTCTCTGTGAACATCGATGTACAAATATCTCTTTGAATTATTGCTTTCAATTTTTTTTGGTATATACTCAGAAGTGAAATTGCTAGATCATCTGGTAATTCTATGTTTAATATTTTGAGGAAATGTTACAGCATCTTCCACAGCAGCTGCACCATTTTACATTTTTACAAGCAGTGCACAAGGGTTCCAGTTTTTCCAAATTGTCATCAACACTTGTTGTTTCTTGTGTTTTTTGTTTGTTTTTTTGGTTTTGATAATAGCCATCCTAATGGTTGTGCGGTGATAAATAGCTCATTGGGGTTTTGATTTGCATTCCCCTAATGTCTAATGATGTTGAGCATCTTCTCATGCTTATTGGCCATTTGTGGGAGAAATATCTGCTTTGCCCAGTTTTGCATTGTGTGTGTGTGTGTGTGTGTGTGTGTGTGTGTGTGTGTGTGTGTGTGTTGTCATTGTTGTATTGAGGGAAGACTTTTAAATGCACCAAAAGGAGAAAGCAGAAGATGTAAATCACTGTTACTCAAGGATAACTGGCTACTGGGGTTCCAGAAGACATTTATTACTACTACTACTAATGAAATAGTAGTTAAAAGCTAACATTTATCGAACACGTCAATTTGCCAACGCTGGGCTGAGGCCTTGTATACATTAATTTATTTTAACTTTTGCTGAAAATGAGTGATAGAACTTCGGAGCTGAAAGGGTCCTTACAGAAAATGTAACAGTACATGCTTGCTAGAGGTTGAATAAAATAATCTGGCCCAGCTGCTTCATGGAATGGATGAGAAAACTAGGTGCCCAGATTAGTGAGGGCAGTTTTCATGGTGGCTTCTGCTTCCAGATTGAGCTGAGCCCTTTAAGATGAAGACAATTTTTGGAAAACGAAAGACAAATTATTTATGAAAATTTTCAAATATGAGAAGCAGTTGTATTTATAATACATCAAAGAAGGTGGAGTTTGGACAGTACTCCTGAGATAATGGTATGATCAAATTCAGGAGAGGAGGGATAAGAACAAACATTTCTTGCAGGCCTTCTATGTTAGGTCCTTCGTGGACTTTTCTTTTTCTTTCTTAATTCATATGACAATTTTATTAGGAAGGAATAATTATCACCCTCATAAATGTGAGGAAGCTGAGAGTCACACGATCAATAACTTGCCCAGGATCGCAGCCAACATCTGTATACGAATCCTATGTTCCTTCTTTAAAAATTGCCTCTTGTTTTTTTTTATTGTGAATTTAAAGTTATACATTGCAGAAACTTTGGAAACAGTCCAAATGTACAAGGAAAACATCTATCACACAAGAGTTGTTATTATTTTGATGTATTTCTATCTGTCTTTTTCAAATGTATATTGTTGTAGGCAGAATAATGGCCCTAAAGATGTCCACGTCCTAATTCCTAATACATTACATTGTGTGGCAAAGGGCTTTGCAGATGGAATTTAGGTTAAGAACCTTAAGGCAATGAGCATGTCCTGTATTATCCCGGTGGGTCTAATGTGACCACAAGGGCACTTAAAAGTGGACAAGGGTGTAGAAGAGCAGTCAGAGAGTCGTGTGGCAGAAGAAGTGGCTGGAGAGTTTGGAAGCATGAGAATGACTCAACTTGCCATTGATGGCTTAGAGACAAAGGGGAACACAAGACAAGGCATGACCTCCAGAAGCTGAGAATGAACCTCAGCCAACAAGCAAATGGGACCTCCATCCTACAGCCACATGAATCTGAATTCTGCCAACAACCAGAATGAGCTTGGAAGGGATTCTTCTTCAGACCCTCCAGAAGGGAACGCAGCCCTGCCAACACCTTGATTTTACCCAGAGACACCTGTTTGGACTTCTGACTTACAGAGGTGTGAGATAATAAACTTGTATTGTCTTAAGCTGCTAAATTTTTGATAATTTGTTATGGCAGTGATAGTGATAGAAAACTGTTTATACATAGTTATGAACAAAAAGTATACATATATATAAACATAAAACTACAAAACACTTTTTGGATACTGCTGTGGTTTGGATGTGGTTAGTCCCCACCAAAACTCTCTGTTGAAGTTTAACTGCCAGTGTGGCAGTGCTAGGACACGGGGTCTTGTGAGAGGTGTTTGGGCCATAAGGGTGGATTCCACATGAGTAGATTAATGCCATCTCCCAGAAGTGGGTGAGTTTGGTCCCTTTATACATGCCTGCTTGCCTTTCTATTTCTTCACCATGTCTTGATGCAGCATGGCCCTCACGAGAAGCTGAGCAGATGCCAGCACCATGCTCTTGGACTTTTCAGCCACCAGAATCATGATTCAAAATAAACCTCTTATATTTATAAATTACCCAGCCTCAGGTATTTTGTTATAGCAACATAAAATGGACTAAGACGGACATTATCGTGGTTTGAATTGTGTCTCTCTAAGTTCATATGTTGAAGTCCTAATTCATAGTATATTAGCATGTGGCTGTATTTGGAGATAATGTCTTTAAATAGGTGATTAAGTTAAAATGAGGCTGCTAGGATGAGACCTATTCCAATCTGGTATCCTTGTAATGAGAGGAGATTAGGACACACAAGGCAACACCAGGGATGTGTGCACATGGAGGAAAGACCATGTAAGGACACAGTGAGAAGGTCCTCCATAGGGTGGGGGTGAGGGGATGGTGAGTCCAATTCTGGGGTTGAGTCTGATGTATTTATGGGACTTCCCAATGTACACCTGTAGGCAGGTGTACATGTGAGCTTAGGGCTCTGGCCTTGAACTAATGCCCTGAGAATAATCCACGCAACACATTGACCAACTCTGTGGTAGGCGTTGTGCTCTGGGCAGGTAGCTGATGACCGAGGGCCTGGGCACAGCTGTGAACATGTGTGGAAGGGCACCTGCTGCTGCTGAGGACCAGGGCGGTTAAGGGCTTGGCTGTCCAGTGAACTATGGATCCCACTGTATTGCTCTTGTTGGAGGCCTGCACGGGGAGTGATAGAACCTGGCTAAAGCTGGGAGAAGGAGATGCAGCAAGAGATTGAGGCAGCTGGGTAGTGCAGTGGGAGCAGAGGGATCTGCCAGTTCCCACAGGAGAAGTCCCAAGTCCTTCTCACCCTCCCCAGGCCCCTCATTGCTGGGCCACATCAGCACATGGTTCCTGCCCTTGGAGAGTCAGGCATGTAGACACATACATTTCCCCTTGAGCAGCCAGCAGGGACATTTTCATCATATCAGGCCAGATCACTATGGCCTCCTTTGTGGAGGCATCCCTGACTCTGTAAACAGAAGTAATCACTCCTTTCCATGGGATCCTATAGTATTTTGTGTGCAAATTTTATAGGTCTTACTCCACGTCCTACAATTACTTGCTTATAAGTCTGGACCCTTGGAGCACAGGATCTGGTTCAGTCCCCTTGCAGGCCCAGCATGTGTCTTAGTCAATGGCTGGCATAAGAGGAGGGCTGTCATGGAAGAAGAAATAGTCTTGGCCAGAGAAGTTGAGCTGGCCCTGGAGGAGGATGGGACAGGGAGGGTATTTGGGAAAAGATCAGGGTGGGAGACAGAGATAGTATTACAGGAGAGAGAGCTTTTGGAGGTGATTTGAGGGGGGTCCTGAATTTCTAGGTCTGAATTTTTAGGCTGGAGGCTGTTAACAAAACTCTTTTATATTATTTTATCAGATTCTTAGGATCTTTTCTGGTTTGAATAAATGCATCTGTAAAGCCACACCTATGTGGCTAAAGGTTAAAAAATAAATTAACGAGTTAGGTACAGAATTTCTTTTAAGCCATATTCTTACCTTCAAGTTCCAGCTGAAAGTCAGCAGCTCAAAGGCCCACTCAAGGGTCAGTGGGCACGGAAAGGACTTTCACAGGAAGCAGACGGCAATTGCAGAGGCTCAAATTACTACTGTGTCAGAGTTACGGGGGCGCTCAGCAGGTAGCCAGCACTTTGGGAGGCTCTCAGCTTCAGTGTGGGAAGTTGAAGCTTTTACTGGAAGAATCCGGATTGAACAGAAACAAACCCTGTGACCTGGCCCTGGGAGGGAGAACTTCTCACTGTACCATGATCACTCATGTGACCCTGACTGCTGTGCAAATACCAACTCCCTCTAGTTCATATGAACTAAGGGCACACTCTACTCCTCCTCTCGGTCACCAGCTAGAGTTTTTCACATCTTTCCTGGCCCTCAGCTGCCTGGCCCCTCCCTCCTCCCACTGGCCTCGAAGCTTAAACAGGTGGGGGCTGGGGGGAAATGGAAGGTTGGCTCTAGGACCAGATGCATCAGGCTTCAGGTAGGCTCCTGCTTATTTGGTGAACTCCCTTTTCCTTCCTCCTTAGCCTGAGATTTAATTTCTGCATCTATGAAGTGTGGGTAATACTGCCTGTCTCCAATCCATGCTTTAAGATTGAAAGCAACAATGTTGATGAATACACTTTGCAGAGCAAATAGTAAGTGCTTAAAACTGCTGGTTCTTCTTTCCTTTCTTCCCAAGTTGTATTCATCCACACCGAAAATGCAGAGAGGATAGAACAAAAGTCTAGAGCTTAGGTGTGTACTTATTTTTTCTTTGCCTTATTGTACAAAAGGTACACTTTAGTGGAGGCAGATTATATTCCATGGTGTCTTTGGTTACCTGGGAAATTAAATGGATCAAGTGTTAATGATCTCTGAACTGCTACTCTTCTGCCAGCCCCAACCTTGTATCTACCCCAGTGCTTTCCTTTCTGGAATTGAAGCATAATTCTGCACCCCATCTGCCCTTCTTGCCAAAGCTTTCCTTGTCTTCTTTGACCCTGAACCTCCTAATGCTTCTTTGCCGACACTTCTTCTTCCTCCTTGTTTCCAAAGGGCTCTTTTTTTCCCAATAAATTGAACTTTCTTTTTCTTTCTTTTTTCTTTTTTTTTTTTTTTTTGAGATGGTGTTTCACTCCTGTTGCCCAGGCTGGAGTGCAATGGTGCAATCTTGGCTCACTGCAACCTCCGCCTCCCGGGTTCAAGCGATTCTCCTGTCTCAGCCTCCTGAGTAGCTGGGACTACAGGCGTGCGCCACCATGCCCAGCTAATTTTTTTTTGGTATTTTTAGTAGAGACGGGGTCTCACCATGTTGGCCAGGCTAGTCTCCAACTCCTGCTCCCAGGTGATCTGCCCGCCTTGACCTCCCAAAGTGCTGGGATTACAGGCATAAGCCACTGCGCCCGGCTGAACTTTATTTTTCTACTTCTGCTCTCTTTCCAGTTCCACTTATCCCAGTGCTGTCAATTTTCAGCCCCATAGGGCTGATTCACAGTTCTTAGTGCAACCTCACATTTTCTCTGCAGTTAAAGTCCCTAAGTCTACTAAAGTGTCTGCCAGTATCGGTGCCATGCTGCGCTGCATGCTGCATCTCCCTGCCTTTGCTGTCTGCATGGGTCACAGTCTCTACAATCCCAGAATTTACAGTTAGTAACCACTGCTAGTATCTGCTTCCTCCACATTTGTGGAGGATGAACTGGGATGTTGCACAATCTTCTAGCAGTCTCCTTATTTCTGGTCTCTTCCCTACTAGTCTCTCATACTTTCAGCATATAAATTAAGCTCAGCTCAGATCAGGCTATCCTTTGGTTGTTTATGGCTCAAATTCTGGGTGCTTCCACTTGGAATTCAAGACCTTCTAAATTCATTAATTCTTATTTTTTATAAGACAGGGTCTCACTCTTTTGCCCAGGCTGGAGTGAAGAGGCATGATCATAGCTCACTGCAGCCTTGACCTCCTGAGCTCAAGTGATCCTCCTACTTCAAGCCTCCTGAATGCCTGGCTCAAGGCCTTCTTTAATATAACACCATCCCCACCATGGGCCCCACACACCAGGTGAACTGAATGACTTACTGTCCCCTGTATGCATCCTATAATTTCCTGCCTCCCTGGTTTACTCCTGTTTCTCCCTGCCAAAAATGCTCTTACTCTTAGCCTGGCACACTGCTGTGCACCTGTAATCCCAGTTACTTGAGTCCAGCCTGGGCAACATAGTGAGATCCCATCTCTAAAAAAATGTTCTTACTCTGTTTCCATAGAGTCAGATTCTTCAGCTTTGAACCCATCTTTTCCTTGAAGCCTTTCCTTAGGTTATAGCTGGAAGCAATCTCTCTGTGAACTACCATATGCTTTTTTAAAAATAAGTTTTATTGAGATCAAATTCACATACTGTGCACTTCACCCAAGTGTACAGTTCAATGTTTTTAGTTGTGCAACCATCATCACACTCAATTTTGGAATATTTTCATCACCCCAAAATGAAACCCCATATTTATTAATAGTCATGCCTAATTCCTCCTACCACCATCTCCAGCTTTAAGAAACCAAAATCTACTTTGTGTCTCTATAGACTTGTCTATTGTGGACATTTTATATAAATTGAATCATACAATGTGTGGTCCATAGGATTAATTTGGCCTTCTCTTACAGCAATTTTCTGTTTTTACTTGAATGAGGAAATTAACTACCCTCCCAGTGTGTCGATTGGGGCCTATCTCTAAGACCACCTGTACCATGTACCCATTCAACTGGATTAATATACTTACTGAATGAATAAACAAATGAATGAAACAAAAACTTTAGTTTTCACCGGGACTGGGACTTGAATGAGGGAACTAAGGTGCAAAATGTAAGGAGACACTCGCTCCAGGGCCGTGCAAGAGAATGAATGCCTCCTTCAATGCTATGCCCTTACCTCACCCTAGTCCCTGCCCTGGTTTATACATAATCCATCCACATGGATTTTTCCCTGATTTGTGATTCATGTACCTCTGGAACTTTCTGAGCTGTTTCTGAGAACCAGGTAAAGTGTGCCTTCTTTGGAGTTAGGGGAATGTCTACACGGCAGCCTCTGTCCCGCTAGAAAGACCAAAGTCACTATTGCCTCCTGGAAGAGTTTTGTGAGGGATCTGATCATGGTTTTCAATTGGGAAAAGTAGCCAAGCTGCTTTGTGCCACTGGCACAAAGTGGAAGGTGCCTGTGTTCCAGCAGGCTGGCTTTGAGGAGCAGCGGGAGCAAAGGTCTCCCCCCGGGACATAGCCATTCCTTCTGGGTGCTATGTCCTACAGCTGCAACTGCTTCAGGCAAGCTTTGTAACACTTGCCTCAGTCACACAGATCCTTTGACCAAGTCCACAAGAGAGCAGATGAGCTCTTTCCTGCAGGTGGTGAGGTACTAGGTGGGCAAACTCTGACTCCTTTGTAACTTCATGGATCTCGCTTATTATCCAGGAAACTGGCTCAGCATTCTCCTGGCTTGTGCTCCCTTGTCGTTTAAATTTTTTTCCTTCTGTTTTTGACCATCCGCAATTCACATAATTACATGTCTCTCAAGCCATTTTTCTTACTTTGCAATGCTCATTGGCTTTAATTCTCCCTTTCTCTTTTCTTGTCTAATTCTTGTCCAGTCACCCAGGGAAAGATGGAACAAGTCTTTTTCTCCCTCACTTTCTACTATCTCCTTTCTTTCATATTCTCCTACTCATCCTTCCATTTGCTGACCCTGGCTCCACTCCAGCCATGGCTGATGGCTGTTGGCATGGGGATGTGGCACATTTGTATTAAGGAAGAGAGAAATCCTGAGACATGATTGACACAAAGTTAGAAATAATGAAGAATCACATTGCATTAGTTTCCCAGGGTTTCTGTACAAATTGGGTGGCTTAAGCTACAGAAACTTCTTGTTTCACAGCTCTGATAAGTAAAAGTCCAAGATCAAGGTGCAGTATGGGCTTCTTCTCGAGCTGTGAGGGAGAATCTGTTTCATGCTTCTTTCCCAGCTTCTGGTGGTTTGCAGGCACCACCCCAATCTCTGTCTTCATTGTGTGTGTCTGTGTCCAAATTTCCCCCTTTTATAAGGATATCAGTCATATTGGATTAAGGCTCACCCTAATGATCTCCTCTGCAAATATCATATTTCCAAATAAAGTCACGTTCACGAGCACTGGGAGTTAAGACTTCAACATTTTTGAGGGGGACTCAATTCAACCCATAACACACTAATATCAGTTTTTGGAGCTTTGAAAAATAGACCCCAAATGTCCAACAACGATAGACTGGATTAAGAAAATGTGGCACATATACACCGTGGAATACTATGCAGCCATAAAAAATGATGAGTTCATGTCCTTTGTAGGGACGTAGATGAAGCTGGAAACCATCATTCTTAGCCAACTATCGCAAGGACAAAAAACCAAACACCGCATGTTCTCACTCATAGGTGGGAATTGAACAATGAGAACACATGGACACAGGAAGAGGAACATCACACTCCAGGGACTGTTGTGGGGTAGCGGGGGCGGAGGGATAGCACTAGGAGATATACCTAATGTTAAATGACGAGTTAATGGGTGCAGCACACCAACATGGCACATGTATACATATGTAACAAATCTGCACATTGTGCACATGTACCCTAAAACTTAAAGTGTAATAATAATAAAAACAAAACAAAACAAAACAAAACAAAAAAATAAAAGTTTCTTTCAAAATTCCATGGTAGTTTTCAACTTCATTTACCATTTTCTCCAGCTAAATTGGCAGTTTGTTTTAAGGCACAGACATTCAAGTAAATACAATAATCTGTTTCATTTAATAGCTAGTTTTGCAGTAGCGTTATCTTTTTACTTATGATTCATTTGGAGTGCCTGGTGTTTCAGCTACCTTGTGAGTTCATTGTAGATATTACTCTAATCTTGAGAACCTAGTACTCATTTCAGCATTGTTTTTTGGGAAAATATCTTTCAAGTTTCAAAAGACTGAAAGTATACTTTGAGCGCAGTCAATTTTTAAATGGGGGCTCCCTGTGCAAGTTTCTGGGTCTATCATATGTGATAATTGAACCCTTCAAAAACATAGAAAAGTAGACCTATGATAGTCCCAACACACTTTAAGGATTTCTCAAATTAATAAATAATGTTTTGTACATATGTTAGGACACTGAATAACTGATCATATAGTGAGCGAAACAGCATATTACAAAATGATGTGTTTGGTGTGATCCTGTCTTTGTAAAAAATGTTTTGTCCATCAACAACTGTATGGAAAAAGATACACCAAAGCCTCTACCCCTGTGTTAGCCATACTCATCTCTTGGGATGAGATGTGTCACTGTGGGTGGGAATGGGGGAAGGATGTGGGAACCACTTGTCGAATGGGATTGCATTCATCCATTTTCATACTGCTAAGAAGAATTAACTGAGACTGGGAAATTTATAAAGAAAAAGAGATTTAATGGACTCACAGTTCCACATTGCTGGGGAGGCCTCACAATCATGGCAGAAGGTAAAGGGGAGCAAAGGCACATCATACATGGCAGCAGGCAAGAGAGCATGTGCAGGGGAACTGCCCTTTATAAAATCACCAGATCTCATGAGACATATTCACTATCACAAGAACAGCATGGGGAAAACCCACCCTCATGATTCAACTACCTGCCACCAGGCAAGCTACAAGGTGAAAGAAGATAGTTGTAACATAGCAGTTGTTAAAAAATTTGTATCCAGATTATATAAAGAACTCCTACAAATCTATGAGAAAAAGACTGATAGCCAAATAGAAAAGTGGGCAAGAGACCTGAACAGGTACTTCATAAATGATGATCTGACCAATAAATACATGAAGATGCCAACATCAGTAATTACCAGAGAAATAAATCAAATCAAGTAATTAAATAAGCTATTTTATTTATGTATTTATTCATTTTTTTAGACACAGTTTCACTCTGTTGCCCAGGCTGGAGTGAAGTGGTGCAATCTTGGCTCACTGCAACCTCCGCCTTCTGGGTTCAAGCAATTCTCCTTCCTCAGCCTCCTGGGTAGCTGGGATTACAGGTGCGCACCACCACACGTGGCTAATTTTTTTGTATTAGGGGTAGAGACGGGGTTTCACCATATTGGCCAGGCTGGTCTTGAACCCTTGGCCTCAAGTGATCTGCTTGCCTCAGCCTCCCAAAGTGCTGGAATTACAGGCATGAGCCACTGTGCCCAGCTCATGCTATTTTAAATAAATTCAATTGAAAATTATATCACAATTCAGTACTACTACCCAAACACCAGAATGTCTAAAATCAGAAGGTCAGGATATGTAAAATTTTAGTGATGATGAGAAACTAGGATCCAATTACAGTTGCTTTTTCTTTCTGTCTTTGTATGTTTTCCACATGTTCTACTCAATTTATGTTCTTCTCCAATCAGAATATAATGATATTTTTCTACAGAGCAGATTCTTGTTTTCTTAATGCTTTCCAGCTCAGCAACTAAAACTAAAAGATGGGCAGAACGGAAGGATGTATCCAAATAAATATGGCGGGTTTTAGACTGGTTCTTTAGAGGGCATGAGGCAATTAACAGACCCAGGTTATAGAGGGTAATTTAAGGGGCAGAATTTTTGACTTCTGAAAAGAACTTCAGCAGGAACAGATTCTGGGTTGCGGCATCTCAGTAGGTAGAGTGTAGATGACTGTGACACTGGGTAGCTCACTGTCCCACTGAACTGTAATAGTCTTAAGGGGCCAATGACAGGGTCTTGGTGGCTGAGCCTATTTCTTCTGTGTCAGTTCTTCCAGGACTTCCTACTCTAATATACTTCTCTCCAGAAATTGTTATAGTTCTTGGTCATCCAAGTACACAGTGGGCTCATACAGTCCAGTATTTTATCTGTAGGTCTACTTACCAGATATAGATGTCAGCCAATCCAAGTGGGTTATTTTGACACTATAGTTATTGTTCTTCAAGGTATCCATGTTTCAGTAAACAAACTTCTGCATTTTATTGTTTAGTGGCTTTTCTTTCAGTCAAAATATCTCTGTGATGATATAATATGATATAATATGTCTTACTATACAACTGGCACAATTCTAGGTATTTCACATTTTTATTACTTCATGTAGACCTCCAGTAACCCTGTGGGGTAGCTGCTATTATTATTCCCCTGTCATGACGACAACGAGGGGTAAATACCTTGCTCCAGATCACAGCTGCAGAGCATGGGTTTGAACCCCAGAAGGCTGCTTCTCTAATTGAGGCTTTTGAATACCACATCACTCTCCATTTTAAGGCCACCTGCTATAGCTTTGTTTCCTGGTGAATGTAGAGTAGTGGGACTGGCACCAACATGAGATGTATTCCTTGCTGAGTCATTTCCCTCAAGTCCAGGCCTCCAGGCTGGATTTCTGGAGGCAAAGGGCCTCAGCTACTTTCTCACAGCAGAGCTTACCCCTGAATCCCCTCCCCAAATACCTGAGGGTGCTCTGACCACATGTTTAAAACAGTTATAACTCACTCTCTCCTCTGTGGAAGTTTGCTCATCCTTGGGGTCTCACATGTTAAGTGTAAAGGGTAATTTGATGGTTGAAGGTGTGGAGCAGTATCACTTTTTGAAGACATTTTTCTTACTAGCCAAGGTCATCTGCAATTTATTCTTGTCTTTTAAAGGGCTAAGAATCCCATGCGCTTATCAAATTAATAGCATATTTTATATTTAATGTTTTAATTCATTTCATTTAAAGGACTAAAAGAAAAGCTCATAAGTGGGAGCTGAACAATGAGAACACATGGACACAGGAGGGGAACATCACCCACCAGGGCCTGTTGCAGGGCGGGCGGCTAGGGGAGAGATGACATTAGGAGAAATACCTAATGTAGATGACTGGTTGATGATGGGTGCAGCAAACCACTATGGCACATGTATACCTACGTAACAAACCTGCATGTACTGCACATGTATTCCAGAACTTAAAGTATTAAAAAAAATACTATTAGTAAGAGATAAAATGGTACAGTTTGAAGGGCCTTTGGTAATCTGATTGAAAACATTAAAATGCATGTGTATTTTTTTCCAAAAAAACAAAAAATAAAGAAAAGTTACAAATACATTCTCTCTCTGTCTCTCTGTCTCTCTGATTACTGACACTCGGCATTTAAGGACAAGTGGTGTATCATCGGGTGAGGAAGTTAGGGTCCAGGTCCTGGTTTTGCTGAAAGGGCCATTAGTCAGGTCTCGCTTTTGGGCTATCTGAGTACCCTGACTCAGGGTTAACTGGCAGCAGGAAGGCCTGATTGCCATTGGCCCCACCATCGAGGTGTGTGGCCACATCCTGGCAGACTGCAGCTCCTATGTTGCTGCAGCCTTCTTCTCCAATAACTCATTTTCTGGGATCACCTTATCAGGATGCTGATTAATGAGTTTACCTTTGATAGCATTGGCCACACCTAGGTACAAAATCAGGGTTGGATTTTTGTCCTCTGGGGATAAGCACACCCAGGGTGAATTCATTCTCCAGAGTGGGAGGAAATCACTGAGTGATCAGCTTCTGTGAAAATCGTGCCACAGAGAAAGGGCCATGTGCTATCCTCAGTTCCTGTGAGATTTAAGTTCCTTCTCATGGGGATGGCCACTAGTTTAAATGTTGATGCTGGCATCACGATACTGTTACAGAAACCAGAAACTTGGAGGAGCCCAGGAATTCTATAAAAACACGCAGAAGGGCACAAAGGACTCTCCCCTCAGAAATAAAAGAGAAGGCATACAGAGATACTGAGATTTCCATAGTAGATTAGCAAGGATCACCATTCATTCATTCACTCACTCATTCATTCATTCATTCATTCACCATTCATTTATCACCAGGCATTGTGTTAGGAACTGAGAAAACAAAGAAATAAGAGCTTTATATGATTTATGGAATTTAGCACTTGTGGATTTTGCTTCTTCCCTCTTTATTTCCTTATAGTGATGAGATACAAAAATCTCAAAATGAAAGGGTCTGCAACCCCAGTCTTAGGGGCAGGGGGAGGTGGAATGCTGGGCCATGCTTCCCTTTGTGGAGTCCCCAGCAGAGAGAGAGACAGGAGGTTCCAGCAGGAGCTGACGGCTCTGGGGAAGAGAAAGAGACTGACGGAGTTTTGGGGGCCTGTGAGAAGAAAGAATACGGTACTGGAGCAAGCGTGCTCTCCTTGTTCTCCATCAAACCGCCCCCCAAGTAGCCAACAGAGATACCTTCTAAACATCTCAGGGGCTTCACCCTGTGCATAGCCGGGGTCAGCAAGCTTTCTTTGTAAGAGGCCAAGTGGTGACTGCTTCACGCTTTGCCAATCACATGATGTCAGTTGCAGCTACTCAAGTCGGCCGCTGATTTGTGACAGCAGCCACAGACAACATTACACAGATAGTTGGGGCTGTGTTCCAATAAAACTTTATTTACAAAAACAGGCAGTGAGCTTTGGCTTGCCCACTCTGCTGTTTAGAATAAAGAGGAAACTCTTGAATTTGACGTAAAAGTCACTTTCAGTAAACTTTTTCCTCCCTGCACCTCTGGCTTCTTTGTGGTCATTCTCCTCATGTGAGTTGCCAGTGTCATCTTGAAGGCTCCATATTGCTGACCTTTTTTTCTTTTCATAACAACTTTATTTAGGTGTAGTTCACACGCCATACAATTCGCCCACTCACTTAAAATGCACAATTCAGTGGTTTTTTTTGCCATATTCACAGAGTTGTGCCACAATCAATTTCAGAACATTTTCATTGCCCTCCCAAAATGCGGTGCCCTTTAGATGCCATCCTCCAGCCTCCTGCTCCCAGCCCTCAGCAATCTCAATTCTACTTTATATCCCTGTAGATTTCCCTAGTCTGGACATCTCATATAAATGGAATCATACAGTGTGTGATCTTTTGTGACAGGCTTCTTTCATAATATTCTCAATCTTAACATTTTAATTTCATTATCTTTTCAGGGTTCACCCATGTTGTAGCCTGTCTCGCACTTCATTCCCTTTTATGGCTGAATAGTATTCTGTTCTAGGAATATACTACATTTTGTGTATCCTTCCATCGGTTGATGGACATTTGGGTTGTTTCCTTCTTTTAGCTTTGGGAGTAATGCCACTATAGACATTTATGTATAAGTTTTTGTGTGGACAGAGCTTTTCATTTCTTTTGAGTATATACCTAGAAGTGGAATTACTGGGTCAAATGGTGACTCTATTGAACTTTTTGGGCAACTGCCAGACTATTTTCCCAAGTAGTTGCATCATTTTACATTCCTACTCCCGGTGTATGAGGGATAAAATTTCTCTACATCCTCCACCAACTGTTGTTATCATCTTCCTTTTTTATCATAGCCATCCCAATGAGTAGGAAGTGGCATCTCATGGTGGTTTTAATTTGCCTTCCTTAATGACTCATTAAGCTGAGTATCTTTTGGCCATTTTTATATCTTCTTTGGAAAAAATGTCTATTCAAGTTCTTTGCCCATTATAAAAATCATTTTTAGCAGTTATATAATTATATGTATGTTTAAGCCAGAGCATTTAATGTGGAAAATTTTTAACTGTTATGGGCTAGCAACATCATAGTACACAGTTTATAAGGAGGAAGGGGGTACAACAAAACTTTCAACTAAGAGCTAAGTATTTAAAAACAAAATAATATTATAAAAATTCAAAATTCCTTTATGAGAGTTCAACACGACAAGCTAAATGTACTTTTTGAATGATTCTGTAATCAAGGCAGTTTATTCTTTTAAAATATCATGAAATGGACAAATGCTCATTAACAGATGTAGCTGCCCTCAAGATTTCAATCTTTTCAATCTCGGTGGCTTTCTTTAAATTAAAATTCATGAAGTGTACAATTAAAATGTGTCCAAAAACTGAATCTGCTACTCTAACAGATGTCCACGCTCAACACTTAGTAGTTTATCTGACCAAATTGGATTTTGTTAGGGGAAGAAAATGAACCACTTGTAAAGCATTTAGTTTGAAATATTTTTCTTAGAAATAAAAATTTATGGAGGAAAAGTTATTTATCATAAGGAAAATAAAGTAAAACACTAGAATGAGCAAACATTTTCAAAGAACAAGCACCACAAAGGTCACTTACATTGAATTTTTAATATTTATCAATGCATATTTCTCCAACCAGTCTACTTCATCAAATTTGGAAACATTTTCTGAATCACTAGATTCCACAGCAGTATGGCAAGACAGGACGGTGGCAACATCATTTTCAATGTCTTCATGGTGAGCTCTCTTTACACCCTGCTCTTCTACGTTGTGTAACCGAACACCTTTCCTTACTGCTTCCAGAAGTACACTCTTGGCAACCCAGACTATAGGTACAGCTGGGAGATGACACTTCGGCTCATAAGCAGACGTAACTTGTGTTGGAGGAGTTGGGGTCATTCATGGAGCTTGGGGACTTGGGACAGCAGTAGGTGAAGTTGGATGTAGCCAGAGAGAGGATGAGCAGGACTGCAACTGTGACAGATGATGATGGTTGAATACCAAGTGGAGCCAGAGAAGGTAGTGTGGGGCTGGAGGTAGCCTTGGATGTCTTGTGGGATGGATGAACTGGGACAGCACTAATTCCTGGCAGAGAGGGCTGTGTAGAGGAGCAGCTGGAAGAGGAGCTGGGTGAAGATGGCTGGGGAAAATGTGGAAAGGCGCTGGAGGAGGTGGTACTGCTGGAGTTCCCAAGGCAGTGTTTGGAGGTGGAGGCAGAGGTGGGAGAGGTCTTGGTGGAGAGCAGTTGAAGTCACTGAAGCTCCTAATGAAGACATTGACAGGGGAGATGGAAGGGGTGGTGGAGGAGGTGTGGGGATGGAGCTCACAGAGACACGTGTATTGCCTATAGCTGGTGACTGAGCATGATTTTCTATCAAACCTGCAGCAGCATTTACACAGGTGGGCATGGGTTTTGCACCTCTTCTTCCTTGAATTAGTGGAGGTGGAGGTGGTTCATGTGGCCTGACTGAGACCTTTTACTCAGCTCTCATCTGAGTCTCAGTTGTTAGACTAAATGACAAGGCAGAAAGTGAAAAAATCCATCCACATGATCCACATGCTTTGGGGGCTTTGCTGCAAAGAGATTGGCCTCATCTTCAGCCAGCTCCAGACTTGGGCCAGCTTCTGCCATCCTCTGTCTGGCTCATGAAGACAATCTAGATTTTTCTAGCTTCTGCTTCCTCCTTTCCTTCCTCTGATCTTCTATATGTTGCAACATTTTTTCTTTCATAAATCAAAGAAATGTGAAGGATTGATATAAGTTTGCCCATTTAAAAATTGGGCTGTTTGTCCATTTTTATTTTGAGTTGTAGGAGTTCTTTTTATATTTTATGCTGAAGTCCCTTGTCAGATATAGGATTAATGAATATTTTCTTCTATTCTATAGTTTTTTTTTTTTTAATTTTCTTGATAGTATCTTTTGAAGTCCAAAGTCTGTAATTTTGATGAAGCTCCATTTACTTATTTTTAATTTTTGTTTGTGCTTTCTTTGCGGATGGGCCTCAGTACACCACCAAAATTTATAATCTTTCTTCCAGCCTTCCTCAAAAGGACTTATTATCTTTTACCAGGGTGACTATGCACTGAAGAAAAGAAAATAATCAGACCCTTGGGGCACTACTAAACACATGGGCCCTGAACTGACACTAAGTTCCAGAGATCCAAAATTCCGCTGTGGCCCACCACAGTCAGAGTAGTGGCTTATGGCGGTCAGGTGAGCCATGGAATTCAGCTCAGGTCCTTCTCACAGTGGGTCCGGTGTGTTCCTGAACCCATCCTGTGGGTATTTCCCCAGTTCTGAAATGTACAATTGGCCTAGACATACTTAGCAGCTGGCAGAATTCTCACATTATTCCCTTGACTTGTGGAGTGAGGGCTATTAAGGTGGAAAAAGCCAAGTGGCAGCCACTAGATCTGCCTTTACCTAGGAAAATGGTAAATCAAAAGCAAATCCACATTTCTAGAGAGGCTGCAGAGATTAGTGCCACCATCAAGGATGTGAGAGATGCAGGGATGATGACTCCCACCACATCCCCATGCAACTCTCCTGTTTGGCCCGTGCAGAAGACAGATGGATCTTTTTTGTTTGTTTGTTTGTTTGTTTGTTTTTTAATTTTATTATTATTATACTTTAAGTTTTAGGGTACATGTGCACAACGTGCAGGTTACATATGTATACATGTGCCATGTTGGTGTGCCGCACCCATTAACTCATCATTTAGCATTAGGTATATCTCCTAATGCTATCCCTCCCCCCTCCTCCCACCCCACAACAGTCCCTGGTGTGTGATGTTCCCCTTCCTGTGTCCATGTGTTCTCACTGTTCAATTTCCACCTATGAGTGAGAACATACGGCGTTTGGTTTTTTGTCCTTGCGATAGTTTGCTGAGAATGATGGTTTCCAGTTTCATCCATGTCCCTACAAAGGACATGAACTCATCATTTTTTATGGCTGCATAGTATTCCATGGTGTATATGTGCCACATTTTCTTAATCCAGTCTATTGTTGTTGGACATTTAGGTTGGTTCCAAGTCTTTGCTATTGTGAATAGTGCTGCAATAAACATACGTGTTCTTTATGGCAGCATGATTTATAATCCTTTGGGTATATACCCGGTAATGGGATGGCTGGGTCAAATGGTATTTCTAGTTCTAGGTCCCTGAGGAATCGCCACACTGACTTCCGCAATGGTTGAACTAGTTTACAGTCCCACCAACAGTGTAAAAGTGTTCCTATTTCTCCACATCCTCTCCAGCACCTGTTGTTTCCTGACTTTTTAATGATCACCATTCTAACTGGTGACAGATGGATCTTAAAGAATGACAGTGAATTATCATAAGTTTAACCAGGTGGTGACTCTAATTACAGCTGCTACATCAGATGTGGTTTCATTGCTTGAGGAAATTAACACATCCCTGAGAACTGACATGTAGCTATTTATCTGGTAAATTCATTTTTCTCCATGCCTGTCCATAACGCTCATAAGAAACAGTTTGCTTTTAGCTGGCAAGGCCAGCAACATGCCTCACTATTGTTCCTTGGGGTTCTATCAGTTCTCCAGCTCTAAGTCATAATTTAGTTCACAGAGATGTGATTACCTTTCTCTTCCATGAGATATTACTCTGTTCTGTTTATTGATGACATTATGCTGATTGGACCTAGTGAGCGAGAAGTAGCAACCACTCTGGGCTTGTTGGTACAACATTTGAGTGTCAGAGGGTAGGAAATAAATTTGTCTAAAATTCAGGGGCCTTCTGCCTCCATGAAATTTCTAAGGGTCCAGTGGTATGGGGCATGTTGAAATATCCCTTCTCATGTGAAGGGTAAGTTCTTGCATCTTTTTCCTTCTACTACCAAAAATGAGGCACAATGCTCAGTAGGCCTCTTGGGAATTTGGAGGCATCATCTTCCTCTTTGTGTGTCTTATATCAGCTCATTTGCTGAGCAATCTGAAAATTCATTATGTTTAAGAAGGACCCAGAAGAGCAGAAGTCTCTGCAATAGGTCCAGGCTGCTGCACAAGCTGTTCTGCCGTTTGTGCCACATGACCCAGCAGATCCAGTGGTGCTTGAGGTGTCGATGGCAGACAGGGATGCTGTGTGGAATCTTTGGCAGGTGAATCACAGCACAGGTCTTTAAGATTTTGGAGCAAGCCAATGCTATCTTCCACAGATAACTACTTTCCTTTTGAGAGACAGCTCTTGGCCTGCTACTGGGCCTAGGTAGAGACTGAATGCTTAACCATGGACACCCAAGTTACCATATGACCTGAGTGCCTATCATGAACTATCATCTAATCCACAAAGCCATAAACTTGGGTGTGCAGAGCAGCAACTCACCATGAAATGGAAGTGATGTACACATGATTGGGCCTGAGCAGGCTCTAAAGGCACAAGTAAGTTACATGAAGAAGCGTCCCAAATGTCCATGGCCCCCATGCTCCACAATAGAAACAAGCAAGAGGATGTCTGGAATCCAGGAGATAACTTTGAGTGTTTGTATACCATGCCTTGTGATTAAGTTCAATGGAAAACTACAGCTGAATTCGGGCAGGACTACTTATGGTCCAGATCCTTCAGGATGAAGGCTTGGGTAACCTCACCAGGTAATGGTGCATGACTAGCTGAGGTGTTTGTAGGAAGCACAGGAATATGGAATGGGTAATGGAAGAAGGTAGTTATAAGTATCAGGTATGACCACACAACCGTTTATAGAAATGAGGGCTGTAATTGTCATGAGTATTTTTTGTTATGAATGTGTTATATAAATGTATATTAAGCAAAGTCCTTGTTTTCTTCCTTCTCTCATCCCCATCAAGTAATAGAAGATGTATTGCTTTTAAATTATAATGCTTAAGTATTATTACTTTTATATCATAGTATTTAAGTTACTGGACATCAAGGGGAAAGATACCCAATAAAATACTGATTTTCATAAACAGCAATTGGAAATTAGAAATTACAAGGAATAAATGGTTAAGGAGGAGAAGGAGCAGCAGCACGAAGAGGGTCATTTTAAGCATTTCCAACACTGAGGTACTATGGAGGGATATTACTTGTGGAGGTGGGAAGATCTGCTAGGCAGTTGAAAACATAATAATCCTGCAGAATATTTGGAACTGAAGAATTAGATGTGGGAGCAAATCACATAGAGGTTCCATTTGGAGCTTTTGAAGGGAGAAGATGATCTATTCACATTTGCATTTCAAGTTCATAGGCTCTAGGTTGGAAGGATCCTTACAGTGTTTTCTTATTTCCATCTCCCACTAAGTTGGAAGGTTATAATATTCCATCTCTCTCTCTCTCTCTTTCTTTCTTTTTTTTTTTTAACAAAGAACCCCCATCTCTCTTTTTTTTTTTTTTTTTGAGATGGAGTCTCGCTCTGTCACCCAGGCTGGAGTGCAGTGGCGCTATTTCGGCTCACTGCAACCTCTGCCTCCCAGGTTCAAGCGATTCTCCTGCCTCAGCCTCCCAAGTAGCTGGGATTACAGGTGCCCACCAACACAGACAGCTCATTTTTGTATGTTTCTTTTAGTAGAGATGGAGTTTCACCATGTTGACCATTGCTGGTCTTGAACTCCTGGCCTCAAGTGATCTGCTTGCCTCGGCCTCCCAAAGTGCTAGGATTACGGGCATGAACCACTGCGCCCAGCCTGAACCCCCATCTCTTAATCAGAAATATATTTAAGGTGAGATGCCTTTGGATGGGTTGACAGAGGTATAAGTGTGCTTGAGAAGCATGAGTCAGGTCCCTGTGCCTGAGAAATGAAAGACTTCCAGTTCTATAGATTGTCGACTAACATTTATGACAACATTCCGGAAACAAGGCTGAAATTCAAGGCTTTTGATCACAGACCTTCACAGGCACACTATGTAAAGCCTTGTGTTGAGATTGCTTTATTATTTCCAAGTAGTTTTTCAGCTTTAGATCGACTTTGGCATAATCGCACACCGGGCTGAATGTCCAAAGGCTTCTTGCCAAGGCAAACGCTTAGTCTTCTAAGGAGCATCCTGCTGGGAGCTGATTGCCAGGCAGACATCTCTGTGAAATCCCATGGCGTGCAGGCATCAAGGTGTACTTACATAGCTAAATACACTGAAAAACAGTTCTTCATCTGTCTGTATATATCTATATCTATATCTATTATCTATCTATCATCGATATATCACAATCAGAGATTTCATTATAATATTCAGTGTCAGGTGGAAAAGTATAGCAGTTTTATATTTTCAGCTTCCTTTCAGAAATTAAGTAAAGATCCATTTAATATACCCAAAAAACAAACATTATTTTGTGCCTTTAGTTTAAGTGGAGCAAGTCTGTCTATGAGTTTTGTCATCATCATAGCTCAGTGTTCAGGCATTTTCCCAGGAATCCTTTCTGGTTGTTTACTTTTCCTGTTCTTCCTGTTCCTTTCGCATCCCCTGTGCCTTCAGTGTTGTGTTTTAGTCATGAGACATGCCTCGGGCCCTCCCCAGAGTGTCTTTTCCAGCTTCCGGGTCTCAGGTTCCATCTTTGTTTCTGTTTCGTTTCGTTTCGTTTCTGTGACTCTGACCCCGGGTCTCTCAATTACAGAAGGGCCTGCTGCCCTGAGTAGGAAACACCCTGTCCTAGGACCCTCCTGGCTTGGACCCATACCCCCTGCCCCATGGAAAGGGGCTAGGATGTTGCATCTCACATTCTAGGGTTTCCTACCTAAGTAGCCATTCTCCATATCAGGGCAGCAGGGTGTGGTGGGATAAGAAGGGGGACTTCCCTTAAGGCTGAAGGCCCTCCAGCTTGGCTGGCAAAGACCAGGGCAGAGCTCACAGATCAATGCTGAGCTGGCAGATCAATCAATCCCACATGTGCCACCACTGTAGTTCATCACCATCCTCAGCCCCCATGTGCACCCTGTATTCAACAACTACCAGCTCCAACTTCAGAAGGAAGCTTTTCAACCATACAGAGCTCAAGGTTCTTGGTGCACTCACACAGTGCTGGGTTTTTCATGTGGGATTCAAAAGTGGGTTCATCCTCACTGATGCTCCCTGGTAATGAAGCTGAGTTCCTAGTGCTCCGCCCAGATGCCCTCGGATCCCCACTGCCAGTCCTCACCTCATCCCCTACCCTTTCTTCTATGAGCCTGGACCTTGGGGACTGAGTGGCTTTGCCCAGAGGCTTAGAGAGCACAGGCTCAGAGAACACAGGTATGGGAGCTGACATTGCCCTGGGGCCTCTCAGAGGGAGTGATTATGTCATGCCCCAGGAAAGCCCAGTTCCCTGACTCAAGTAGGGACAATCCCTGCATTGCCCCCTGAGGATCAGGCTGCACCTAGGACTATGCTAAGTCCATACCCTTGCTTGGCTACTTCCTCTCCAGCCTGCCTCACCACACACTGATAATTCTCTCCTAGGAATACTTTTTAAATAAATCCCTTGCACAGAAACCCTCATACCAGGATCTGCTTCTGGCAACCCAAACCCAAATACAGGATGGCACAGGTTGCTTGCACACTGTGGGATTTCACAATGATGTCTGCCTGGCACACCAGCCCCTAGCAGGATGCTCCTAAGGTTTTTCCTGTGCGAACAACCTTTGGACATTCAGCCTGGCGTGTAGTTAGGCCAAAGTGCTGTGACTGATTGCAGTTTCCTGCTTGATTACAACCAGGGTGTAATCAAGGTCCCTGGGACCTCAAGGGGCATGACTGGAGATGTTTTGTGCTAGTTTCTTGGGCTCATGTCCACGTGAGTTGCTAGGGAGGGCATCTTAACTTTTATATGGCTGTTGCAACTGATTCTACACTGAGTCTTCTGTCGGAAGCCGGCCTGGTCTGCCTCTCCCTGCACCCGTATTGTTCCCTAATTTCCATGGTGGGTACTGGTGGTGGTCGGGGCTGTTCTCCATCAGTTTGGAGCTTAGGCGGGCAGCCAGTGGCCTTCTGGTTAGGGACATGCTGGACTCTGGAGTTTTAAACCTAGGGGTGGACCAAACCCTAGTCAGTTAGTCCACCTTTTTCTGCTAAACTTTGTACCTAGGTCTGAACTCTGTGAGTGGACATCACTAATGACTGCTCCTGGAGGCCCAATGACCCAAAAGCCCACAGCAATCCAGCTGCACACTGGGGATGACCTAACAGGTGGAGAGCTGTCCATCAGCCATGCATAACCCTTCTTGATCCTTATCTTCTGGCTGGAGGCCATGTTCAGGTCACCATCTGAAAACTGCACCTGCACTTACTTTATGGTCCTTGCCATCATGGCCCACATATACTATTGGTCTCTTCTATGCCCACCTGCTTATTCCTGGGACCACAATATGTACACCACTTCCCAGGAGGTGCTTCCAGATGGGAAGGTGGGTGGAGGAAAAACTCCTGCCTCGGGAGCATGAGAGCTGTGGTGGCCTGGGACCTCCCTTGGCTTGGAGAGCTGGGCATACTTCCCCTACAAGTTTCAAAGGGAGGCAGGCCCTTTACCATGCACAGGCTCCTGTTGTTGGGAGTGCTCCTCAGAACTCTTTGGGAAGAAGGCTGGGAGGGTCTGATGATGTCTGGATTTCTGGGACTCCCATGCAATCCTCACCCAGGACCCCTATCTTCACAAATACGGATCTTCAGGAGCCTTCTCATTCATCTACATAAGATCCAGCGCAAGCTGACCCAGAAACTCAGCTTGAGCCGACTGAGGTGGGCTGCCTTTGTCAGCTGGGGTAGAAGGAAGCTCGGACACGTTTTCTGTGTCCGATGAACTCAACCCATGCTCTGCTCTGACTGGACTTTCTTCACTTAAGCCCAGTTAAGGCACAGACGAGTCAATTCAGGGATGGTCAACCAAGGCAGATAGAGATTTACAGAAAGTACTAAAATCCCTGAGTTCTGCTTGGTAGGGTTTGAAGGAAGTTGGTGTGACACATTCCATGGGGTTTCCAAGAACCAGCTGCCAATGTAAGGCAATTCCAGGACCTGGCCATATGAGTGTGTCCCCAAGAAGATGAGGTGGCCCTGGGCACATGCAGAGAGACTGCATGGGGAGGCAGATTTCCCAGAGGACTACCAAGAATCTCATGAAAGGCAAGGGCTCTCTTTCTTGCTTTGCTTATGGTGAATATGGAACATGAATGGTTGATTGTTCTTATGAAGAGGCTGCAGAATGAGGAAAGTGGAAGCCACAGTGTGCTTGGGAGTCACTGAAATGCAGAGACTGATCATGGGTCAGGGCCAGCTGGATGGAGGGCGAGAAGGAAGAGAATGGGCACCACTGAGGAGGGATGGCCACTTCACCTCTACTCTCCCAATGTGCCCCCTGGGTGGAAGGTGGTGCCCAGAGACTGACAGGAGCAATGACCCTGAGGGAGACAGCTCTGCTGGAAACAGTCCACATTGCCAACAAAGACGCAGCATTCCAGGGCGGCCTGCAGACAGCTGAGGACCCCTGATTATCTTAGACCCATCGGAGGGTCCCTGACTCCTGCTGCCCTCAGCCCAATGCTTAGCCCTCCTTGATGAAAAGGGGTCTCCGAGGAGCACTGCCTCTTCTTCCTGAGGAGGGATTCTGAAGCACCCAGTGAGAGGCAAGACATTACGATTTGCTGAGATAGCCCAGATGTACAGACTGGAGAAAGCACTGCTGATGGGGCAGGCTGTGAGGGAAGAGAGGACTCCAGGGCCTGGATGTTTGTGCCAGCCATGCATGGTGGTCTTGCGGTATGCTCTGTTCCAGCTACAGCTGGGCTTAGGGTGTTTGTCAATATTTATTCATTTGTAAAACCAAATTTGGCTTTACTCAATTTTTGTTCCCTTCTCTCCTCCTCTGCCCTCCCTCCATAGAGCAGGTGTGCAACAGTGATGCCTGTATGGCCATGGTGCCTACAGCAGGGCTGGGTTGATGGTCGTCCAGGGCCTCTGCCTACAGAACAGGGCTGCTGGGGGGTTCTCCTAAACTAGGGATCAGAAAACAGTTTCTGTGAAGGACCAGATAGGAACTATTTTAGGCTTTGTGGGTCACATATTCTTCTTTGTCATTTCTGTTGTTTTTATAACAACTGTTTAAAAGTATACAAACAGTTTATTCATAGCTCCCAGCCATACTAAATGGCTGGATTTTTTGGCCCACAGGCCACCTCTGTGGCCTAGACCAACCTCTTTGAGCCTAGACCAACAACCCATGAATGTGGAGAGAGAAAGGGCACTGATAATGGAGAAGGGCTGGGAGGGTCCTCCACTGTTGAAAAACCTCTTTGGAGAAGACTGATCGTTAGATTCCTGTAGTATGAACTCTAATTCTACCAAGCTGAAAAAAATAGAATAGGAACTGTTAAGAGGTAAACTCTGACACGTTAACATTTTAAAGAGTTTATTTGAGCAGGCAATGATTCATGAATCTGGCGCTCCAAGCCAGAAAGATTCAGGGCTCCTTTGAAGGAGCGTGTGGGGAGACTTTTATAGAGTGAATGGGAAGCAGGATAGGGGAAATGTTTAATTGGTCAAAGTGGAGCAATAATTGGAAAGTCCCTAGTCCAGGGTTGATTGGTGGTTTCTGACTGGTTGAGTCCTCAGTGTAACTGAGTTGGGTCTTGGTTTGCTTCCATAGGAATCTGGGACACTGGAGGCACTAAGGTCTGATGGCCTCCCAGGTGATCATTTTAACAACACCTAGAAAGGGTTAAGGATTTTCATTCCAGTCCCTAACCCTCCTCTCTGTCATTTGTTTCCTGGCATTCCCCATACTTGAGTTTATATGGACTAAAACTTGCCTCAGATGTTTTGGAGTTCCCTTAACAGCAAAACCCACACTAGATTATTAGGGGTAAAATGAGGAAAAGGGCAGTGGAACACAGTCTTTGGGGCTGCATAGGGAGCTCGGTCCACTCCACTTAGGGCAGGCCCTGTGGGAGATGTGATGAGGTCGGGCAGGATGCAGGGGGTGTCAGCCTGGTACCTACAGGCCAAAGAAATCCCAGAAGCCTTGTGATGGGGCTGGAGGGCAGAGCTGGGCTTTACTCAGCTTTGGGGAAGGGCAGTTTCTGCTGTGGGCTCCCTCCTGCTCACAGACATCTCCAAGACGCTCTAATGCAGAGACCCTCTCTGGGAAGAGCTGCCTTTCTAAGTGGATTCCCATCAGGCTTTGTTGTTTTTCTTTTTCTAAATAGGCCATTAGAAAAATTTTGGAATTTCTTATGTAATCAGAGAGAATCCATAGAACACCCAAGCTGTTCCAAGTGCTAAGAGGAAGTGAGTAGTGCAAGATGAAGTCTGCAGAGAAGACTTTCGCAATCTGCGTGACTCCTGCAGTGTGTGGGGAGCTAGCCAGGGGCCGGGGGATCCTGATGAACCGTGTCTGCGTGACCTGTTTGTGGGGGCCATCCCTCTCTCCCTGGCTCTTAGTGTTCTCATCTGAAAAGCAAGATTGTTGAATGATGTGATTTTTCTGACTCTTGTAATTCTCACCCTAAAATTTTATGAGTCTAACTTCCCATTGCTGCTTTTTATTTTCTTCTAAGTGAAAAGTTCCAAAGTAAATTGAACATTTACAATTTGATCTTCTATGACTGTGGTATATTTAGGAGTCTCTCTCTCTCTCTCTCTGTAAGTATGTAATAAGTGATCAGAACACAAGATTATCTAGGATACATGGATGGTCATCTTCATCGTGTTTATTTTATGCAGCTGGACCAAAGATATTTTAAGATTGAATTAAACCATTAATTCTTCTTCATAGTACTTTTAGCATTGTTTAAAAGGACATAGCAGAGCTTTGTAAAAGAGGAGTCTAGAAGTATTTTCTGTGGCTGAAATTTTTAGAGAATATAAGAATGGGATATATTTTTACAATTAAATTAAAAAAATTAGTTTATAAAGGGAGAAAAGCAAGTTTTGCCTAGTCGTAAACTCTAGACCTATTGCCTATATTCTGATCAATACTGCCCATATATCCAGTTTCTATCACAGTCACAAAGGGAGTCACTATGTGATTATGTGCTTGCTATCTAAATTGTTAGGCAGCTCTTAGAACATGAACCCAAGACATTTGGTGTGGGTATTCCTGATAAAAATTTATTTGCTATTGAATCATGCTGGTTCAGTTCACCATATCTTTCCTCAGTGCAGGCCGGAACTCTGCATAAATACTATACTGGGATATTTGTCATGTGGTTAATGATTTGCATGCTTACCCTAGAGAGGGAAAGATGAAAGAATGCAAAGGGGTATACTTTGTTACCGGGTGGAGTAGATATTTTTTTGTGTTGTATGGTTTAATGATAAGTTAACCACCTATCCCACAAAATGTACCTTCCTGACATTAAAAGAATAATGATACATGGATCGTTGTATAGCTTGTATAAAATGATGGCAGATATTTTCTTGGTACAGGTTTTAACAAAAAGAAGGAAAAGAACATAATCATTAGTGTAGCTGAAGAACTTGGCAATGCTGACAGTTTTGCTAAGAGCCCTTTAAAAAAAAGTATAAAAAACGATTTTCCACAGAGATGTGAAATTTAAGCTTTTCTTAACGTCCATGAGTTACCAAATATTTTATTTTATTTTTCCCTTGAGCTCACTGAAGACTTCCTCTCTCTCTCAGAAGTCCATCTGAAAGATAAAATCTTTCTCTGCTTTCCAGCCTTGTGTTGGCCACAGAAGTAGGCTGAGTTTCTTGTTCATCTTGTGTTCCTTATCGCTCTCCTGTGGCCTTTCTCTTTGGTTTTGGGACCATTTCAGCTTGAAGCCACCTGAGCCAGACCCAGCTCACAGCATTCCATCCTTCATGCCACCCCCTGCACCTCCTAATCTAATATCTTCAAGAGTAGGACTATCCTCTGCCTCTCATTCCTGACCTTTAAAAATAAAAACCAGTTCCCCCACACATTATCCTTAGTGCCCACTTATCATCCTCATTCTTCTCTTGCTCACTTTCTCTTACATTGAAATTCTACTCTTATTTATCTCTTTATTTATTTCACTATTGTAAACTAGTGATGGAACTAAATTGCCTTTATTTTGCCTTAGGACAGGGGAGTACGTTATGTGGTTGGTGTCTAAATGAGGGATCATGTATCTTAATTAAAAACTCTACCCAGGATTTGGTTACATTTTGATGAAGTATTATCATCTACAGGTAGTGTGTAACAGCTCCAGACTGGAGGAAGGGTGTCTTTGTTTTAAGTGTCCTTGATCATGAGGCTCAAATGGCAAAAATCTGGTAAGAAAGTCCAGGACAGACTCCCTGACTGCTCTCAGATCTCTGTGCGGAAGGTTAGGGTGCTTCCTGCCATCTTCTTCTGGTAGTCCTTGTCAAATTCTTCATTTTGGGCCACAGTAAAATAGTTCTTCCAGTCTCCAGGCATCCCTGAAACAAGGCAAAATCTTAATGATTGCTGCAGGAGTAGAGGGAGAGGTAAGCATGCACCCTTAGGACCCCACCAAGAATGAGGAGAAACAGGCAACTTGCCTCTCAAAGGTTGTACAGTGGTGCTGCTGGAAAGAATAAATAATGGAGAATGAAACATTACTGGAAAATCTAAGCAGACCATGGGGACCACAGAGTTCCATTTGACATCTTAGACTACAAAGCTTATCTACCTTTCCTCATAAAAGGGGAGATGGAGTGGTCCATAATGCTGGTGGGCAAAGTGGTATAGTTGGTCATTGGGTTTTGCTTCATTACATCAAAGGAGGTGTGATAGATGATTTTATTCAGAATTTCCTCTGATATGTCTTTTTCCAGGAACTTCAGTATCTTCTCAATTTCCCGCTTTGGGTCCTGTATGTGGAACAGTCACACCAAACAAATCATGTTGGGTCTTCCCTTGGGGATGATGTTCCATTTGGACAGTATTTGGAGAGAAATGAGTTAAAGGATCATTTGAACACATTTTAAAAATATTTCTCAAGTGACTCCTAGTGCCAGACACTGTACTGTCCCAGATACTGTAGCAACACAAAGATGAGGGTTGTCCCTGCCCTCAAGAGGCTTACCTTGAAGGAAAGGAATTAAGCATAAACACAAACAATCACAAGGCTGGCTGAGAAAGTACATGCTGCCTACGTACAGACAGAGTGCCAGGAGATTTGGTGGGAAGGAGCAATGATATCTCCTGGGGGAGAACAGGAAAGGCTGTGTGAAGGAGGAACAATGTTGGTGGTGAAGCATAGTATAACTAACTCTAGTATTTGGACTACAACAGATGGCAAAAAGAACCTATGAACTTAACAGAAGGTCACTAAGAGGAGGAATAAAAGGAATCTCAAGTTGACCCAGAAGCATAGATCCTTATTTCTTGGATCTTTTTGATCAAAGAGATACAGAAAGAGAGAAAGCTATAGCTTTTGATTAAATTTCTGAGGACATCTCAGATGCTAGTTTTGTAATTCTAGGATGCTGATGCACTGGGTCATGAGAGTGAATTTGTGCAGACACTCAGACACGATGGTTTGAAATTCAGAAATCAGTCCACTGTCCCAATATGTGGGACTAATCCTACCAGTGTTTATATGGATTAAACTTTGCTTTATGATGTGGGGTTGAGGTGTGCAAGAGGGAGAAGGAAGCTAAATTTCTTGAACACAACTATGTACACTTTACAAGTATGATAGTGTAAATCTTTACAATGATCTCATGAGATAGATATGATACCATTTTGCAGATAAAGATATCTGGCTTACAAGTGCCAGGAGCCAACAGATTCATTCAACTATAAAGCATGTGCTATTTCCTGAGGAAGAAGAATATTTTGAAAACTGAATTAAAGCAAAGCAGATTTAGAATACCGAAAAAGTAGTTAGAGCTTTTGAGGATAAAACTGAGTTGCAAACATTGTCATGGACTTGCACTGAAGGCTCTTCTGCATGAAAGCCCATGCACTACCCCATTTTTCCTAACTGGAAATCACTGAAACCTAAGTTGTGCTTTCTTAAAGCCCTGTGAACTGAAGACTAAATGTTTCAGCAGGTGCTGCCTCTAAGCCCCTGAAACAAAGAGTGCTGCTGGGAACAAATAGACCTCCCCTATACCAATGCTGCATTCAGTGTCCCATAACAATGACACTCACTCAGCAGGAAGTAGCCAGAAATATTACAATGCCCCATATCCCTACAATTCTCATGATAAATAAATATACTAGCATGATAAGAATTATGCACAAATTGACAGTGGGGATTGTGGCAGGCAGGTTGCATTAATGCAGGCCTCCATCACAACTGTTTCAGTATTCAGTGAGTGGTTAAGTTAAATATTAAAAAAAGCCAGTGCCCTTATGCAAAGGCTGAAATGTAACAAAAGCCCATCCAGAGTTTTGCCTAGGCGTTTCCTGGGCCTTACAACATGACAAAATAATAAAGGAGTTCTTAACAGTACCCAGTTAGGATTATATAAGTTTTATTGGGGCTCTGAAGAAACTCCCCAGGCCTCCACAAACACGTTTATTGGAGGTCTGAAGGAACTCCCCAAACCTCAGTAGTTTAACAGGAGACAAGATAAGGGTGATCAACCCAGTACCTGGAGACCCATTTAAATTAAGCAAACTTCATTAGGCACCAGAGGAAGGTCTTCAGGACTCAGATCTTAGTTATAAATTAAAATAAATTAATCACATATGTCTTTAGAAGGCATGCACACTTACATGTAGACATACAGCTTAGAAGGTAGATAAGCTCTGAAAAATTTTGTCATTTTGAGTTGGTTTGGTGATAATTTCCAGGCCCTCTGAATGTAACCAGTTACAGAAATAAAACTTCTCTTCCTCCCCAGTTCATCTGCATCTTGTTATTGGGCCACAGGAAATAGCAGCCCGACCCTCAGTTTAGTCCAGGAACAGTCACATTGGGGAAAGTTCTAGGGGAGGCCATGGGGCAAACTATATCTTACACCTGTCTGAATCTTAGTAGCCCATAGCCAAAATATGCCTCTAGAAGATGAAGAGCAGTTCACAGCCTCCTTGTAGAAATGACCAGCAACTCTGTTTGTAGCTTTTACGAACTTTCATCAAGGCATTCTCAAACCTTACAGTTCTTAACATTAGATAGCCAAAATGCTTTGCCCAAAACCCGTGATCCCATCTTCTACACCTGGACTCTCAGCATCATACCCCTTAATACCTGCAAAGGCAGGCAGGTATCATCCATTGCATGGAAGAAATAAGCTTTGTATAGTTGGTCATCAATACTCTGAGTCCAAGGTTAGTACAGGAAATGTCTTTATTGACAGCATTCAATTGCTTTTCAATTAGTAGAAAATCATTTCTGAGTAGGAAAATGAAATTTGCTTTTCCTTTAATCTGCCTCCTCCTCTCTGAGGTAGACTGTGGACTCTGACAGTACCTGGGGCCCGAGCTTTCTAATCATTGTGGATTCTCATGTCTCCAATTACAAAGCACAGTAGCCCTGTGAACCAGTCTTCCAGTGCATTGACTAGGCAGGAGTGATCAAGGAATCTCTTTTTTTCTTGCTATACCTTTAGGGAATACTAGAGGAAATCTCTTCTCTGGATCACCAACTAAATATGAGGATGGTAATTCAGGTGGTTGGGTTATCTGGCTGGATGTAGGCAGTGGGGTAATGCCTGATGGGGAACTTTCACCCCAGGGTCCCCTCTGGGCTGGTTCAAATGCCCCCATCTTCATCCTCTCTGCTTCCTTACAGCAGGCCTTAGGGACCAGCTGCTCTCTTTTCTTAAAATCTCATCATCTATTTTTTACCTTTGAGTTTGTCTTCCATCCAGTTGACTAGAGAATAGGATGTCATTTCCCCTTTGCCTGGCGTAACAATAGCACTGCCTTGTCACTACGATAAGGTAGAGACAATGATCACAACCACAGGGAGGTTACTTTGCTCTGTGTACTGGGAGCTATGTATATTGTTCCTGATTCCCTTTCAAGATGTTAATTGAATACCTTTTTACACTTCTTTAATTTTATTTCTGAGTTTAAGTCTTTCCAAATTTCCCCCCTTTCTTACATGTTACATGCTGTCATCTCTGAGGCCATCAGCCCTGTTGGCATCCACCTACTCCCTAAGGCCCCTCAGGACCTTCTCTTCTAATAAGACAATTGTACTTGGTCATATAAAAAACCAGGTCTTCACTGGTGCATGGTTGAAGCACTAAATTTATATTAAATCTGAGGTCATACCTATTGTTAGAGTGATGCAACAGAGACTCTTTATTAAGAGAATGGCAATGCATAGTTATTAAGAGAATGGCAATGCATAGTCATGGTGCATTTGTCCCAGATCTCAATTTATAGATTAGATACATTAAGCATTTTATTTATATCGTGGGAAGATTTTTTACAGGAGTACTCACTGACTAATTTCTCCAACTCAAACTCTTTCGATTGAGAAAATTAGTTACAAGCCAAAAGTAGAGCAGTAATCATTTTGCAATTGATTGATATTTTGCAGTAGTAATTTATTTTTATATCATTCTATTACAGAAATGGTGACTCTGAAATGTACTTATCAGCTCTTTTCTCTTGGAAGTTATTATTTATACATAAAAGTATAGAATGTACACTTCAAGCTGTTACATTCTCTCTTAACAATGGGGCTTGTAATACCTATGCATAATTTTCTTGTGAAATCTACTTGGGATCACACATGGGAATCCATGATGCAATTGTTTGTTTTTGCTCTGTCTGTCATGCACAATAAAACATACCTGTACTTAAAAAACAAACAAACAAAAAAACTCATGTAGGCGGACTCTGCTCTCTAATTCTCTTATTTTATTTACTGGAGTAACTGGTTTGTTGATATTTTAAATCATGTTTTAATATTATAGCAAACTAGCCACACTATAGGAGATGGACTGAAGCTCATAAGCTCCACATTCAGTCACAGTTCCTTGCTCAACAGAATAAAAGGCGAAATAGTTGGCATAGTCTCTGTCACCTAGTTTGTTGTTGTTCCTCTCAGATCTCCAGGCAGAAGTTCAGTGTGGACCCTGCCATCTTCTTTTCATAATGCTTATCAAAGTTCTCATTCAAAGCCACAGTAAAGTGGTTCTTCCAGTCTCCAGGCATCCCTGTAGGACATCAAAGAAGTTCATGACAGACTCTGCACCCATTCCACCTAACCTTTCTATAGTGAATGGTTCCTAGGCCTACCCACGTGATTTTCCCATGAGTGAGGGTCCCTCAGTCCCACTCCCTCTGGTCTTTCCACTATGAATGGTCCCTCATTTCCACTCCACTTGGCTTTCTTACCACAAGGCACACAGCATCCTTATACTCCTTCCTCAAATGCTGCAGGCCCCACTGAGGTGCCCCACTGTGCTGAATCTTCTGCTCCAGGGTACACTCCTGGCTCTAGTGTACCCAACCCAAAGTCTACAGCTGGTTACCATCATGGACTTCCTGGGGGACAGCCTATCTTATTCTCCCAGGGACAGTGAAAGACGTTACAAGATGTCAGTAACCTCATTGTAGAAGATATTACTTGTTGGGTAAAATTAAATAGTAAATCCACTGGAAATGACATTTGGATACTAGGGATCTTCTGCAAACTGTTGTACCTTGTCAGCCCAACAAATGCTGTACTAATGAATTGTTTCTCTAAGTTATCCTAGTACTTTATTTCTACTGGTTTCCTACCCTTTGACAAGAGGATTAATCTGAAATGCTTGCCCATAATATCAAATTCTAGATTCCAGCTTGCAACTAGTTAATTGGAATGTTCTGGAATGGGGTCACTGTTTTTAAAGGTAATTTTGATACAGCCAGGAGAACTGGTATTAGGGAATTCCTAGTATAGCTTCCACTTTACTTTCTTGTTTATAACTTTTTGCAGCTATTTTTGCATGTATCTAGAATGTTAACTTGTTGAGGACAGAAATAATGTTCATTCATCTGTACACTCACACAACAGGCCATTACTGAGTTGTTTTGAGGTATGAGTCTCTATACTAGGTTCTAGTGGAACAAAACTGAACACTACACTCTCTTCAGGACAGCCTATCATCTTATTTTGGAGACAGACATGAATATCAGTAGTTACAAATCCAAGTACTAAGTGCTTAGCTAGGGTTTTGAACTACAGGGATAGACTAAAGATGAGTGTTCAAAGCTGCTCAGAGGATGCACAAGCCTTCAAAGGGAAGTTCATGGTTGAGGTGGGTATTGTAATCAAAGTGACCAGCACCATCAGCATCACCTGAGTACTTGAGAGAAAAGCAAATTTGAGGGCTACTGCTGGATCTGTGGAATCAGTATCTCTGAGTGGGGACCAGCAATCAGAGCTTTAGCAAGGCCTGCAGGGGTTCTAATGTGACTCAAGTTTCAGAACCACTGACATTGGCTGTCTGCAAACAGGCAGGGTGAAGGGAGCAGAGATTCAAAATTTAACTGAAATGAGTCACTTCTGCCTGAAAATTAGGTTGAAAATTATTTTAGCATATAGGGTAGAAAATTTTTTAGAGTTCAGTTAAGGAAAAGAAATGCCACCAACCTTTCCTCATAAATTTTGAGATGGAGTGATTGAATATGTGAGCAGGTACCGCAGTATGGTTGGCCATGGGATTATCCTTCATTACATCAAATGAGGTATGGTGGACAATCTTGTTTATAACATCACCTGACCAAGTTTTCTCCAAGAATTCCAACACCTTGTGGATCTCATGTTTTGGATTCTGATCATGGGAGAAAAAGGCATTGTGAAGAGGGAGGAAAGAAGAAGAACTTGGCCAATTAAAGACACAGCTTTTTAACAGAATAACATTGTCAGGAGGGTTTCTGGGTCTGACCTATAAGTCTCAGTGCCACTTACTTTTTTAATATCCTCGTAGAAGAGGTAGAGGATCCGGTGCATGTCTTTTGCAGCCCACCATCCTTTCACATGGTCAAACCAGGACCCGCCAACAACTGGAAGAAGTCAGAGCACTGTTAGTTCCCAGTACTGGGACAAAACCCAAGGCTATAAAGTAAATTAGTGCTCCTTTGAAATAAGCTTCTGTAACTATCGTTCTGGTTCCTTAACGAAGTGGAAATAATTTTCTAGTAATAAAATTTGTCTATATGGTGTAAAGCCGAGATTTATAGTACACATTTATTATATGTGACTTTGCACACATTGACTATGTCTTGTGACATGTCTTAAAACATTCGGCAATAAAATTCTTCCCCTGTTCCTGGTAAACCATGTTTAGTTTCAGACTCAACTAATTCAGGCCATCCTATAAATGGGTAGGGTCCTCCTGCTGCTTTCCCTGTATAGCTGCACTATGCAGTTTGCAAGTTCCTCTTCCAAAAGAGACTCAGCAGCAGCAGAAAGAGGGGTGCCCTCCAGGAGAACTTCTATTTCCAGCTGAGGCTGTGTCTACGTGGTAAACATGGGATGCATTTTCTTTTCACTAGTTGGTAAGAGAATGAGTGGACACCTGAGTTAGCCAGCACCATATTTTATCCCAGGGATGTTTTAGTGTCCCTGATAGGTTGTAACTTCTGGCAGCTTCCTGGTTTGGTTCTGGGCAGTCATTATAAACACAGGAGCTATCTTTATTCAGGGTGAGCTATGTTGCAAGCATTGTGCTAAGTGGACTTGAAGATTCGTCTGAAGGATGATGGAAAACATTCTCCAGAGGAAAATGACCACAGACCAAGTGAGCAAGTGTGTGAAATGCTCTCTTTTGAATCAGGACAAACAGAGATGTAAGTTTGCAGTGACTTGAACTTTGGCATGTGTCATGGTGACTGGTATCTGTGTCAGCCAGGTTCTCCAGAGACACAGAGCAATAGGCAAATCCAAAGAATACATTAGTTCATCCTTATGCACAGGGGATATATCACATGACCCCCAGCGGATGCCTGAAACCACAGATAGTACCAAATTATATGATAATAGTGTTTATGTTTTTTCCTATACATAGATGTGTATATTACTTTAATTTTTATATTAGGCACTGTGAGTGAATTACAACAAAACTAATAATAAAACAGAGCTTCTATAACAATATTCTCTAATATATTTACATCTATGTGAATGTAATCTCCCTCTCTCTATCCTTCTTTCTCTTGAAATACTGTAATATTTTTGGATTGGGGTTGATTGTGGGTGACTAAAACTGCAGAAAGGGAAACCAAGTATAAAGGGGACTCATCCATGTATATGTATGTGTGTGCATGTTTTATATATATGCATAATATAAATGTGTACACATATAATTTATTTTAGGCAATGGCTATGTAATATGTACATATAGATAAATGTACATATATAATGTATATTATGTATATATGGTTTATTTAAAGGAATTGGCTCCTGCAGTTGTGGGTCTTGGCATGTTTTAAATCTGTAGGGGATGCTGGAAAATCAGGCAAGATTTGATATAACAGCCTTGAGGCAGAATCCTTTCTTTTGGAAACCTGAGTTTTTTTTCTCTTAAGACCTTCAGGTGATTGCATAAAGACCACCCATATTATTAATATTTAACATTATCTCCTTTTCTTAAAGTCAACTGATTATAGATGTAAATCACAACTACACAATTGACACTTTCACAGAAACAACAGGATTGTTGTTTGATTAAATATGTAGGTGTCACAATCCAGCCAAGTTGACACAAAAAAACAGTAACAAAATGTAGGCCTTGGAAAAAATCATATAAGAAAAGAAGCTTGGATCCTGTCTTCCTCTGCTTCCTCCTACTTTTCCTGCTCTCAAAACTTCTCTGCATAAATATTGGAAATCTATTCACCTGGAGTCCTATCTAGATTTGCTATTTTTCTTATTTCCATCTGTCAGTCCTTTTTAATTTATGTTTCTAGAGAAAATGTTCTAATGAGGTTATCTCTCTTGATTCACTGGAGAGACATGCTTGATGGAAATTATTATTTATTGACTTTTCCACAGATATCTGTTTTTATTCAGGTCATGTTGTGGAAGTCACTTCATTTTGATTTTTCTTTTTCCTCAAAAGAATATGAATATGAATATGTCAGGACTGGTTATAATGAAGCTCAGGTCCCTAACACACTTGCTCAGGGATAGTTAGGTTGCTCAAGGACTGGGAGCTCTCAGCATCACAACTCACCCATTTCACTTATGGAAGTTCTAATTATTTGAGAGACGTTAGTGAAATGGTGGAGACACCATGTAATGTTTATCCATTTGTCTAGGTTCTGCTCACTGCAGTTATAATGAAATACTATAATCATGTTTCTGCATTAATGCTCATACAAATATGTAAAGATGGTCCTTACATCCTAAATCACTTTATGTAGCCATCTTATCTTTCTTCTGTCTAGAGATTGTTGTTTTCATGAGATATTCTTCTTCTGTGAAGGGTTTGAGATCCTTGCCAATCTGATTTGACACCTGGTCAAATCTAGTCAATTGCTATTTTGAAAAGTGTGGCCCTAATGTGTTCACTGCTTCTCTGGAAGGTGTGATCTTAATAAATGGATGAGGGGTCATGGCTGCTAATTCTAATGTGAGGTTCCTGCAGGTGAACAGGTCTAAGATTGTGCACTGTGACCTACGGGAAAGGCTGTCTGTGGCTGTGCAGTGTATGACTTTTGTAACTATACGTGGTGGTCTGGCCATCCAATCACACTGCAAGATGAAACCGCAGGATATCATCTCATGCCTTCCCACTGCCAGGTCTTTCCATAGGAAATGTTGCCTCTTCTTATTTTGAAGTTGATTGTTTGAAACTCAAGTCAAGGATTTGGGGCTTTTTACCTTTGTCTCAAAACTTATGACCCCAGTTGACCTCAATTTACATTTGTACTCAATTTTGGAAAAATACCTCTTCTACCTGGCTTCTCCAGTCCCAGATCATCAAGATAGGACCTCCTCAATCAGGATGGCCTTTTGTAACTTTCTCCTCCAGTTTACAGAGGTGCTTATTGTTAGAGTCACCTGAAAGAGGGTACCAAAAAGATCAGTTTGAACTCACCTTTTCCGGACATGAATTTCTCATAAAATTCCTCTAAGTTCTGAGGATCAGGCATAAAGGAAGCCATCCTGTGAAAGTGGTAGTAGGACACCAGGCAATCCTTGGGATTTCTGGCCACATAGACAATCTGAAATCAAGGAGAGGGAAGGAAGCCATGGAGAGAAAAATAGACTGACATGAAATACTCAAGTGAGTGTTTCAATACAATGGTAACCATATCCTATAAGTTTATAGCATTAGATACATTAGTTATGAATTAAAACATTAAATAAATGGAGTCTTTTTGACTCTGCAACCCTCATACCCATGGAGAACACAAAGACAAATGAGAGTGCCCCACTTCAGAGTGGTTATGAGGAACCACTCTTCCTGGTTATGCAGGAAGATGAACACATTATTAGGACAGCACTGTCAATCATGGAATATGATGTGATATGCTGAGTAATCATGGAGCCAGTGACAAAGCATTCCTGGGCATTCAGGGAATGGGCCATGAAATGGTGAGTTTCAGCTGTGTCTCAATGAGTTGAGAGAAATTTTCCAGATTCCTACAACAGGGGAAATACTAGAGAGTGAGAAAACATTTTTGTGCATACCATCTCATTTGGCTCCTATTAGGATTAGAGTTAGGTAAGGAGAGAATAGGTGTTATCCTTCAACAGAAGAAGTAAATGACCTTCAGAGGATTGGAGGCACTACCACTAATCCATGCTTAGTACACGAGTGGGTCATGCCTGGTCACAAAAATTGGGACACTGAGTCCAGAGCTAGTTCCTTGATATTTGTATGAGACTCACATGAGGAATGTTTCAGACAATGGTTCTCAAAGATTTGAGTGATTTTGCTATATATATACACACATATATATGTGTATATATACACATATATACATATATATGCATACATACATATATACATATATATGCATACATACATATATACATACATATGTATGCATACATACATATATACATATATATACATACATATATATATACACACACACACACATATCTCACATGGTTAGGACAGAGGGGCATGGTGATGTGATGATTGGAAATTCAGTATCATTCAGTCAACAAATGCAGAACAGAGATGTTAACTCTTCCTACGTGCCAGACACTGTTTACCTTGACAAATTGGGCACGATCAAGTCCCTGCCTGTCAGGAGCTCACAGTCTGATCAGTGAGGTAAGAAGAGAGAAAATTATAATGCAATGTGGTGAACAAAATGATGGGGAAACACATGCACAGATACCCCAATATAGATACATGAAACTCACTCAGCCATGGGGTCACAGAAGCTTCCTGTAGGGGCCCTCTATGAAAAGACCAGAAGAACAAGTAGGAATTATGCAAGTAAAGATGAGGAGATGCTTGAGTCAGATGAGAGCATGTGGAAGGTGTGGGGATGCTCCATGTGTGAAAGGACCTGCAGGATTTCAGGAGGACTGTAGTGAGGATCAGGTATGGGAAGACCCTGGGGAGGAGATGGAGCAGGGTGCAGACTGTCAAGGGCATGGAAGTCATATAGAGGATATGGAGGCATCTTCGTCCACCTGTGGAAGTGTTTATAGTGGGGAAATACCTCAGTCAGATTGTGTTTTAGGAAGAGTAGAGGTTACAGGGAGGAGGGGTTGGAGGGGGCAGGTCTAGAGGCAGGCTGACAAAGTGGGAGGCAAAAGAGAGCAGTGAGCTGAGTTGGGTACAGGTGGTAGTGTTGCAGTGTAGTGCACAGATTAGAAGGATGGGAAGAATGAACTGGACTTTGTGACAGATCAGACATAGAGGTGAGGGGGATAAAAATGAGGACAGGTTTGAGCTTAGTTTATTGAGTAGATTATGGAGGTGTGGAAGCCTTGACAAGAGCAGATTCTATACCTCTGCTTCTGAGGCCAGGAGAATATCTTCTAGTACTTTGGCAGAGCAAAGCAACAGGGTTTTATTTTTAAATGTGTTTCCCTCCATTCTAGCTCCCAATACACTCTCTGATTTGTAGCAACACAGACTCAATTTTGGAAAATCTTACCAAGAATTTTTCATGAAATAGGATTAGAGGAAAATGAATTTTAGAAAACATGGATGTTTGCAGATTTCAAATTTATGTAATCCTTGATTTTAAGTGCTTCATCTAAGAAAAATAGCAAATTATATTTTGGAAAATATTTTTCAAAGTATATTATTTTGAAAGATATCTTCAGTTGTATAGTTTATATCACCAAGCTAAGAGAAGTTTGAAAAGCCCCCTCTTTATACCTTGCAGTTTTCTTTCCAGATAGATGGTGGAATCAGATGTGAAGGGAGATGTGTTTTTATCAGTTGTGGTGAGGACATTTCAAGAACGAACTCCAAATCTAGCAAGAAACAATTTATATTCTTTGTTTATTCTTGGCACTCTGCCAAAATACTTGAATTCCATTTATATCTTTGTCTGTAGAGTGATTATATTTTGTTTTATATCCATTGGAAATAGTAATTTTTTATCCACAAGGACATACAAAGCATCCAATCCTGCCTAACCTTCTAGGAGAGTTTTGCTTATTTCCTCTTATTCTCTCAGCTTTTAGACTTTCAGGAAAGCTCTTTTTCACCCTCGATTAATTCTGGGAATGTTTGTTATATATCTGGTTGTTTTTTTCCTTTCTCTTTTTCTCTCTCTCTTTTGTTTGTCAGAAATTACATCCATTTTTTTACAATAGGTTGTCATTCTTGGAAAGAAAGACCTCTAGGAGGTCTGTCTTTATTTCATGTTATTCACTGGGTTTTACACTCTGAGGAAACCTTTTCAGCTCCCCCAATTAATTCTGGGAATGTCCACGGTATATCCCCCCTACTTCTCCTCCTTTTTCTTCAGAAATCACACCTGTTATTTTACAATAGCTGATTGCTAATTTCTGGCCTTTCCACTGATTCAAACATATGAAGGAGAATACAAAGCAGAGGGAGTCTTCTTTATCGTAACATTGGGTAGGAGAAATATGAGAAAGAGAATGAAAATCTTATTGGGGAGATAAAGGCCACCAGCTAAGAACAGGAGGAAGCCCTGAAGACCCAATCTAGAGTTTGATTGTTGGCCTGAGAACAAATAGACCTCATGAAAGATACAGGCTACTTCTGGCTACCACGGATGCTCTATCAGAGACAGTACACATTGCTCTGGAATCCTGAAGTGAAAGTCCTTTCTATCTTCGTGCATATTACTCACCTGGTTTTTCTTTATGGGGAAATTTCAGTTCAAGGAAAGCGTGTCTATCTAGAGTCTGGGCTCTTTTGCATTTCTCCACATCACCATCATTTAGAATCATGTCTAAAATTTCATGCATCCATGTTGTACCTGAAAATATTTGAAATAGTTCTTTAATTTTAGTCAATTGAACTTTCATTCTAAGTTATTGAATATTTTGAAGAAAGACAGCAACATGAGAGCACTTTAAAATTAGATCAATGTTGCCAAGGCAGAAATGAAAACTGTTGTATTATACCTGCATCTATCTATCCATCTATCTATCCATCTATCTATCTATCTATCTATCTATCTATCTATCTATCTAATCTATCATCTGTTTCTTTATGTATCTATGTATCTATCTATGTATCTAAGTATGTATGTATGTATGTATCTACTATCTTCCTATTATCTGTCTATCTATCTATCATCTTTTAGTATTTAATCTCTCAACTATCATGTTTGAGTGAACCATTTCTACATTTCCTATATTATGACACTTCATGCCAAAAATGCTGTATCTTCCAATATGACATTCTCTTATCATGGTTACTAAATGTTTCTCATCACATCTAGTTTATAATAAATCCTTAATAACATGAGATACTCAACCTATGTTAATTTTTTTCCATTGTATCATAATGTTATTAATCACTTTTGCCCAATTAAGATGTATTGGCTGCATTACTTTTGCTATCCTTTTTGTCTCAGCTTAGAATCATCTTTCCATATTTTTTCTTAATGATACTGATTTTTGTTCTTTGACATTGGTTTTTGAACGAATTAGCCAGCTGTCCTATAGTACTCCCCACATTCTGGATTTGTCTGATTATTTCTTCACAGTACATTTTTGTTCCTCTATTTCCTCTATTTCCCATAAACTGGAATCCAGGTCTTGATTAGGTTCTAGCGAACATTTTTGGCAGATTTCTCAGGCAGTGCTTGGTACTTCTTGCACCATGCCAAGAAGTACATACGTCTGATTGCCTCACTACTAGTGATACTACTGTTCATCATTCAGTTTTGTAGGTGACCACCAGGTCGCTCATTGTAAAGGCCCATATTTCCATTTGCTTTTAGGAATAAAACTATGTGGTGACATTTCAGTACCATGTGACCAGCCAGTTCTCCTCATATTTTATCTAATTATTTTAAGATTCATTCATTAATGATCCTACTTTACCTAATTTTTATTGTGGGTTTCAAATTGCTTATTTTCTAATCCCCTCACTTCTCTATTTATTAGGTAGATCTTCATATAAAGAACTTTCCCTCATAAATCAGGGAAGAACTGCAATTCCTCTAAATTCTTTCTCTTAATTACTTCTTTTTAGTCTAAGAGATGAATAACAGTTATCTTCAATCATAATACATAAGTTTTTCTTTTTGTATTTTTCATCATTATGGAATCACGTTTTTTGAAATAAACTTCAGTGTGGTAAAAATTACATAGAATAGAATGAACCTGTTATAAATGTGTAGTTTAAGGAAATTTGACAAATGTATGTAGCCATTACCATAGATAAGAGTAGAACGTTGTGTCTGTTGCTATCAGTAATTCTTTTCCTCACTTCCGACTCCACGGAACTGCTGATCTATGTTTTTGTCAATACAAATTAGTTTTACACATTGTTGAATTTCATATAAATGAAACCATACAGTTTGTCCTCATGTGTCTGAATTTTTTCACACACCCTCATTATTTTGGGATTCATTTATGTTCTTGTATATATCTGTAGTTCATTTTTTTTAATTGCTGAGAACAGTTCAATTGTATGGATAAGCAGTGATTTGTTTATTCATTTATATGACAATACGAATTTAGGTTTTCTTCAGTGTTGGGCTAATTTTGAATAAGTCTGCTATAGTGTTGTGTACAAGTTTTTATATGAACATAGATTTCTATTTTGGGGGTGGGGGTGAATCTCTAGGATTGGAGTTGCTGGGTTGTGTGGTAGGTGCATGTTTAGTTTTATAACAAACTGTTCAACATTAGTACCATGTTAGGTCCTCCCCAAAAGTTCATGAGAATTTCAGTTGCTCTGTGTCCTTATCAACACTTAGTATTTCCAGGTTTTTAGCCATTTGAAGTGGTGTGTAGTGGTATTTCATTATAGTACTAATTTACATTTTCTCATGATAAATGATGTTGAATATCTTGTGTTTATTGGTTAATAGTAAAGCTTTTTTGGTGATACATTTTTACATCTTTTGCCCACTTTAATACATTTTTTTTTTGTTTTTTGTTCTTAGTTGTAACAGTTCTTTATACCTTCTGGCCAGATATATGTATTGTGAATATTTTCTCTCCATCTATGTCACATATTTTTATTTTCTTAACTGGGTCTTTAGAAGAACAGAAGTTTTAATTTGATTAAGTCTAATTTATATTGAATTTACATTAAATGCAAACCATAAAGGGTAGTGCTTTCCATTTTTTTCCCCAAATTATTGTTGCCTAACCTAAAGTTTGAAGCTATTCTCCTATCTATACTTCCATAGTTTTAGAGATTTAATTTTAATTTTTTGAGGTCTGATGCATTGCACTTTGACTTTTTTGCATCTGGCACCAAGTAAGGGTCAAGTATTTATGTCTATCAACAATATCAACAGTATCACAGTCTTTTGAATGTTGAAGCTGAGTTAAATGTCATGAAATCAGTTAATATAAACCCTGCCACTTTACTCTATCAAAAATATTTGCTTTTAATGACATTTTCATAGAAATCTTGGAATCAATTTGTCAGTTTGTGATTGAGATTGAATTTATACATTAATTTTGAAACAGTTGATATCTTAAAAATATTGATCCTTTTGATCCGTAGATAGGGTATGCCTCCTTATTTATTTAAGTCTTATACAATTTCTCTCCGTAGTGTTTTCACTTTCAAATCATGCACAGCTTTGTTAAGTTCATTTCTGAATATTTCATGTTTTCAGGTGCTATTTATTTTATCAATGGTATTTTTAAAATGTCATATTCCAACTGTGTGTTGCTGGAATGTTGAAAGATAATAAAGTTTTGTATACTATTATTTTCTGTTACTCTGAATAAATTTCTTTAATATAACTTTTTATTTATTTATTTTTAGTGCAGCTGTGCGGGCAACACATTCAGCTTTTCGCTGTCAGAGAAAAAGTCTTTGACCTTTATTTTTAGTAATATTTTAATATATTATTTTTACTGGGTATATGGAATTCTAGGTTGAAGACTTTGTGGTTAACAAATTACCACAAGCTTCATGAGTTAAAACAACACCTGAATATTCGGTCATAGTTTCTGTAGATTAGAAATTGGGGTTAACATGGCTAGTCCTCTGTTTAGGGTCTCACTAGGCTAAAATCAAGGTATCAGCTAGGGCTGCCATTCTCATCTGGGACTTCAGGGTGTTTTGCCAAGCTCCTAGATGCCAACAGAATTCAGTTGCTTGTGGCTGTAGTATTGAGATAACTGTTTTGTTGATACTTTCTCTCTTCATCATTAAATCTATAATCATGCAGTGAACTTTTATTATACTTTAAATTTCTCAGACTTTCTCCTCTGCCACATCTCTCTGACTTCCTGTTCACATGATTCCACTGGGTCCGTCAAGATAGTCCAGAATAATCTCCCTATTTTAATATCAGCTGATTAGATAGTTTAATAGCAACTGCAAAATCCTTTTGGGAATGTAATCTGAAATAACGGCAGATGTAATAACAGAGGACTAATGTCATGGGGACCAAAATTCTGTCCATCCTATCCTGATTGGAGCACAAAAGTCTCTCATGCTTGTATAATCTCTAGGAATTATATGGCTAATAGTTTTCTGGTGGTTCCTTGCCTGATCTCATGGAGCTATAGGCTCTATGGAAGTGCAGTCTACCATTCAACAATAAACTAAAAGGGTCCTCTCTAAAGATATCTAAAGGTATTTATTTGTGTAGTTTCCTTCTGTCTGGTACTCTTACCTGCAAATAGCAGCCACTTCAACCTCTCAGAACTCCTACACCTGGCTCTTGAACTCAATGAGTTTGCTATGGCTTTTTCTTTTGCACCCTATAACTATACCCTATTCAGAAAGCATCTTCAGTCTGAGGATTGAGACAACTGTCATCCAAGGTCAGAAACCAGTGGTTTCATATATTTTATCCAGTTTCCTTTTTTATTATGGCTGGAGTACACATCCAATCTTGTCCCTTCGGCATGGCTGACCAGGAGGTTTTTATTTAATGTTCTCCCAATCAGTTAGTGATCATTCTTTTGGATGCTCAAACTGTCCCAAATGTGGCTACTGTGAGAGCCCCTTCACGTTGGTTCTTGTATCCTTCTACATGTCCCCATCAATTTTTTTGTTATTATGTGTGCTTTATTTTTACAGACATTTAATACAAACAAACAATTCTGGGAATATATACTGATCACTTACTCCTTCAAAAAGAAGATGTAGTACATTCCCCTTGCATATTCTATTCCCAAGAGTGGGATCATCAATTCTCCTAATAGCTGTGGTTCATTTTAATGGAGAATGGCCTATCGAAAGTGAGTTCTGGGCATTAGGTGTGCCCATTGACTCTAGCATGTGTTCCAGTCTAGGAATTTTTAGAGAAGAATTAGAAATCTAAGGCATTTTAAATCAAGGTCAGTCATTGGGCTTTTCTGAATGAGACTAATTTGGTACAGAGCAGAAAATTCATGGCTGACATCCTCCAAGAGCTTTAGAGGATTAGAAAATCAATTTGTGTTTAATATCTGAGATAATAGATTAATATTTGGAGTAGGACATGCTTTTAGAAGGCTGTCTTGAGGGTTGATGTTTAAAAAAGCCATAGGTCTTTCAATTTGTTGACCTTATATTTGATGTATGCTATGGGTTCTGGAATGGGAGCATTATCTGCCCTACTACCAAAGCATTTAGAAATCTTTTCTGTTCTCTTCAGAGAGTGCTATTGGAAATTGTTGTCCTAGGGATCAGGAATGCTAAATGTCCTGCAGCACCAAAGAACAGATCTCCATAATGAGGAATTGTTTCTCTCCAAATCCCAATCATGCTTCATTTATCAATACAGATTATGCAATAATTTCACGTGAAAATATTGAATATTTTTATGTTTTGCTACCCTTACCTGACTTTGGGTAAGTTGCCAGAATAAGATCATCAGGCTTGGCTTGGAAATTACATACTTTTTCCCACCATTCTTTTGATAATATCAACGTAGGGACTCCATCTACTTCCATGATGTTAAACAGTTCTGGCTTTTTTTCCATCGTGGGAGCGTTTTTCTCAATCTTCGCCATTGGGAATCTGGGATGGGTAAGATCAATACTAATTAAAATTTTTAAAAATGTTGTTTTATGGTTCATAGTATGGGTTATCATCTTACTGCCTTTGATTAGAATAGCATAAAATAAGTGAAAGCTAACATATAACATGCTAACAACTTACTCTATGTACATTAATTATTTAATCTTCATAGCAACCACATAAAATAGGTAATAGTTTTTTCTGTTTTCTACATGTGGAAACTTAAGTCATTATAAGTTTAAATAATTTGATAAAAGTAAAATAATCAATACCTGTTGGGGCTGAGATTTATACCCAAATAGTCTTTTTCCTGCTGCATGACCTAACAACCATATTACTTGTTAATCGGGAATATAATGGGTTATGTGTCATATATTGCTTCATTGTCTTCAAGATATTATTTTGTATAATTAGAAGCGAGACAATTACATTGAAGAAAATTCAAAACAATGGTTTTAAGGAGCATTCTATACTCAATTTTCTTGAATAGTTTTCACAGAGAAAATCTTCAAAAAACATAATTTCATGTAGTTTTTTTTTCATTCATGGAATAATTTTTGAAATATCAGTCATGGGTTACAGCAGAAAAAACTCTCTTGTACCCATGTACCTGAAAACTCTCATGTCTACTAACTCTGGAAACTTGGAATTTAGTTGGGGTCTGATATGGTTCGCCTGTGTCCCCACCCATTATAAGGGGGAGTTCCCCTGCACAAGCTCTCTTTTCCTTTGCCTGCTGCCATTCATTGCCTTCCACCATGACTGTGAGGCTTCCCCAGATACGTGGAACTTTAAGTCTGTTAAACCTCGTTATTTTTTAAATTGCCCAGTCTCAGGTATGTCTTTATTAACAGCATGAAAAGGGACTAATACAATAAATTTGTACTAGCAGAGTGGGGTGCTACTGCAGATACCTGAAAATGTAAAATTGACTTTGGAACTGGGTAACAGGCAGAGATTGGAACAGAAGAAGACAGGAAAATGTGGGAAAGTTTGGAACTTTCTAGAGACTTGTTGAATGGCCTTGACAAAAATGCCAATAATGATATGGACAATGAAATCCAGGCTACTGTGGTCTCAGATGGAGATGAGAATCTTGTTGGGAACTGAAGTAAAGGTCACTCTTGCTATGTTTTAGCAAAGAGAATGGTGACATTTTTGCCCCTGCCCTAAAAATCTATGGAACTTTGAACTTGAGAGAGATGATTTATTGTATCTGGTGGAATAAATTTCTGAGCATCAAATAATTCCAGAGGTGACTTGGGTGCTGTTAAAGGCATTCAGTTTTATAAGAGAAGCAGAGCATAAAAGTTTGGAAAATTTGCAGCCTGACAATGCAATAGAAAAGAAAATCTCATTTTTGGGGAAGAAATTCAAGCCAGCTGCAGAAATTTGCATAAGTAATGAGGAGCTGATTGTTAATCTCCAAGACAATGAGAAAAATGTCTCCAGGGCTTGTCAGGAGTCTTCATGGCAGCCTCTCCTATCACAGGCCCGGAAGCCTGGGAGGAAAAAATGGTTTTGTGGACTAGGCCCAGGGTCCCCGCGTTGTGTGCAGCCTAGGGTCTTGTTACCCTGCTTCCTAGCTACTACAACCGTGTTACCCTGCTTCCTAGCTACTCCTTGATTGTCCCATTGGCCAGAAAATGGCCATTCAATTCCCGTGTTCCTTTAAGGCACCTATTCTGTCTCCTATTCAGACAGTGCTTAATTAGTAAAGGGATTCTAAGTCTGGAAGTTAACCAGAACCCTTTTTCTATGGGTAAATGCTTTAGCATAGGCCATCATAGCAGGATATAGAGTTCAATCTAGCATGCTCCCTCCCTTAAAGGGGCCTTGCCCAATTATGTGATTTTTCTTGAAATTCATTTTTTTTTTGGAAGGCACGCAGGCCACACAAGTCTAGGAGGTCAAAGGGAAATAAAAGGCAGAAGACTAAGACTGCCTGTGGACAGTATGACTAAGGCCCAAAAGTTTAGTTCCTCTGGGGCCATGACTTATAGGGTCATGTCTGCAGTCATGGGTGGCACATTTAAATGGGTGCCAGGATTCAGGAGCCAAAGACAGAAAATAGTTGAGGAATGCCCTCTACTGTTTTCTTCTCCATCCTTGATCACAATACCGAAAGGAAGGAGACTAAAAGGACACTTTTATTCTCACTTCTGTTTTTAGATGGGTAACAGATCATCTTCAACATGCACTCCCCTGGAGTGTATTTTGAAGCACTGGGACTCCTTCATCCTTGAAACTTTGAAGAAAAAGTGGCTTATTTTCTTTTGCACAAGAGTGTGGCCTTTGTACTAGACCTTTGCAAGTGTTGCAAAATCAACCCAGCTCTTTTAGCAATCATATCAGGCAGGCCCAAAGAGAATAATTCCCCAAAATTAGAAAAGCAAGGTCCTGGGAAACCACCTGAGGATTCCCTTATTTGGGGGTGCCTTCAAGTTCCCTTCTCATTGCAGGACTTTAGACAAGTAAAGGCAGACTTAGGCTGATTTTCTGACCACCCTGATAGCTATATAGAAGCTTTCCAAAATTTAACTCAGTTATTTGCCCTCTCATGGAGGAAAGTTATGCTGCTCCTAAGCCAAACCCTAACTGTAGCTAAAATAGGCAGCTCTGCAAGCAGATGAGAATTTTGGAAATAAGTAATATGTCTCCTATAGTGTGCCAAAATGGAAAAGAAAAAAATAGGGAAGGCAAAAATATAGGCAAAACACCATTCCCAATAGGAAGAGAGGCGATACCTCATAACAACTGTAATTGGAACTCCTTTCTGTAGTATTTTTTCTTCTTTTATGGTTTATAATGGTTCTATCTCTTTTATAATGTCCCCTTAACCTGGGAAAAGTTAATTTTCCAAACTTAAAAATGCTTGGCTTAGAGTTGAGCTAGGGGGAAGGGAACCCAGAAGTGTGATATGCTGGCAAAAGGGTAAAAATTTCTTACCAGTTGGGCTTTTGGCTTCTCTCTCCCTGTGTGAGCCAGTAAAGGGGATAATAAGGATCATTGTTTATATTCTCTGTGAATTTATAATTAATGAAAAAGGATTTTTGTTGATCTTAAGCTGTAGACAATTTGGTGTGCTTTGCATGTCTTTCTGTATGGTTCTGTCAAAGAAAAGATACCTTAGGTTAGGATGCAGGCCCAGGACCCCACAAGTCTGCGGTTCAAGCCAGCCCAACATAATAGTAACAAACTTGGCCACAGGCCTCCATCTTGTTTCATGTCTGGATACATGACCTGTAACTACATGGCAATAATATACTTTACTCTCAGCCTTTTTACAATGGTGGCTGTCTTCTTGTGCTAAGTCAGTTCCTGAGTAAGGGCCAAAAAATCATATAAGCCAGTTTGTCAATCGGGTGGTGCTAGCTGATTCATCAAGGGTAGAGTTTACAAAATATCTTAAGCACTGATCTTGAAAGCAGTTTAGGGAGGGTCAAAATCTCATAGTCTCTTGCTGCATGACTCCTAAGGGATGGTTTCAAGACTTCTGGCTAGTTTTTTGGTCTTGTTCCCAGGCAAGAGGGAAGTATATCTTTTTTTTTTTTTTTGAGATAGAGTCTTGCTCTGTCACCCAGCCTGGAGTGCAGTGGCTCAATCTCAGCTCACTGCAAGCTCCACCTCCCAGGTTCACGCTGTTCTCCTGCCTCAGCCTCCCAAGTAGCTGGGACTACAGGCACCCACCACCACTCCCGGCTAATTTTTTGTATTTTTAGTAGAGACAGGGTTTCACCGTGTTAGCCAGGGTGGTCTCGATCTCCTGACCTCGTGATCCACCTGCCTCGGCCTCCTAAAGTGCTGGGATTACAGGTGTGAGCCACCGCGCCCGGCCCTGGAAACATATCTTAAGAAGGAGCTGTTACCATCTTTGTTTTAAAGTATAAACTGTAAACCAGGTTCCTCCCAAAGTTGGTGAAGCCTGTCCCCAGGGATGGGCAAGGACAGCTCGGGCGCTGGAAACAAAATGGAGCTGTTTGGGTCAGATGTCTTTCACTGTCTCAGTTACAATTTTGCAATGATAGTTTCAAAAGCTGCTTACCCTCCTTTGAAAATGCCTTGCACACTCACGGTTAAATCATAACCTAATTAAGGCTCATTGGTTTCACCTGTAAGGTTACTTTTTGTAAAATTGAAAAGTCAAAAATCTTAACTGCTTGGCATGGCTAAAGTCGAGTAAAAAGGGATTTAAAAGGATTTTCTTAAAGAGTGCTCAGCTTAATTAAAAATGGATATTCAAGTTATAGGTATATTTAAAAGTTTTTCTGGAAAAAGCCTTTTTTCCTCTCAGTCGACTGAATTATTTTTCTCTATTTTTTGTCTTACCACTCCTAATGCATGCATGAGAGGCCCAAAGATAACTTCTGGTAGCATGGGACTCCTTGGGAAAAACAGAGGAGGTGCCACAGACCCTGTTTTGGGAAAATAAAAAGCCCTCTGTTTTTCCCACGAAGCCCCCAAAATTAAAAGTAGATAGTTTCCTCTCAAAATCAAAGACTCTGTTCTGTTATGTATTGTGTTATATACTGTTTATGTTTTGGGGGTTTCACATTACTTCACATTATGAGAGAGATTTGCTGTTTAATAACCAGGTAGAAAATACACTGTAAGGGACGGCTAGGAGTAGTAATAAATCAGAGAAGCATGCTCTTGGCCACCTGAAAGGTATGAAAACATCCCCACCCTCCACTAAAAAATAAGACTTCTATGGGGGGATGGGCTAATTGCCTTCAGCTGTGTCTGCTTATTAGGCACTAAAAAATGCATGGTACCTGACCCTGCTCCTCCAAGGGCTCCACCCTAAAGCCAGTAATCCAATTAAAAAACTGGCAAATGAAAAATCTTAACAAGTGCTGAATCTTCTGTCTGTGCTGCTATATATGTTTTGTGTGTAATGTCTGCAAAAAGAGCTCTAATTGATTGGCTTAAAGAAAAATAATTGCTTAAATCAAATACGTTTTTAGTTCACATGGCTTTAAGAATTAAAAATACTCTTAAGAATTATTGGTAGAATACAAGTGTCGTCAAAATGCAAATAGGTGGTCTGAATCATATAACTTAGATACCAGGGTTGCTAAATGTTCCCAGGTTGTATATTGCCTGCTTTACAGATAAGTAAGGCCTGGGACACATGGAGTTAGATACTGAAAAGTCAAACTTTATTTGCGTTTCTGTCTGGGTCCTAGGATCCACACCTGGTATATAATTAAAATCGCTTACTAACCAGGTTTTCCAGTGATTTTTTTTTTTTTTTTTTTGAGATGGAGTCTCACTTTGTCACCCAGGCTGGAGTGCAGTGGCGCCATCTCTACTCACTCCAAGCTCCACCTCCCAGGCTCATGCCATTCTCCTGCCTCAGCCTCCTGAGTAGCTGGGACTACAGGCACCCGCCATCATGCCCAGCTTATTTTTTGTATTTTTACTAGAGGCGGAGTTTCACCATGTTAGCCAGGATGCTCTCAATCTCCTGACCTCATGACCCACCCACCTGGGCCTCCCAAAGTGCTGGGATTACAGGCATGAGCCACCACGACCTGTCCCAGTCATGTTTTTAACTGTAACTATCCGGGAAATTTTGTCATTCACAGACAATTGTTTTCTTGCTTTGTTCCTTAAATATCAAGCAAGACAAGAGTTAACTAAGTGGACTGCACCCAAAAAGTTAAAGCAAGCTTTTAAACTTTTGCTTGGAATATTGCTGATGCTTGTTTTATTTTGTATCATCAAGTAAACTTATTTTTAACTATTTATGGCTTTTAATAATTGAGTAAGGTACATATTGTGAACCAAATTTGGAGCATGTTTATTTTTCTCTGCCTGGTTCCTCTAGAATTAGGAGACTATCTATGAGTACTCTTAACTTACGGCAATATAGTTGTTTGCATCAGTGTGACAATAATCCATTTTTCTTTGTCAACAGGACACAATTGGAAAAACTGGTTATTTTACATATGCTTTGACTGAAAGGGTGTGTTTCCCTTTGAGGAATCAAGCGTGACACGCAGAGCCAATAAAGCCTCTTGGGGAGAGCTGGCCTCATACCTTGTCTACACAGTGTGGCACAGGGTTCCTAACCTCTGGTCAGTCAGGAATGTCACTTTCTAACAGGTCTGGGAACTAACTCCATGTTGATCTTGGGAACTCAAGAGAAAGACTCACACAACTCATGGAGGATACGAACCATGGCTGGGCTCGGCTTTAAATGTCTTATCTGAAATTCCTTGTGGAACAGTTTCTTCAAAGCCAATCCAAAAGGCATATGTAGATGTAACCATTCTTGCTGCACATTATGCAAATAATCAGGCCAAGTATAAGACTATAGTGTATTCTACCCACAGCACACATGGTCTTATCATAATTTGTTTTTACCAAAAATGAGTACTGGAGAGAGAAATTGTGTTCCAAATGTTATCATATATTTGTCATTAAATTCTAGTCTCTTTCATTGTTTTGAAGCTTTTTGCCTACATTTTAGACGAACCCTGCTTATTCCTGTGAATCAAGTGGTATCTCCTACAGCTTGGAAGAAACAAAAAGGGATGGGTAATGTAAAAATCTGAATCAATATGCTAGTTCTGGGCAATGATCCTGCAAATTCTGCCAGGTAATAAAAGTAAGTAGGGTGCCCACCCATAATCTGGAGGTTTCTTTGTTTGGGAAAATAAAACTAAGAAAGTTCACAGACCCCCAAAGGGAAATTCTATATCTTGGTAAGTAAAATTTTAGATGGAAATTATCTACTGCACCACACTTATGGGAATTGCTATATTCACTCTACTATTTGCAATAGGGTTACAGGTATTTAAAGATCAAATCAAAATTATTGAATGCATTTAGCATCTCATTCTTTCAGACCATCAGGGAAAGATATCTAAATAGAGTTAGACTTCTGCTTCAGTGTTACCTCAGGACCCAATACCATCTGAAGATGCATGAGGCATTCAGTTCACGACTTACCTGAGTTTTATTTGGAGCTGCAAAGTCTAAAGGCTCCAAAGCTATTTTTTATATGATTAACAAGGGTTGAATATCCCGACCCTTTTCCAGGGCCTGGTGGTCGTCAGACACTAGGATGAGAGTCTCTAAGAGGGTGAGGCTTACCTGGTATCTCAGGCAGCAGAGGAAGCAGCTTGCTGCCTTTAGTCAAACTGCTTCCTGGAAACCCAGAGCCAGGTCCAGCTCCAGGACACTGTGCAAGCAAGAGCACAGCAGGTGAGGATGGTGCTGACTGTCCAGAGCTTATAAACCTGGGAGGATGGGTGGGGTGGGTGTGTCAGCCTGGGGTAAGGCTGATGCCAGGGCAGGACTTTGCACCTGCTGCTGTGTTCTGCCTCCACTGGATCCTGATGTACTCCCCAAGGTACAAATCTAGTCCTGGCTTGGCTCTCTGCAGATACCACAAAGTTGAGGGTCGCTGCTCCCTTTTTGATACCAGCTACTCAGAATGTAAATGAACAGGTCCAACATGAGGGAATACAAACCAATAATTCATTAATTATCCCAGGGAGCCCATATTTATACTGAAGGTCTTCCCAGACCAGCTCTCAGGACAGGAACTTGCACAATTATTTCATCCTGTTCCCTTTGACCCTGTAGAAAATATATTCTATTGCCTCTTTACTGAATCCGTAGTTAAAATTGGTGTAGAAGAAAGTTCATTTTAGGAAACCACAAGGCCTGTAATAAAACCATGAAACCTCCATGTCCCCCTCTGTGTGTGTGTGTGTGTGTGTGTGTGTGTGTGTGTGTGTGTGTATTTCAGGGCAAGAATGTCGGGGTTAGTGGATGCAGTGGGACACACTGTGGTTGTCAGTGGGTGTGGGCAGGGGAGAACAGTCTCCAGAGCTTCTGATCTTGCACTCCTCACCTGGTGCTTAGTAAAATTTCCATCTGTTGAGATGATCTAATTATTGATTTTACTCTTTTTATTATACATAGTAACACTCAGTATACTGGAGTTAAGTAAATATTGTACAGAGTTCATTGTTAAAATTCCATATATTTACATTGTCTGTCCTCTGTTTTGCAAGACTCCCAGAGACCATTCCTAATCTTCAATTTCAGTTATACTTTTGAGACAAAGTCATTGCTTTTTAATCTCTTTCTGAACTTTTGTTCCTGATGATTGAGCACTAAAACACAGAGCCTTAGGGCATGACTTTGAAGCCATATGGCTGTGTTCTCCATTATCTGGCAACCTGGTTTTAGGAATCATGTGACGTGAATTATGTAGAGCATCAGAACAGTGCCCAGGACAAAGGATGTCCGGCACGTGGTGGTTCATATCATCATTACACTTGGCTGCTGAGCTGATGTCTTGCAGAAAACCTAAATGAGGTCTGTTTGTGAAAACTCCTGGTGGAGGAGGAGGACTAAAATGCTCCCTTTATAGTTTCCATTACATATGCATGATATAGAATGTTCTCACTGTGAAACATGACCATTCCTGCTACAGACCTTCTTTAAGGGGTGAACATATCAAAACAGGAAAAATGTGAGTGTGAAAAGAGGTTCTGTTGATTACATTGACTGTCAAGGTAAGAAGTGGGAGTTTTCCAGCTAAAAGGACAGTCCCCGTCCAATTGGATCATTTGGTCACACTGTCATGACAGACCTGAAGCCAATAACAATTTTGATAATTGTCCTAGGGGCTGGTGTAGGAAGAACTGGGAGGTTTTCTTGGATAGAGTCCCCTTGCCTAAACAGATGCTGTAATTGTCACAAAACCATCTCTGCATGCTTGTTGTTTTGTGCTGTCTCTGGTCTCCTTTTGGAGGGAAGAACTGCATGTGTTAAGATCCAAGGGCAGAGAACCTGGTCTACTTGCATCTCTTTGTCTCTCCCTGTGGTTTCTTTTCACTGCACATATTTGACAATTTGATCCCCTGTCTATGTGGTATCTTTTGTTAGGTCTTAGTCAATTTTAGCTTTTTTCCATTTTAACAACTTCAAAAGGCTTAGAATTGTACCTGAGGTTTCCACCTTGCCAGAATTTCTAGTTTAGGGCCCACTATTTATCTTTTTCTTTTTATGAAAAAAAAAAAAATCTTTTTTTTGAGATTGAGTCTTGCTCTGTTGCTCAGACTGAAGTGCAGTGGTGCGATTTTGGCCCACTGCAGCCTCTACCTCCTGGGGTCAAGTGATTCTCCTGCCTCAGCCTCCCGAATACCTGGGACTACAGGCACATGCCACCACACCTGGCTAATTATTGTATTTGTAGTAGAGATGGAGTTTCATCATATTGGCGAGGCTGGTCTCAAATTCCTGAGCTTGTGATCCACCCACCTTGGCCTCCCAATGTGTTGGGATTACAGGCATGAGCCACTGCCCCCAGCCCCACTATTTATCTTTATATCAATATAACCAGGATCAGCATGTTGTCTTTCCCTGAAAAAATTATTATTTTCTCAATTTCTCCACATCCCGTAAGCATTTCTGGCCTCTTCTCTTTTAATTCTGATCTTAATGTGAATGCATCTACAGATTCCTGTATGCTGCTTGCTATATGATTTTGTTTGAGACTCTTATTAGGTAAATCTAATCCAAAACAGAAATGAAAGTCTTAATATAAAAAAAAGTAAATCTTTACCACTTTTGGACACAAAATCTTTTTATTACTATGAGGCTTGGCAGAACTTATTAATAAAATATAAAATTTCCATGTAGTAAAGAAAAAATATTCTTCTATATTAGTTTTGATAATCAAAAAACAAATATTTGGAACATACATAAATAAGTATCCATGATATATAAAAATATTTTATAAACCAAAAATATAAACTAAGAAAATAATCAGTGAATATGCATGTAAGCAATTCACAGAAAAGGAAAACCTGATGTCCAAATAACATATGGGAAGATGTCCAATAGCATGAGTTTTCAAGGAAATGAAAATGTTAAAAATGTGAATTCTTTTAAATTATTTTAGTTGGAAAAATTGACACACTTCTATAACTGCCAGGTATTGGTGAACATCTTGTTGCGGGAATGAAGGAGGACCAGAGAGATGACAGGATGAAAGAGGAGGATTTTACTGAGAACACTCAGAGCCAGTCGATTAACATCCAAAAACTGGCCCCAGAACAAAGACAGCACTTGACTTTTATACACACTTCTGAAAGAGTGTAGGCTAGCTTTAAAGAAGTTTACAATGGCGTGAAGTGTAGTGGCGCAAAAGCAAGAATACTGAGGCAGAACAAAGGCAGTTAATCAAATTGTGATAGGTTCATAACTCTGGATTACATGCAGCTCTTGCTATGCAGTCCAGATGGCTGTTATCTAGGCTTGCTCTAGTGCCTTGCATGGGCTTGTCTCATAATGTTCACTACGGGGCCTAGATGGCTGTAGCCCACGCCTGTTCAGGCATGTCTTATAACCTTCAATGTGCTGCTTAGATAAAACAGAATACTGGAAGTTAGTAGTTACAGAAAACAGGAATCTATAAACTCATAAGTTTACTCATATTATAGGGGAAAGAAAAATTTGTTTTCTTTCTGGAGAGTCTCTAGAGCACATTTCTTTGAGCCCTGGCTTCTTTGATAATGTTATCGAGAGTTTGCCTGGGTCTGGGCTTTGCCTGTTATTGCCTTTGGGACGAGTCAGACTAATACAGAAGACTTGTTTTTCTTTTCTGTTTTTTTTTTATTTTATTTTTCTTTACTTCTTTAATTTCCTTCCTCAATCGGAGCAAGTGGAAACTTCTATCACTGAATAGCAGGTGATATTTTCTATCTGTTCTTGAGTTAGTTGTGAAAAATTATACATTCTTGGAATTTTTCCATTTTGCATGTATTTTCAAATATACTGGCATAGCTTCCATTATAACATTCTTTTATTACTTTGATGTTTGCAGGAATTTATGATATCCCCTCTTTTTATTACTGGCAAAATTTTGTTTGTGCTTGGCATTTATCAGTTAATCTTACAAGATATTTTACAATTCCACCAGTCATTCCAAAGAATCTGTTTTTGATTTTTGAGGAAAAAAGAGACCTTAACTATGTCAATAACATTTCATATATTTGAACATTTTATTTATTTTGAGAGGTCTTTAAGGAACTTGATAAAAATATAATTTATTACTCTCTCTATTCTTTTCAGCAAAATAAATTATGTAGTATAGACAACATTAATTTTGTTAGAATCTTTGTCAATGTGTTTGACTCTTAGAGGCTTACTACACAATCTTGTTATGTATTTAGATTTATTATTCTAATCTAATCTGAAGAAATACAAATAATTGAGAAATAGATGATTCCAAATAGACTGTCCTCATAGTTTCAAAGTCACAGTCTCTCATGCAAGATTGTCTATATTAACAGTGTTGTCTGTCAACATTATCCGTCCCTTTTGAGGGTAGTGTCATCTGATAACATTTTTGAGTCATGGGAAATTTCCGGAAACAGAACAGCACACAGAAAGGTACGTAGCTCCAAACATTTATTAATTGTACATTGAGAACATTGTGTATCTTTATCTTACCAAATAGGAAATAGACTTTACCCTTCTTTACCACATGGAAAGTAGGCACCCCAAGCTTCACAATGGCCTTTCCCTCTGTGCCCTCTACTAGTCATCACCACAAGTTAACGGGATACCATATGGTGAAAATAAAATAGACATGGGGATGACATGGGTCTTCTTTATTTTTTTAAAAAACTTTTAAAGTTTTCCATAAGCTTCGGGGTGTAGCAACTTTCAAACAAACTATGAGAAGCAAAAAGATATTGATCATAAGCAACAACATGTATTTTTTCAGGAATTGTGTTTACTTTTTCTAGGATATATTTTGTCATCGTTTCTCCTGTAATGTTTATTTTTTAATTGAAAGTTTTAAATGTAAAACTTTTAAAAATTATATTAAAAATAAAAAATTAATTTAAAATCTTGAAATTAAAATTAATATAATATAAAATCAACCATTTTAAGGTGTACATTTTGGTGGCATTTAGTACATTCCACCATTACCTCTAGCTCATATTAGAAAATGTTTTCACCCTTAAAGAAAGTGCCATCCCCATGAAGCTCTCCCTCTTCACCCCTCCTCTCACAGCACCTGGTAACCACCAACCTTCTTTATGCCTCTACAGAATCAATCAAATTATTTGGGATGTTTCATCCAATATGTAACCTTTTGTGTTATGGCACTTTAAGTCTTTTATGGCTGAAAAACATTTGTTTGTATGTATGTGCCATATTTTGTTTATTTATTCATCCATTGGCAGGAATGTGGGCTGTTTACAGCTGGTGGTCATTGTGAGTAATGCTACTGTGAACAGTCCATTTGTGCTTAAGTATTTGAGAACTATTTTTCAATTCAGTTGGGTATATACCTAGGAATAGCATTGTTGAGTCTTATGTTTATTTCTGGTTAAAAAAAGACACAAAGAAATGTGCCATCTTTACCATTTTTAAGTGTACACTGTAATTCCCCTTTTCTTTCTCTTTTTAGTTCCTAGGAACCACAATTTTAACTTCTGATTCTATGAATTTGTCTACTTTAGATACCTTATAGAAATAGAATGATACCGTATTTGTCATTTTAGGACTGACCTATTTCTCTTAGAGTAACATCCTCGTGGCTCATCCACGTAAGTATGTGATAGGATTATTTCTTTATAAAACGGAAAAATAATCTATTTTATGCATATAACAGATGTTGCTTCTCTGTTCATTCCTTGATAGACATTTGGTTTCTTTGCACCATTTGGTTATTGTGAATAATCCTGCTTTGAAAATGGATGGAAAATATTTCTTTAAGACCCTGCTTTTAATTATTTTGAGACCCTTCTTTCCACTTCTAACCAGAAATGGGATTGGTGAATCATATAGTAGTTTTATTTTCAATTTTTTGAGGAGCCATTTTTTGTTTTGGGTTTTGTTTTTATAGTCACCATCCCTACTGAGTGTGAGGTGATATATCATTATTTTGCTTGACATTGAGCATATTTTCGTGTGCATGTTGGCTTTTTGGATAAATGTCTATTCAAGTCCCTTGTCTGTTTTGTAATTGGGTTGTTTGACTTATTTGTATGGCTCCTTTATGTATTTTGGATAGTGACCCCTTATGACTTGTATAATTTACAGATATTTTCTCCCATGCTTTTTCACTCAGTTGAATATAACATTTGATAGACAAATGATTTGAAGCTTGATGTAGTTCCATTTGCTTATCATTGACTGTGCTTTTAGTGTCATGTCCAAGAAATCATTGCCAAATTCAGTATCATGAGTATTCCCCCTTATGTTTGTTTCTAGGTGTTTTACAGTTTTACGTCTTCCATTTAGGTTTTTATTACTTTAGCTTTTCTGAGGTATAATTGACAAATTAAAGCTGCATGTATTTAAGATGTATAAAAGTTGATGTCTTGATAGAATATACACTGAAATCATCACCACTATCAAGATAATTAATATATCCATTACATCAGACAGTTACCATTTTCTTTTTTCTGTCTTTGTTGTGTGGTGAGAATGACCTTTCACAAATTTTGAGTATATAATACAGTATTATTAACTAAAGTTACACACTATACATTGGATTTCCAGAAGTTATTCATGCTGCATAACTGAAACTTTGTGACCTTTGTCCAAGATCTTCCCATTTTCCTTTCCTTCCACCCCGGCAAACATCATTCTGCTCTCTGCTTCTATGAGTTTCACTATTTTAGACTCTACATATAAATAGTTCATGCAGTGTATTAGCCTTTTCTTGCAATGCTAATAAAGGCATACCTGAGGCTGCATAATTTATAAGGAAAACAGGGTTAATGGCTTCACAGTTTCATATTGCTGGGAGGCCTCACAATCATGGTGGAAGGGAAACAAGAAACAAAGATACATCTTAACAGGGCGGCAGGCAAGAGAGCTTGTGCAGGGAAACTCCCAGTGAAAAAACCATCAGATCTCCTGAGACTTCTTCATTACCAGGACAACAGTATGGGGGAAACTGTCCCCATGGTTTAATTATCTCCACCTGGCCCTGCCCTTGACATGTGAGGATTGTTACAATTCAAAGTGATATCTGGTGGAGACACAACCAAACCATATTATGTTGCCCTGACCCCTCCCAAGTCTCACATCCTCACATTTCAAGATCAATCTTGCCTTCCCAACAGTCTTCCAGTTTTAACTCACTTCAACATTAATTCAAAAGTCCACAGTCCAATGTCTTATCTGAGACAAGGCAAGTCCCTTCCACCTATGAACCTCTAAAATCAAAAGCAAGTTAATTACTTCTTAGGTTTAATGGCGATACAGACATTGGGTAAATACGCTTATTCCAAATGGGAGAAATTGGCCAAAACAAAAGGGCTACAGGCCCCATGCAAGTCCAAAATTCAGCAGGATAGTCAAGTATTAAAGCTCCAAAATGAACTCCTTTGACTCCAAGTCTCATTTCCAGGTCACATGGATATAAGAGGTGGGTTCTCTTGACCTTGAGCAGCTCTGAAATTTTACAAAATTTTCTGTTCTGCTTCTCTTCTAAACATAAGTAATTCCAAACCGTATGTTTTGAATACATAAAACTCTAAGTTACTATATTTGTCAATGTGTTTATTGTTACCAGAGAACCTTATATTTTTATACAGCTTTATGTTGCTGTCTAGCATCCAGTTTTTCAATTTGAAGGGCTCCTTTGATTATTTATTTCAGAGCAGGTCTAGTGGGAACAAACTCAGCTTTTGTTTATTTGGAAAAAGCTTTACTTTCTCCTTCATGTTTGAAGGTCAGTTTTGCTAGGCACAGTATTGTTGGTGACAATTTTTCTCTTTCAGGACTTGGAATATATTGCCCCACCTCCTTCTGGCCTGGAAAGTTTCTGCTGATAAATTGGATGATAATCTTAAGGAGGCCCTTCATATGCAGCAAATTGTTTTGTCTTGCTGCTTCCAAGATTATCATTTTTTCAGTTAGCTAGGAAAAGTAATTTCAAGAGATCTATTGTACAATATGGATCACAGCTAATAACAATATATTGTATTTTTGAAAATCATTGACAGTAAATTTTAAGGGTTCTCACCACACACACACAAAATAATAAATATATGCACATATGGTAATGCACATATTAAAAAACTCAATTTAGCAATTCCACAGTGTATGCATTTTTAAAACATAATGTTGCACAGAATAAATATGTACCTTTTGTCAATTAAAAATAAATTAATTTTAAAAATAAAATAAAAACAAAAGTTACAAGTAAAAAAGATTCTCTCATTGTGAATGATGTTAGGCAGTTCAATTATATTGTGTCATCATGTGGTTCTCTTTGGATTTATACTTGCTGAATATTCTATTCCTAGTTACTTCAGTGTTTCTATCATGAAGAGATATTGAATTTCTCACATGTATCTTTTGAATTAGTTAATATGATTATGTAGTTGTTCTCATCCATTATTCTATTGATGTGGAATATTACACTGATTGATTATTTTCATTTCTTGAACCTCTGTCGAATCCTGGAATAAATCTCAGTTGGTCATGGTATATAATTCTTTTTACGATTCTGCTAGATTATTTTCTAGTATTTGTAGAGGATTTTTCCACCTATATTCATAAGGGATGTTAGTGTGTAGTTTTATATTCTCATGATGTCTTTGTGTCTTCATTTCTGGAATGCAGTGATTGAAGAAATATTTCTGTTGCTAGGAGAAAGGACCTTGAAACCTTGAAGTATTCTGTGGTATCCTGTGTGTACACAGTTCTTCTTCAAAGAGAACTTAGAGACATTTACTTGGGTGACTTGACATTAAAGGGAAGAGATTGCCTAGAGCAGGGGGCAGCACACTGTGGACTGAGAACCAAATCAAGCCAGGCATCTGTTTTTGCAAATAAAGTTTTATTAGAAAACAGCAATGTCCATTCATTTACACATTGTCTATGGCTGATTTCATGCTACAATTGCAGAGTCCATAATTGCAACTAAGATGTTATGATTTGCAAAACCTAAAGTACTCACCAATTAACATTTTATAAAATATGTTTGCTGACCCTTGACATTTGAGGACAGTTGGACATGGGTCTAAGGTGACATTGATACCCAAAGAGCCAAAGCATCATCATGGCCCCCTGATAAAGTGGGAGCTTATAGGGTTATGTAATAATTAGTGTCCTGGGTGAATTCAGTTAAATTCTGCAGACCAACCCAGCAGTTCTCTTCCCAGTCCCTGAATGGATAATTCGATTAATATACTTGACCATTGGGGTAGCTCCTGCATTGGGCCCTTTGCCTGTCAAGTAAGAAGGACATGTGAAACCACCTGAAACTGCCACCCAAGTCACCTACATAGCAAATCAATAACAATATCGCATGCTCATAGGGGGCTGGAGTTGTGTTGAAGAGATGAGTGTCATTTTAAAAGTCCTTAAGCTTGTGGTGGGATACGGAGTGGTGGGGGTTTTTATCATTTTCTTTTAACTCCTCAGTGCAGCCTCTTTAGTAGCAAGCTGTATCCTGAAGGAGAACTGGAGATTACCTCAACCAACCAAGTTGCCACTCTGATGGCAGCTTCAGCTCCAGACACAGAGTTGTTTTTAGAATTGATTCCAACAGCCAATTGGGCACATGGTGCACAACCCTGAATTGTTGGATATACTCTTCTCTTCTGATCAGAACAGAAGTCTTATTGGAATTCATGTGGAAAGGACAATAGTTACTACTAGTCTTGCCCTAGAATTATGTTTACTCTACTTGGCCCTGTTATATAAGGGAACAAAGCCATCTGGTGCATCTGCAGAACACTATGCTGATCTACTTTGTCGAGACGTCATGCTGATTGGGTTGGATAAGCAAGAAGCCATGGAGGTCTTGGGAAGATACATGCACTCCAGAGGGTGGATGCAGGAGCTAAACTCTGAGAAGATTCAGGGACTTGTCACTTCAATAAAGTTTTGAGGTGTTTAGAAGTCAGAGGATTTGTAGAATGTTTCTTACAGAGTTCAAGCAAATTGTTGTTGCATCTTGCATCTCCTGCCACAAAGAAGGAAGTTGATCACCTGGATAGGTCCTTTGGGATCTGGAGATGACACCTTCTACATCAGATGACTTAGACCATGGGCAGCTAGGAACAGGTCCTTGGGACAGGAAAGGGCTCTGCAGTAGGTTCACTCTGTAGTGGATGCTTCCCTGCCACGTGGTCTGTGAAACCTACACTCCCCATGGGGGTGTCAGTAGTAAGTGCACATGCAATGGGAGAATCACAACACAGGCTCTTGGAAGAGATGCAGTCCATGCCATCTGCAGCTGAAAAATCCGCCCCCCCTTGGGACATACTACCTGGCATAGTACTGGACCCAGGTAAGTTTGGAATGTCTGGCCATAGGGTGCATATGTCCATGCATTTGAAATTGAGCACTATGAGCCTGTCACATTTACCAAGTTAGAGTGAATAGGCCACCCAGTATTCCTTTGGAGGTTGGAAATGGTACATTCAAGGTCAGGGCTGTGAGTAACAAGCAGTCACTATCCAATTAAAAGAAATCTGGGCATAGAGCTTCTATTCAAACAGATTGTAGGAGGGAGGGGAGGAGGACTGTTGCAACAGGGAGGACCCTAGACATGAGATTGGCAGGTGTCTCTAAGGTCAGCCAGAGAGGAGCTTTTACATTATAGGGAGGAGTAAGGAGGCCAGAAAAAAAAAAAGAAGGACTGCAACAGGGGCTCGGGGATTGTGTGTCTTTGAGACCAGCTGATACTTAGGAGGGTTAAGGAGGCACCATTCTGCATTCAAGTGCTGAGCTAGGCTGATGGTGGGCTGAAGAGATGAGGAGAAAATAGGAGGTGACTTAAAGGAATAAAAGGTCTTCCACCTGTGAGAATGGTTGCAGTCACAGCTCCCAGGAGTCTACCTTCCTGGATCACTTCTATTTGCTAAATGATTTTCCTTCCCCTTTCATCAAATGATAAATGCTCTTTCTCCATTTCCTTGAGACTGGGCTGGCCTGTGGCTTGCTTTATCTGATAGGATGTGCTGGAGAGGTGTGTGAGCTGGAGGCCTCGAAGGCCTTGCAGCTTCTGCTTAGAACCTCTTACAACGCCAACATCAACTCCCCATCAGCCTCCTGGGAAGAAGCCCAGTAACCCCAATGGAAGCATGAGAGGCCCTAGGAGAAGAATTAAGATGCCATCGCCAACAGCTGGCACCAGCATTCCAGAGTCTGAATGAGGCCAGCTTGGATCCCAATCAGCTGCATGAGTGACCCCAGGTGAGTCCCACAGAACTGCCCATATTACTACCTCTCAGAATCATGATAAAATATAGTAAATAATTTTAAGCCATTGCATTCTGGTAATAGTTTGTATACTTCATTGAAGGCTCACCCACTGGGGAATGTGAAGGTGCCAGTTATTAACCTATCATTTCCTAGCTTCCAAACCACCCATCTGCTCTGCTTTGTGAGGTCTGAGCTAGGACTCTGCACTTTACATTATGCTCGCCAGCTGGCTTCAATCAGGCCCTGCCCACACAGGCAGAGAGTGATATTAGGAGGCTGGAGCAAGGAGGACAGACTCTTCCAAACTTGTGAGTGATACCCAAAAATCTTGGTCACTGCATCTGAAGTAGGGCCTTCCTATAGCAGCAGTTAGACTGAGTGGGTGGGTTTGTCAATATGTGCACACTTTCCTCATGGCCCTACTTGGAGATGTCAGCACCTGCCCAGCCCTGGGTTACTGTCCCAGGGGACTTTTCCTTTAAGCTTTTAAATTTTAATAATTCAGCTCCCTCTTTTTGTTCTACCAACCTTAGGTGTGGCAGCTGCTTCTTGCAGTTGCTACTTTTAGAGTACCCCAGAGTTTTATTTTATTTTGCTTTCTGGTTCTTCAACATCTAGTTAACGATCTTTTACATCAAAATCCCTCTGTTTAAATACTGCTGCTGTGGTTTCTGTTTCCTGGCTACTCAGACTGATACAGTGATTATGGTTAATTCATTATTTGTAAGGGAGACTCACAACTTCATTAGGAAACTCAGTGAGACAGGCTGCTCAAAAGCTTAATGATGCGGCTCATACCAATTACAGAAACACTATAGGTAATATAGCCCAGGGAAAGACAAGCCGCCTGCCTGCCTGCCTGCCTGCCTGCCCGCTTGCCTTCCCTCCCTCCTTCCTTCCTTCCTTCCTTCCTTCCTTCTTTCTTTCCTTCCTTTCTTCCTTTCTTCCTTCCTTCCTCATAATATATTGAGAAAAGATGGGCTATTGAGTTAGATATATCAATTAAAAATTCTAAATCCTAAATCAATTACTTACTAGCATTGTAGCCTTGGGAACATTGTTTAACCTGTTCACACTCTGTTACTCCTTCCCCCAGAAACTGCCCACTCTATCCCAGTACACCCTTAGCAGCTTAGGAAGATAACTATTAGTTGTATTTACTGTCAAGGAAGCACAGACACATCTCCGGATTTTCTTAATAAAGAAAATACTTTATTAAGAGCAGTTGGTGCAACAGAGAAATGCTCAGGGTCCATGCCAGAACATTTCTTGGAATAGGTGGTCAAGCAAAGCTTTTACATGCAAAGACATGAGATCGATGACTGTGGGAAGAGAAAAACTAAAAAATGCTGAGCGGTCTTGATACTTAAGGAACTGTGTCAAATGTTGCAATAACAGGAAGGTAGGGAATGTTCATTTTCATTTAAGTACATGGGCAGAGGTTTGTCCCTGAGATAGAGCAAAAAAAGTTATAATGAGGGAAGTTCATATAAAACTGAGGGCCAGCCATCACAGTATATCCAGCCTCAAGTTATGTCAAATGTAGTTTGATCAGCTTTGTCAGTCTCTCCTCTGTTTTAATACAGGCTCAGATAAACTGTCCCTGAGCAACTCAGGGATAAGGGAAATTAGAAGTTGTAGATGGCTGAGTGCAATAGTCTTCAGGGCCAGAGTTTCCTGAGCATTGTCCCTGGAAAACCAGTGGAAACGTCTGTTGAGCACGCTAGCAATGGTGAGCTGTTTTATGTCCCTAAGATGAGGCATTTTAAAAGTGGAATGCCTAAAGTGAAAAACATAAATATAGCATAAAATGTTGTATTAAACAGCCAAGAGTTGAACCCCAAGGGTATCCAGTCTATCAGATCCCAGGAGGTCTTTGGATGGAAATCTCTGGATTATACACATTGCTTGTTGAGTTTCTTGACGTGAAGAGTCAATGCTCTGGGGGATGTTGTCCACAGTATGGTTTCCTTTTTTTTAAAAAAGCAAGTGTTTCACCAGACAGTCCTAGGAGCTCACACAGTGGATTGTCTGTGGGTGAATCCAGCAGTCTTAAGTGGTTTTCAGTTTTTCCAGGTTCAGTAAGTTGTCAGGCTTCAAATCTTGGGACTTCTTCAGATCCTGGGGAAAAGGCCAGCTTCGGGGTATCCTAGAGCCTTGATAGAGATCTGTGCAGTCAAGCTGTGGTTCTCAGTAATGCTGAGTCAGAAGTGAGAGAGAAAAATTAAAATATTGGTCTGGAGGGTCGGAAACAGATATTGAAGGAAACTGGAAGTCCTGAAAACTTGGTGAAGCTTGACAGTGTGTACAAGGTGACAGGAAATAACACTGTCTTTTGTTTTCACAGTGGGAGAAATCAAGACAGTTTGCTTATCCATCAATTATTACAGTTTTTAAACATATTCAAAGTAGCATAAAGATAATGAATATGATCAGAATCTGATATCCCTGAAGGATGTTGTGGGTTGAATTGTGTGCCCCAAGAGACATGTTCAAATCCTAACCTCTGGTGACTGTAAACATCATCCTATTTAGAAGTAGTGTCTGTATTAGTCTGCACTAAAATACAATATTCTGGTGTGTTCAAACAACAGAAATGTGCTTCTTATAGTTCTTGAGGAAGGGAAGTCCAAGCCACATTAAAGGTACTGTGCCTACCTGCTAAGGAGTTCAGAAAGTTCAAAAAGCAGTATGGATAAGGAGATGATAAAAGGGAAGAGGGCAGCCCAAAGATCATCTATATCCCCAAGCTGATAGCATAATGAAGATACCTACTTTGTGACAATGTTTTATTGATTCTGCAAACTTATCTCACAGACCTAAAAAAAAAACCTGAGCAATATTTATTCAGTAATTAGGAGGTCTATGCCCCACTGAGTCAGAGAAAGCAGCAAGCTTGATAGGTTTGCTATGGTCAGAAGATGATCTTGCATCAGTTATTGGAACTGACTAGTTAGCAGGTTCCCTTTTGCCTGAAGGAACGCTAATAAGAACACAATTCTAAGCTGATATTCATCGATGTTTGAAAAGAAGGAAAATTTGAATCCAAGTCCAAGTTAGGAAACCCGAAATCATCAGTGTTTTGTTAATCCTCGTGAGGGCTTTTCTCCTGGCTTACAGATGTTCACCTTCGTGCTGTGTCCTCACGTGGCCTTTCCTTGGTGTGTGCTTGTGAAGAGAGAGCACAGGCTCTCTAGTGTCTTTTCTTAGATGGGCACTAATCCCATTAGACCAAGGGCCAATGTTATGACCCCTTTTACCCTTAATCACTTTCTTCCTCCAAATGTAGCTCCACTGGTATTTAGAGCTTCAAAGTATGAATTTGGTGGGGGGACATGATTTAGTTTACAATTGGGTCTTTGCGGGATGTAATCAAGTTAAATGGGACCATATGAATTAGAATGGGCCATAATTCAATGATTAGTGTCCTTAAAATAAGAGGATATTTGGACACAAATGCACAGAAGGTCAAACAGGGTACACACACACATACACACACACACATACACACACACACAGGGCAGAAGGCCCTATGATGATGGGTGGAGATGAGAGTGATACGTCTCACAAGTCAAACTAGCCAAGGGTTACTGACCACCATGTGAAGCTAGAAGAGGTGCTGAAACATTCTTCCTAAGTCTCAGGGGGACCACAGACCTGCTGACACAATTCCAGATTTCTAGCCCTCAGAGCTGCCAGGGAATAAATTTAAGCCACTCACTTTGTAGTACTTGTTACAGCATCCCTAGGAAATGAATGCAAATTTGTTAGAGTCTTCTATTAAAAGACAACATTTATCCCTACAGTCACCCCCATACCTCCTTTTGATCAAAGGCAATCTCAAAGAAATATCATTCTTGACCATGAACTACTAACCCATGGTGGGTCTCATTAGATGTGGCCTCAGTATTTCACAGATAAAGGAAAAAGGACAATTTGCCATATAGGACTTTTAAAGTTTTTTTTTTTTTTTTTTTTTTTTTTGTAGGAAGTTTCCATAAGGAATCTTAGATTAGACTTTTAAACCTTCTTGAAAACCAAGCCATTACACTTCACCAGCAGTACTTCTAGTTTTTGGGTGAATTCTTCTCTTCTCAAGGACATAAAATATGTTAAATTTCTTCAAACTGCCAGGAAATGATCTCTATTTTTTACCTATATATTTGGGAATTTATAAGTCATGTATGGCTTTTCCAAGAGGGCTTTGAATGTACTGACTTTTTCAAGTCAACGTTAGTTCCTTAAAAATGTCTGGTCATACCTGAGTGACTATCATTTTAAAATATAATGTCTCAGGCAAGGCCTTGAACCAGTGTTTTAAGTTATATCCTGTTAACCAGAATAGACTCCTACTAAATGTATGTAAATAACTATATTGCCATGAAAATAAGAATTTCTGGGTTCTGAAAGGTTCAGGCAGGGAGAAAAGGATAAATGTTTCATTTTTGTTAGCAAAATCAAGGTCGATTAAATTGTTATGTTATAGATGACCTACGAAAACAGATAAAAGATTCCTTGCATTTACAAAGTGTAACAATAAAGCAACAGCAATATTCCAAGCAAGCCCACAATTATTCTTCATCAGCTCATTCAGTCCTATGTAATTAATTACTGTTCTGCTCATCTTGGGTTAGCAGTCTCATAAACTCATCTGCTTCTTGAATAGTGTTCTGGAAATCTTGACCCAGTCCACTGTATGGTTTCAGATTTTTCCAGATGATGTCATCAAATGCCTGTGCCTGTGAGTACCAAAGCCAAGCCTCATGCATCCAAATCTTAGCAAGCATAACTATAGTCACCAGTTACCTGAGTGCGTCACATGACTCACCTCTCTTGTTGGTGGAGGGCTCAATTCCACAGTTTCAGCTTAGCATTCCACTTATAATAAAGAGTCCATTGAACCTCTCCTCACTTGGAGACACATTTTTGTCCCACATTCAAGTCCAGTTTTTGGGTCAAAGCCCTAGGAAAGAAAACTGGATCTGAGAGATCCAGAGGCAGATGATAATAGAAATTAAAAGGCACAACACAGGTGAACATGACTAATTCCTGCCAAATAAGCCAAACCTTCCATTTCATGGACAAAGTTCAGCTCGTATCCATGGTGTAAATGAGGTCTAGGGAGTTTGAAGGCTACTGACAGTAGGGGAGATAGGGTGTACGTGGGTAAGAGTGGATATTCCCACTCCCTAGGCCCTCCCGTTAACATGGGTGAAAGCCACTTTGACACCCATGGGTGGCACACTTTTGCAGTTGCCAGGACATCCTATGTCAATAAGATGATGCCTTCTGTGGACAGGCACCAAGACCTGTCAAGAGAGTGAAGCCAAAAGGTAGAGAAAGATCACAGAAACTCTTGCAGGGGGCAATAAAAGCAGCAAAGAAATTCGTCATGGCTGAGGCATCTGCAGATTCTCTGTTCCTGAGAACGCTGAGACCTCTTTTCCATTGGAAAAGGCTGGCTGGGCTGCCCGAAGCCCTTCTGAGAAAACAGGAGCCACCCCTACCCTTCACAGTGTTCAGTGGTCTGCATTTAAAGGGAAAACTGGACTTGTTGGTCAGGCAGCTTGCTGGTCTCCTGAGCTACTCTATTGACTGTGGTTCCTTTCATACCCTTATCACTGCCTATGTGTGTTGAATATATTTGCCTGACTGTTGGTGTGTCCTCACAGTAAACTGTGAATTCGGAGAGCATTTAATTGGCCATTGAGTTATTGTGGAACTTCCTGCAAAACCAGGCTGATTCTAACCTGGCAGAAGAGCCATTATAAACCTGGGTAACAGGGAAGCTGGAGGTGAGCCTCGAGTGCACTGACATATAGACATGATATGAAATTCAAGTTGGAATCACAAGAGAGAATGTAAATGATTTAAACATAGACATTGCACAAACAATATTATAATTAGATATTGAGACATGGGTGTAGGGAGGCAGCAGATTAATAGGCAAATTAATGTTCTCACACTTCAGAGGATCGAGCCAATATGTAGTATAAAACCAAAATATTTTTATTCAAATCTAGTATGCATAATATGATTTCAATTTGGGGATAAAAGATAATAATCCCTGATTGTGAGGATTTTGCACTGTAGTGAGAAGAGGAGCATCTAAAGGAATCACAATAGATTTTGTTATGAGAGAATTGTGATAGAGCTCTACAGAGTGATATGGGAACTAAGACAAGGCATTTAAACCAGAGGACAACTCAGGCCTCCTAGCAGAGCAATTGCTTGGCTAAGACTCAGAGAAGAAGGAGAAGTAAGCCAGGACCAGAGAAGGGGGGCAGCCATGACAGGAGGTAGAAGGGGTCAAGCACCCACACATACAGAGCCAGTGCAGGAGCTCAGGGCATATTGAGTTGGAGGGTCTGTGGAGAAAGATGTAAGGAGGAATTTTCAGTAGTAAGTAGCCCGTGCTTTGGGGATCATGCACACTTCAATGGCACTTGAAGTGATAGAGTCAAAGATTGGCCAGGACTCAGAGAGAGGCGTGGAAAATGGGCTTAAAGAGGAGCAAGAGAAGAACGGGAACCCAGCCAGAACTTCTCAACTGGGCATCCCTGGGAGAATTATGTCTGAATATCCTAAAGCCAGTGGTTTTTTTAATTGAACATGTATCTAGACCACTGTAAGGCCTGTCAAAACACAGGTTGCTGGGCCCCACAATGGGAGCTTCTGTTCTGGTGGGAGTGGCTGTGCCCAAGAAGTTGCATTTCTAACATTTCTAAGAAGTCTCCAGGTGATGCCTAAGCTGCTGATCGCAGGCCCCCACTTTGAGAACATTATGCCTAAGGCATCCATTATATGCAATAAATTGACTTCATTGCTATGCAGCAGAGAATGGTATTAATTATGTACTACCTTGAGAAAATTGGGAAAAATCATCCTATTATGATCCCTCATTTTTTGTACTCTGGGGCTCAGACACAGAATCCTGGTAGGTAAAAACTGGAGGACTGAGATGAGGAGGACTAAGAGGAAAGAAGAGAATGGGAGTGGGGCCAACGGAGGCAAAAGGTTACAGCATCCAGGAGAGAAAGTCCACCCAGAGGACCCAGCCTGCCCAATATTAAGTAGAGGAGAGTAAATGTCAGTTTTAACTTAAGTGAATTAGGAGAAATGTGCAATCCTCATGTGCCACCCAGGATTATTGCAAGAACTCAGTAAGATAGATAATCATTGTAGATAAAGCATTTGGTAAGCAAATACCAGTGGGCAAACACAAATTATGACTGTTATTCTGCACTGCTAGGCTTTTCATCATTTGTACTGCTTTTCATCCACGATGAGACTTCATGGGCTTTCAATGAAGATGACATAGCAGAATCTTCAATGTTTGAACTATTATTAATGAAAAAATATAAATTCCCATTTTTATAATATTTAAGAGCATAAAGAAAGCATTTTCACCTGTATTATTTAATTGGATTTTAAAAAGTAATCCCTATTTAAAGAAGGAGTGTACTTGATTTCAGGCCCAGAATCGTGGGGTGTCTGGGAAAGGAACCATGTTTTTGGCTCCTGAGGCTGCAGAGGGCATCTCAGGTGACTTCTGAGAATTGGCCAGGATCAGCTCCAGTCCCCTGGCAGGGATGGAGCCCAAGGCCTGCCTGTGGCCATGCATGCCCTGTGCTATTTGTTGCTTCCCTGTGTCCTCAGGAAAGTCAACTTGCAGCAACCATTAGGGTGCCTAGAGGCCCAGAACTGTCCACAGAGTGGGCAGGCCTGGGCTTCCAGAAAGAAGTATTAGAGCAGGAGCCTGCCTGGAGCCTTTCCGGCTGGCTGCCCTGCCAGCTGTGCCCAGGCCAGGTCTGATCTGTGTGTGGGCCCCAGAGTCTGTAGCCTGGTTACTCTCCCCTTGGGAACCCCGTGTCCTGCTGTGCCCAGTGAGTGCTTGGCAGCCTTCCCTGAGCTGGGACCAGTGGAGGATTTTACCCCAAGCTAGGTGACAGTTTGTTCCTTCATGCTAAAAGCGAAGTGTGCAGCCTTTTAACTTGGGCTCAGTGTCCCATTCAGGACACTGTATTTTCAGATCCCATACTGATGTGCTTCACAGGGGTCTGACCAAATCTGAATCTTTTTCGTAAACCTTTCCAGCGTTTCTTCAGAGAAGAGTGTTATCCTTCCAATCCTACCTCCTGACCCGCACAGCTGGGACCTCTCTCCGTGGTATCTTGCTGCCACTGCTTCAACACTCTACAGACTTGCCCTGAATCTCACGCTTCAGGAATCAGGGCAGGTCCCTTCCTCAGTTAATAAAAGGCTCTTGTTCAAATCAAAATTAGACTAATTTTCCTTCTTATTGTATTATTTATAACAATAATGGGTCACGTTTATTGACATGCTTAACCTAGTGTACATACAAGACCTCACTTGTCCCAACAGCTATATAAAGCAGTTAATATCATGACTCCTGTGTCTCCAGTGCAACAGCTGTGGCTCAGAGAGATGAAGTGGTGGTTTCAAGGTCACAGGGCTGGTATGTGGCACAGCAAAATCAGCCTCAAACCCAAGTCTCAGCTCTAAACAGCCAGGCCATGCTGTCTTTCCGGGAACAGCCGGAGGCCTCTCCTTTCTCCTATGCCAGCTGCTTGGATGCTGGAGCACAGTGGCCTGACAACACGTGACCACCTTTAATGGACAACCATTCATTGTGTACCTGTCCAATGAACACACTATCCTTTCAGTGAGGACAGAGTGTTATCTGCCCTCAGGAACACTCTGCACCTTAGACTTGGTCCAAGTCTCCCTGGGACAAGCCTTATCTGTAAATCTATAATATTTATAATGATAATTTATAGTTGAAGGCCTGTGATAGGCAGAATGATGGCCCCGGAAGATATCCATATCCTAGTCACCAGAACCTGTGAATATGTTTGTCAGTTTCCTTCAAGTTTACATCTTGAGACTAGGGAGGAAAAAAACATGGCAAAAAGTTTTAAAATGCATTTTGGGGCTAAACTGCTCGGTTTTGAGACTGGTTTGAAGTCTGGTGGAGGCTGGGGCAGAGCTGGAGTCTGGTTTGTTGATAGCTGCATCTAGCAGGAAGTGAGGGGGAATGAGCAGGAAAGACCTTGAGCCATTGACCAGGCCCTTGGTGTTCCTGTGCCACGTGGGCTAACAAGGTCGGAGGGAGGCATAGGACACTGGCCTGTGCTTCAGGAGACTGTCCCAGGCTCTCCACAGGTGCTGCAGCTCTGAGTCCCCTTTCCTCCTCCCTCCCCACAGATTTAGATTAATCTCTTCTCTGAACAAGAGTTTAGATTTTTTTTTCAGATTTGCTGTTTGGCTTCTGTTCACAACCGTTAAAAAGTGTGAGTCATCCATTTAAAACTGACTTAATCAAAGCTTAATTTGTTATATTTCTCAGTGTCTGCCTTGGACAAATCTCTGATTTTACCAAAAGCTGCTATGTTCAAAATCCAACATCCCATACATAAAGTGTTGACTAATTAGTTCTGTCTGTGCAGCAGCTCTCACAGCCAAACCTGGCCCATGGTTAGAATGCATTAAGGGTGAGATATATTTTTTAAGCTGCCATGAGGTTGGAAAAAAGGCCATGATTCTCTGCATTTTCTTATTTTGACGTTGGTGCAATAATGTTGAAATTATTTGCAATTCAGTGTGAGGTACTCATGGCAGTACACGGCGATGGGTGGAAGTATGTTAGTTGAACATTATTATAATATTCGTAAGAATTTAAGCCCATTATTTTCTTGTCTGGTACCTAATTGGACTGCATTTAATTTATTTCTTCATCAATAAGCACTCATATATTATTTCTTGGTTATTTTATTGTTGTCAGTACTGACAACACAATTTACAAAACTTTAAAAATTACATTTAAATAGAAACTTCATTGTTACTTTAAAGACTCATATAATAAATGATAGTCTTCCAGTTTCCATTCAATTCATCAGACGTTTATTAAGCAGCTACCTTGGACCAGATACTGTTCCAAGTTTTTCAGTTTCATCAGTGTTTTACATAGATAGATAGATAGATAGATAGATAGATAGATAGATAGATAGATAGATATAAAATCTGTGCCAATGAGCTGTAATTTTAGCCATAATCTTGGACAAGAAAGTAGTGAATTTATTTCCTTTAAGGACGTGTATTTGTAACTCATTTTTATGCTGTGTCTTTGTGCTGATGATATTTTGCAGTTGTCACAGTGACTTATGAAAAATTCTAAGGGGGAATCAGGCTAGCTCCCTAAGAATCACACTTTTAAACTCATGGTTTTAAAAAGTCTGGCCATTAAGTGCAATGATTAAGGTTAAATTTGTGTACCTTTTACCCAAGAGGTCAAAAGTCAGATTGTCTTCAGAGTCTCACTAATGAACAGCACATTCAATTCATTATGGTGAAAGATGCTTGAATTTTGACCACCACCCCGTCTTTAGACTATTTAGTGTCACTATAAAGGAATAGCTGAGGCTGGGAAATTTATTTTAAAAAATGTTTATTTGGCTCATAATTCTGATGGCTGGAAGACTGGACACGTGGTGAGGGACTCAGACTGCTTCCACTTCTGGCAGAAGGTGAAGGGGGTCAGTGCATCCAAAAATCACATGGTAAGACAGGAAGCAAGAGAAGGGAGTTTCCAGGCTCTTTTTAACAACCAACTCTTGTGGGAAGGAATAGAGCAAGAGCTCACTCACTCCTGGGGAGGGTATTAATCTATTCCTGAGGGGTCTCCCACTATCACCCAAACACCTTCTGTTAGACCCCACCTCCAACATTTAGAATCAGATCTCAACATAAGGTTTGGAAGGGACAAATGTCCAAACCATGGCAATCTCTTTCCCAGGGAATACTCATCCTGTATATTTTTCCATGTGAGATCCAACCATAACCTAGGCATCTCTTGTGAGAAAACAATGCTGGTAGAATTCTGAGATTCAGTCCACTGGATACCTGTGGGAGGCCTTGAATGTTGCCTTTGTAAATCATCTCTAGTTCTGGCCATGTGATTGTTGGGCAATGGGCAGAGGCTGAGAATGGTCTTCCTGGAGCCTCCAATTTAGTGAGCAAAGTGTAGAGTATGTTAGAAGAGATGATACTTGTGATGGAAATGATTAGGGCAGAATAAGGGGAACCAGGAAGTGCTGGATTGTAAGTAGAATGATCAGGGAAGACATGACTGAAATGATGCTTTCTGGGTAAAGATTGAAGGATATGAGGAGAGGGTCATGTAGCTGTTTGATCGAAGAGCATTCTTGGCAGAGGAAATGCCAGGCCAAAGTCTCTATGGCAGGACTACACTAGGTGAGTTCAAGGAAGAGTGGGGAAGTCACTAGGTCTGAAGAGAAGTGAGTGTGCAAAGGTTAGAAGGTGGTTAGAAAGGGACCTGGGGACAGATGGTGTAGGACAGGAGACCGTGATACAATTCAGCTTAGACTGAATGGGTTGGGGCACTGCTGCAGCATTTTGATCAGCACAGTGATGTGATCCATTTAGGATCATATGGTGACTGGGTAATTATGACATAGAAGGAGGGATATTCATTAGGTTGTGATTGCAAGTCTTCAGGGAAGACACGCCAGTGACTCAGAGGAGGTTGGTCACAGTAATGTTGATAAGAAGAGGTCATGTTCTGGATATAGTTTGAAGTCAGAGCCAAATGATGTATGGATTGGATGTAGTGTGCAAGAGAGAGAGAAATAGAATAAGCTTTGGCTGAGCAACTGAAAAGATGGAGTTGCCTTTTAATTGAGATGAAGAAGACAGTGGGTGAATTAGGTTTGTGGGTTTGACTTTTTCTGTTTGAAATGTATATAAAACAAGGAAGTAGAGATATGAAGTAGGCAGTTGGGCTGACAATTTAGGAATTCAGGGTTGAGATCTGAGGTGGAGATAAAAATTTGGAAGATGGTACCATGTTGCAGAAATTTAAAATCCATGTGAGAGAATGAGATTATCTAAGAAGCGAGCCAGAGAAAGAAGAGATAGAAAGCAGAAGTAACATAAAAGCTGTAATACTATTTAAGCCTTTTTCTCTGTTTTTATGATGTTTCTTTTATAAGGATTATTTTTAAAATTTCTTTGCCACATTATTCTAATGAGTCCACTGTCTAGTTTTACGAAAACACATAATAATGTTCCTCAATATCTATATTTCACTATGCCACTCGACCTACCCAGCATTTAAAGGTGCACTTGAGTGTTTATGAAACGTTCTTTTAATCTCCTGCTATATAAAAAGGAAAAAGTCAAAAATATTAACAGCTGATGGACAAAGAAATAAATTACGTATTTGCATGTGGAAATAATAAAGCAACTTAGAACTAAATCACAAAGTTATCTGGGAAGGACATTGAATGTTTTATTGTAAATCTTTAACATAACTCAAAAATTAGTAGTAGTATTGGAGAACATGCAAACCTCATGTTAGTTTACATTTCAAAATCAATTATTCATGTCAGAAACATGTTCAAATTTCTGTGAAAGTTTAGAAGATATGTATCACAAATAAAAGCATTTCAAATGCTCACACAGGATTTTTGGGAGAGAGGAGAGAGAAACCACATTAATTTAAACAAGAAAAGTTTAATACAGAGAATGATTAACTCTAACAAGAGATTGGAGTAACGAGGTGTTGGCAAGTAAGAAGTAAAACTCTGAAGAATATAGGAATATCAAATATAAGGAACAGCCACTATCCCTAGGGCTGAGATAGAGTAAGAGCCTCTTCGAAAAGAACCTGTCTTCCCATGCCCACCAGGACTGAGACCCAGACCTTATGGGAGAGGACGTGGCATGACTCATGGGACAACAGAGAAGCTACTGCGGTTCAATTCTGGAAGAACTTGCTCTACTCTCTGAAACTTGCAGGAAATCCACCCTCTAGGGTGTGGGGAAGGTGTTCACAAGGATGTGTCTCCCTGGAGGCATCCTACTACAAAACCATCCTGGGAGGAAGCTGGGGAAGCACTGGACACCCCCACTGCAGGAGCTGAACCCTGGGGAAGCCATGTGTGCTGCAGGAGTGGGACCTAGAGGAGCTGGCACAGTGGAGAAGAACCACGGGAGCCTGGCCAGTGAAAACCCTGAACCAGGAAGCAAAACTCTTTCCTCCCACAATGTCTCTCCAGTGCTCTCTGCTGACAAGGTTTCAACATCACAGCAGCTGGCAAAGGAAAAATATTGAAAGGGTTCAGATTCAGTTTCGCAGAGAGGGCAGACAGTGAATTTGGACTGAGAAGCAATCAATCGATTACTGGACAGCATGGAAAAATTCGTATGAGTTTGTGTAGTTTTATAAAATTATCAGAGTCTATCAAAAACACATTTTAAAAGTCACACACATCGTTAAATACCAGAGCATTTCAATTACTATCTAAAGTTTTCATTACATTTTTATATTCCAATAAACATGAAATTTCCTGATATTTTGGCATAGTATCAAAGTATTTTGAGTGATCAGACAGAAAATTTAGAAAATTGAAGTATTCCTTTTCTGAAGGAGTGTGTGTGTGTGTGTGTGTGTGTGTGTGTATTCTGTGGTAGTGGAGTAACAACCACAAGGATTACATTTATTTTAAGAATTGTAAAATATACGTAACATATAATTCACTATTATTTTAACTATTTTTAAGTGTACTATTAAGTAGCTTTAAGTACATTCACAACGTTATGTAACCATCATCACTATCCATTTCCAGAACTTTTTCATTATCCCAAACAGAAACTATACTCACTAAAAATGTCTCTATTACCTTCTCCTCCAATCCCTGGTAACTTCTACCTTCTCTCTCCATAAATTTCACTATTCTAGGTGAGTCATAGAATGAGGGAGGTATTTTTCTGTCTCCAATTTTTTGAAGAGTTTGAGAGGGTTTTTGTTCGCATTTAAATGTTCAGTGGAATATGCCACTGAAGCTATCTAGCTCTAGGCTTTTCTTTGTTCTCTTTATTAGCTGTGAGTCTGTTCATATTTTCTATTCTTTCACAAGTCAGTTTAGTATATCGTGTGTTTCTAGGAACTTGTCTATTTCATCTAGGGTATCCAAGTTGTTCATGTACTGTTGTTCATAGTATTCTTCCATAATCATTTTTATTTCTATGAAATCAGTAGCGATGTCCCACTTTCATTTCTTTATTTTATTTTATTTTATTATTATTATACTTTAAGTTTTAGTGTACATGTGCACAATGTGTAGGTTAGTTACATATGTATACATGTGCCATGCTGGTGTGCTGCACCCATGAACTCGTCATTTAGCATTAGGTATATCTCCTAATGCTATCCCTCCCCCCTCCCCCCACCCCACAACAGTCCCCGGAGTGTGATGTTCCCCTTCCTGTGTCCATGTGTTCTCATTGTTCAATTCCCACCTATGAGTGAGAACATGCAGTGTTTGGTTTTTTGTTCTTGCGATAGTTTACTGAGAATGATGATTTCCAATTTCATCCATGTCCCTACAAAGGACATGAACTCACCATTTTTTATGGCTGCATAGTATTCCATGGTGTATATGTGCCACATTTTCTTAATCCAGTCTATCATTGTTAGACATTTGGGTTGGTTCCAAGTCTTTGCTATTAACACTTCCAAGTGAAGTCTCCAAATCAATTTTTACTCTTGAACACATTCTAAACATCTTTAACCTTAACTGCCATTTCTTAATGACCCCTTTGGAGCCTTTCTTATAGGCATTGGGGATGGCATTGAATCCATAAATTACCTTGGGCAGTATGGCCATTTTCATGATATTGATTCTTCCTACCCATGAGCATGGAATGTTCTTCCATTTCTTTGTATCCTTTTTTATTTCATTGAGCAGTGGTTTGTAGTTCTCCTTGAACTGGAAGGTTTACAGGTTTACCACTGTAAATGAGGTTTACAGTGTCCATGGCTATGTGCTTGTGTGTGCTTTCATAGCAGATATCATCATTTTATTTCCATATTTAGAACTCCACTAAGCATCTCTTGTAGGGCCAGTCCTATGGTGATGAATTCCCTTAGCATTTGCTTGTCTGGAAAAGACATTTTTCTCCTTCACTTATTAAGCTTAGTTTTGCAGAATATAAAATTCTTGTCTGGCATTTTTTTCCCGCATTGGCGGTTCAACAATATCCACTGTTCTGCAGCCACCACTGCTGATACCCAGGCAAACAGGGTCTGGAGTGGACCTCTAGCAAACTCCAACAGACCTGCAGCTGAGGGTCCTGTCGGTTAGAACATAAACCAACAAACAGGAAGGACATCAAGGTGTACAGATGGGACACCAAAACCCATCTGTACATCACCATCATCAAAGACCAAAGGTAGATAATACCACAAAGGTGGGCAAAAAACAGAGCAGAAAAACTGGAAACTCTAAAAATCAGAGCACCTCTCCTCCTCCAAAGGAATGCAGCTCCTCACCAGCAACAGAACAAAGCTGGATGGAGAATGACTTTGACGAGTTGAGAGAAGAAGGCTTCAGATGATCAAACTACTCCGAGCTACAGGAGGAAGTTTGAACCAATGGCAAAGAAGTTAAAAACTTTGAAAAAAAATTAGACGAATGGATAACATCTGCATCATGCAATATATCCACATAACAAACCCACGCATGTACCTTCTGGATCTAAAATAAAAATAAAATAAAATATTTTTTAAAAGATATTCCATGCACGTGGAATGTAAAAGCAGAGGTAGCTACATCTATTATTTCAGAGAAAACAGACTTTATGTCAAAAACTGTTAAAAGACACAAAGAAGGTTATTATATAGTGATAAAGCAATTAACTCATCAAGGGGATATAAGAATTATACAGAAACATGCACCCCAAATTGGGAGCTCCTAAATATATAAAACAAGCATTAAGAGATCTGAACAAAGATATAGATTGCAACACAGTAATAGTAGGGGATTTCAGTTCCCCACTTCAAACAATAGATTGACCAGTCAGAAAATCAATAAGGAAACATTAGATTTCAACTATAGAGCAAACGTATCTAACAGATATACACAGAGTTTTCCACCCAACAGCAACAGAATACACCTTCTTTTCAAGTATACATCTATCATTCTCCAAGTTAGATCATATGTTAGGCACAAAACAAGTCTTAACAAATTTAGGAAGATTAAATCATGTTATGCGTCTTTTACAACCATGACGCTTTGAGACTAGAATTCAATAACAGGATGAATCATGGGAAATTAACAAACATGTGGACACTAAACAATGTGCTGTAGAACAAGTATTGGGTCAAAGAAGAAATTATAGGCAAAAATTAAAAATATCTTTAGCATGTAAAAATAGAACACAACATATCAAAATTTATGGGGTGCAACAAAAACAGTTCTAAGAAGGAAACTTACACTAATTCTTTTTTTCTTCCTAAAGAAAATAAAAAACAATCCCATGTGCAATGCTGCATGCCTGTACTCTCTCCCACTCAGAGGGAGGATCAATTCAGCCTGAGTTCAAACCCAGCGTGGGCTATATTGTAAGACTTTGCCTCTAAAAATAATACTATTTTAAAAAAAAAAAAAGAAAAGAAAGATCTCAAACAACCCAGTGTTACACCTCAAGGAACTAGGGGAATAAAAAAAGAACAAACTAAGCCCAAAGTTAGCACAAAGGAAAGAAATAACAAAGACCAGAGCAAAAATAAATAAAACAGAGGTGTTAAAACACTTAAAGATATCGATGAATCTATGAGTTGGTTATTTGAAAAGCTAAACAAAATTGACAAACCTTTAGCTACACAAACTAAGAGAGGCCTCATTAAATTCAGAAATGAAAGAGGAGACATTACAACTGATAACATAGAAATACAAATAATCATAAGATTACTATAAACAACTATATGTCAACAAATTAAATAATCTGATAGAAATGGGTAAATTCCTAGAAACATTACCTAGCAAGACTAAAACACAATAAAATAGAAAATCTGAACAGACCAATAATGAGTAAGGAGATTACATAATCAATTAAGTCTCACATCAAAGAAAACCCCAAGACCTCATAACTTTATGGCTCAATTCTACCAAACATTTAAAGAAGAACTAATACCAATCCTATTCAAACCTTTGCAAAACCTGAAGTGGAGGAAGCACTTCCAAACTCAATTTACAAGGCCAGAATTATCCCAATGCCAAAGCCAAAGAAAAACACTATAAGAAAACAAAACTACAGACTATTATTCCTAATGAACACAGATAAAAATATTGTCAACAAAATACAAGCAAACTATATTCAAAAGTACATTAAAAAGATCATTTGCCATAATCAAGTGGGATTTATCCTTGGGATGCAAGGATGATTCAACATATACAAATCAATAGATGCAACATAATTTAATAACAGAATGAAGGACAAAAACATATCAATATCTCAATCAACACACAAAAAAAGCATTTGACTAAATTTAACATCTTTTCATGATTAAAAAAACTGTCAATAAATTAGGTATAAAAGGAATGTTTCTCAACACAATAAAGGCTATATACAATAAGCCCACAGCTAACATCATAATCAATGGTGAAAAGTTGAAGGCTTTTCCTCTAAAATAAAAAACAGGACAAAGATGCCTCTTCACACCACTATGTTTAGCATAGTACTAAAAGTTCCAGCCAGAAAAATTAAGCAAGAAAAACAAAGAAAGTCATGCAAATAGAAAAGGAGGAAGTGAGATGTTCTGTTTGCTAATGATATGATCTTATATAGAGAAAATTCTAAAGACTCCTCCCAAAATCTCTTAGAATTGCCAAAGAAATTCAGTGAAGTTGCAGAAAACAAATTCACCTTACAAAAACCAGTTGCATTTCTGCACACTAACAATGAACTATCTTTTTAAAAAATAAAAAAATAAACCAATTTACAATAGCACCAAATATAAAATAAAATACTTAGGAATAAATTTAACCAAGAATGTGAAAGATCTATATACTGAAAATGGTAAAACATTGATGAAAGAAATTGAAGATGACACAAATAAACTGAAAGATTTTCTGTGTTAATGTATTGAAAGAATATTTTTAAAATATCTGTACTACCCAAAGCCATTCATAGACTCTATGCAATCTCAATCAAAGTCTCAAGGTCATTCTTCACAGAAATAGAAAGAGAAGTTATAAAATTCACATGAAACCACAAAAGGCCACGCCAAAGCCATCTTGAGCAAAAAGAACAAAGCTAGAGGCATCACACCACCAGATTCCAAAACACTTTACAAAGCTATAGTCGTCAAAACAGCATGGTGCTGGCATAAAACAGATACATCATCCAATGAACTAGGATAGAGAGTTCAGAAATAAACACCCACAATTACAGTCTATTAATTTTTGAAAAAAGTGCCAGTAACACACAATGGGAAAAGAACAGTCTCTTCAATAAATGGTGTTGGGAAAATTGGATATCCACATGCAGAAGAATAAAAGTAAACGATTTTCTTACCCCTTATACAGGAATCAACTCAAAATGGGCTAAAGACTTAAAATATATGAGCTGAAACTGTAAAACTACTAGAGGAGAACATAAACATAGTGGTAAAGCTCCATGGCATAAGTCTGGAGCTATGTGAAATCACTGTGATGGACAAAAACAGACAAATGTCACTGCATTGATCTGAAAGCTTTCTAAACATCAAAGGAAACAATTAACAGAATGAAAAGACAACCCACAACCTGGGAGAAAACATTTGCAAATCATAGATTGGATTAGAGGCTAATATTTAAAATACACAAGGAACTCATACAACTGAATAACAAAAAAAAGAAATAACCCTAATTAAAAATGGACAAAGGTTCTAAATAGTAATTTCTCAAAAGAATACATAGAAATGGACTACAGATATAGGAAAAAGTGCTGAACCTCTCCAATCATCAGAGAAATGCAAATTAAATCCACAATAAAATATCATCTCACACATGTTAGATCATCTCTTATCAAAAAGACAACAAATAACAAGTGTGGGGAAGGTATAGAAAAAAGAGAACCCTTGTACAACATCAGTGGCATTGTAAATTAGTACAGCCACTTTGGAAAACAATATGAAGCCTCTTCAAAAAACTAAAAATACAATCACTAATGATCCACAGATAACCAAAAGGCCAGGGGTCCAGTGTAGGTCCTGCAGCTCACCACAAAGAAAGCCAATGATTAGGACAATGAGTAGTGCCAGGAAGAAGGAAGAAGGATTTAACGGGGTGCTGCAACCAAGGAGGTGGGATATCAGTCTCAAATCAATTTCCCTGACCAACTACAATGAGGGGGTTATAGAGCAGGGAACACATGTAACAATATGTAAGAAAACAGGAACTAGAGAGGGGCAAGAAAACAATCATGATGAATAAGGAAGCCTGCACTGCATTGTCTGGATGTGGTGATGGATGAGTTTCAATTCTTTGATACTTTTGTTTAGAGGCCTGATGGTCATTTCCTGGGGAAGGAATGCAGAAAAAATGAATGTAAGTTTCAAGCTTTAAGACCAGAAAGGTCAATTTCTATATTTATTCAAAAAGTTGCCTATGGGACTATTGGGTGGGTTTCACAGCTCTGCCACTACTGGGTATACATCCAAAGAAATGAAATCAGTGCGTTGAAGAGATAGCTACACTCCCATATTGATTGCAGCATTAGTCACAAGAGCCACAATATGGAAACAACTGTAGTGCCTATCTGTGGGTGAATGTATACAAATATTTGGTGTGTATACACAATAGAGTACTATGTAGCCTTTAAAAACATGAAATTGGGGGTGGAGCCAAGATGGTCGAATAGGAATAGCTCCAATCTACAGCTCCCAGCATGAGTGACGCAGAAGACGAGTGATTTCTGCATTTCCAACTGAGGTACCGGGTTCATCTCACTGGGGAGTGTCAGACAGTGGGTGCAGTGCACCGAGCGTGAGCCAAAGCAGGGTGAGGCATTGCCTCACCTGGGCAGCACAAGGGGTCAGGGAATTCCCTTTCCTAGTCAAAGAAAGGGGTGACAGATGGCACCTGGAAAATTGGGTCACTCCCACCCTAATACTGCGCTTTCCAACGGTCTTAGCAAATGGCACACCAGGAGATTATATCCCGCACCTGGCTCAGAGGGTCTTACACCCACGGAGCCTTGCTCATTGCTAGCACAGCAGTCTGAGATCAAACTGCAAGGTGGCAGCGAGGCTGGGGGAGGGGTGCCTGCCATTGCCAAGGCTTGAGTAGGTAAACAAAGTGGCCGGGAAGCTCAAACTGGATGGAGCCCACTGCAGCTCAGGGAGGCCTGCCTGCCTCTGTAGACTCCACCTCTGGGGGCAGGAAATAGCCAAACAAAAGGAAGCAGAAATCTCTGCAGACTTAAATGTCCCTGTCTGACAGCTTTGAAGAGAGTAGTGGTTCTCCCAGGATGCAGCTTGAGATCTGAGAACGGACAGACTGCCTCCTCAAGTGGGTCCATGACCCCCGAGTAGCCTAAGTGGGAGGCAACCCCCTGTAGGGGCAGACTGACACCTCACACGGCCAGGTACTCCTCTGAGACAAAACTTCCAGAGGAACGATCAGGCAGCAACAGTTTCTGTTCACCAATATCCACTGTTCTGCAGCCTCCACTGCTGATACCCAGGCAAATGGTCTGGAGTGGACCTCCAGCAATCTCCAACAGACCTGCAGCTGAGGGTCCTGACTGTTAGAAGGAAAAGTAACAAATGGAAAGGACATCCACACCAAAACCCCATCTGTATGTCACCATCATCACAGACCAAAGGTAGATAATACCACAAAGATGGGGAAAAAGCAGAGCAGAAAAACTGGAAACTCTAAAAATCAGAGCACCTCTCCTCCTTCAAAGGAACGCATTTCCTCACCAGCAATGGAACAAAGCTGGACAGAGAATAACTTTGATGAGTTGAGAGTAGAAGGCTTCAGACAATCAAACAACTCTGAGCTAAAGAAGGAAGTTCCAACCCATGGCAAAGAAGTTGAGAAACTTGAAAAAAAATTAGACGAATGGCTAACTAGAATAACCAATGCAGAGAAGTCCTTACAGGACCTGATGGAGCTGAAAACCAAGGCATGAGAACTACGTGACGAATGCACAAGCCTCAGTAGCTGATTTGATCAACTGGAAGGGAGGGTATCACTGATGGAAGATCAAATGAATGAAATGAAGCAAGAAGAAAAGTTTAGAGAAAAAAGAATAAAAAGAAATGAACAAAGCCTCCAAGAAATATGGGACAATGTGAAAAGACCAAATCTACATCTGATTAGTGTACCTGAAAGTGACGGGGAGAATGGAACCAAGTTGGAAAACACTCTGCAGGATATTATCCAGGAGAACTTCCCCAATCTAGCAAGGCAGGCCAACATTCAAATTCAGGAAATACAGAGAATGCCACAAAGATACTCCTCGAGAAGAGCAACTCCAAGACACAAAATTGTCAGATTCACCAAAGTTGAAATGAAGGAAAAAATGTTAAGGGCAGCCAGAGAGAAAGGTCGGGTTACCCAGAAAGGGAAGCCCATCAGACTAACAGTGGATCTCTCGGCAGAAACTCTACAAGCCAGAAGAGAGTGGGGGCCAATATTCAGCATTCTTAAAGAAAAGAATTTTCAACCCAGAATTTCATATCCAGTCAAACTAAGCTTCATAAGTGAAGGAGAAATAAAATCCTTTACAGAGAAGCAAATGCTGAGAGATTTTGTCACCACCAGGCCTGCCCTAAAAGAGCTCCTGAAGGAAGCACTAAACATGGAAAGGAACAACCGATACCAGCCACTGCAAAAACATGCCAAATTGTAAAGACCATCAAGGCTAGGAAGAAACTGCATCAACTAACTAGCAAAATAACCAGCTAACATCATAATGACAGGATCAAATTCACACATAACAATATTAACCTTAAATGTAAATGGGCTAAATGCTCCAATTAAAAGACACAGACTGGCAAATTGGATCAAGAGTCAAGACCCATCAGTGTGCTGTGTTCACGAAACCCATCTCATGTGCAGAGACACACATAGGCTCCAAATAAAAGGATGGAGGAAGATCTACCAAGCAAATGGAAAACAGAAAAAGGCAGGGGTTGCAATCCTAGTCTCTGATGAAACAGACTTTAAACCAACAAAGATCAAAAGAGACAAAGAAGGCCATTACATAATGGTAAAGGGATCAATTCAACAAGAAGAGTTAACTATCCTAAATATATATGCACCCAATACAAGAGCATGCAGATTCATAAAGCAAGTCCTGAGTGACCTACAAAGAGACTTAGACTCCCACACAATAATAATGAGAGACTTTAACACCCCACTGTCAACATTGTACAGATCAATGAGACAGAAAATTAACTAAGATACCCAGAAATTGAACTCAGCTCTGCACCAAGTGGACCTAATAGACATCTACAGAACTCTCCACCACAAATCAACAGAATATACATTCTTTTCAGCACCACCCCACACGTATTCCAAAATTGACCACATAGTTGGAAGTAAAGCACTCCTCAGCAAATGTAAAAGAACAGAAATTATAACAAACTGTCTCGCAGACCACAGTGCAATCAAACTAGAACTCAGGATTAAGAAACTCGCTCAAAACCACTCAACTACATGGAAACAAAACAACCTGCTCCTGAATGACTACTGGGTATATAATGAAATGAAGGCAGAAATAAAGATGTTCTTTGAAACCAACGAGAACAAAGACACAAAATAACAGAATCTCTGGGACACATTGAAAGCAGTGTGTAGAGGGAAATTTATAGCACTAAATGCCCACAAGAGAAAGCAGGAAAGATCTAAAATTGACACCCTAACACCACAATTAAAAGAACTAGAAAAGCAAGAGCAAACACTTTCAAAAGCTAGCAGAAGGCAAGAAATAACGAAGATCAGAGCAGAACTGAAGGAAATAGAGACACAAAAAACCCTTCAAAAAATTAATGAATCCAGGAGCTGGTTTTTTGAAAAGATCAACAAAATTGATAGACTGCTAGCAAGACTAATAAAGAAGAAAAGAGAGAAGAATTAAATAGATGCAATAAAAAATGATAAAGGGGATATCACCACCGATCCCACAGAAATACAAACTACCATCAGAGAGTACTATAAACACCTCTACGCAAATAAACTAGCAAATCTAGAAGAAATGGATAAATTCCTTGACACATACACCCTCCCAAGACTAAACCAGGAAGAAGTGAATCTCTGAATAGACCAATAATAGGCTCTGAAATTGAGGCAATAATCAATAGCTTACCAACCAAAAAAGTCCAGGACCAGATTTATTCACAGCCAAATTCTACCAGAGCCACAAGGAGGAGCTGGTACCATTCCTTCTGAAACTATTCCAATCAATAGAAAAAGAGGGAATCCTCCCTAACTCATTTTATGAGGCCAGCATCATCCTGATACCAAAGCCTGGCAGAGACACAACCAAAAAAGAGAATTTTAGACCAATATCCTTGATGAACATGGATGCAAAAATCCTCAATAAAATACTGGCAAACCAAATCCAGCAGCACATCAAAAACTTATCCACCATGATCAAGTGGGCTTCATCCCTGGGATGCAAGGCTGGTTCAACATATGCAAATCAATAAATGTAATCTAGCATATAAACAGGACCAAAGACAAAAACCACATGATTATCTCAATGGATGCAGAAAAGGCCTTTGACAAAATTCAACAATGCTTCATGCTAAAAACTCTCAATAAATTAGGTATTGATGGGACGTATCTCAAAAAAATAAGAGCTATCTATGACAAACCCACAGTCAATATCATACTGAATGGGCAAAAACTGGAAGCACTACCTTTGAAAACTGGCACAAGACAGGGATGCCCTCTCTCACCACTCCTATTCAACATAGTGTTGCAAGCTCTGGCCAGGGCAATCAGGCAGGAGAAGGAAATAAAGGGTATTCAATTAGGAAAAGAGGAAGTCAAATTGTCCCTGTTTGCAGATGACATGATTGTATATCTAGAAAACCCCATCGTCAAAGCCCAAAATCTCCTTAAATTGATAAGCAACTTCAGCAAAGTCTCAGGATACAAAATCAGTATGCAAAAATCACAAGCATTCTTATACACCAATAACAGACAAATAGAGAGCCAAATCATGAGTGAACTCCCATTCACAATTGCTTCAAAGAGAATAAAATACCTAGGAATCCAACTTACAAGGGATGTGAAGGACCTCTTCAAGGAGAACTACAAACCACTGCTCAATGAAATAAAAGAGGACAAAAACAAATGGAAAAACATTCCATGCTCATGGGTAGGAAGAATCAATATCGTGAAAATGGCCATACTTCCCAAGGTTAGTTTATAGATTCAATGCCATCCCATCAAGCTACCAATAACTTTGTTCACAGAATTGGAAAAAACTACTTTAAAGTTCATATGGCGCCAAAAAAGAGCCCACATCGCCAAGTCAATCCTAAGCCAAAAGAACAAAGCTGGAGGCATCAAGCTACCTGACTTCAAACTATACTACAAGGCTACAGTAACCAAAACAGCATGGTACTGGTACCAAAACAGAGATATAGACCAATGGAACAGAACAGAGCCCTCAGAAATAATGCTGCATATCCACAACTATCTGATCTTTGACAAACCTGACAAAAACAAGAAATGGAGAAAGGATTCCCTATTTAATAAATGGTGCTGGGAAAACTGGCTAGCCAAATGTAGAAAGCTGAAACTGCATCCCTTCCTTACACCTTATACAAAAATTAATTCAAGATGGATTAAAGACTTACATGTTAGACCTAAAACCATAAAAACCCTAGAAGAAAACCTAGGGATTACCATTCAGGACAAAGGCATGGGAAAGGACTTCATGTCTAAAACACCAGAAGCACTGGCAACAAAAGCCAACATTGACAAATCGGATCTAATTAAACTAAAGAGCTCCTGCAAAAGAAACTACCATCAGAGTGAACAGGCAACCTACAGAATGGGAGAAAATTTTTGCAATCTACTCATCTGACAAAGGGCTAATATCCAGAATTGACAATGAACTCAAACAAATTTACAAGAAAAAAACAAACAACCCACCAAAAAGTGGGAGAAAGACCTGAACAGACACTTCTTAAAAAAAGACATTTATACAGCCAAAAAACACATGAAAAAATGCTCATCATCACTGGCAATCAGAGAAATGCAAATCAAAACCACAATGAGATACCATCTCACACCAGTTAGAATGGCAATCATTAAAAAGTCAGGAAACAACAGGTCCTGGGGAGGATGTGGAGAAATAGGAACACTTTTACACTGTTGGTGGGACTGTAAACTAGTTCAACCATTGTGGAAGTCAGTGTGGCAATTCCTCAGGGATCTAGAACTAGAAATACCATTTGATCCAGCCATCCCATTACTGGGTATATACCCAAAGGACTATAAATCATGCTGCTATAAAGACACATGCACACGTATGTTTATTGCGGCACTATTCACAATAGCAAAGACTTGGAACCAACCCAAATGTCCAACAACGGTAGGCTGGATTAAGAAAATGTGGTACATATACACCATGGAATACTATGCAGTGATAAAAAATGATGAGTTCATGTCCTTTATAGGGACATGGATGAAATTGGAAATCATCGTTCTCAGTAAACTGTCGCAAGGACCAAAAACCAAACACAGCATGTTCTCACTCATAGGTTGGAATTGAACAATGAGAACACATGGACACAGAAGGGGAACATCACACTCTGGGGACTGTTGTGGGGTGGGGGGAGGGGGGAGGGATAGCATTGGGAGATATACCTAATGCTAAATGACGAGTTAATGGGTGCAGCACACCATCATGTCACATGCATCCATCTGTAACTAACCCGCACATTGTGCACATGTACCCTAAAACTTAAAGTATAATAATAATAAAATAAAAAAGGCTTCAAATGATAGTTTGAAATATTTTTTAAAATTTGAACTTCTTAATTCCAGCAGTTCTGTTTATTCATTTTTTAAATACAGTTAGGTACTTCAAATTTTTGATCCTTTTTCTGGCTTCTTTCTGTTACATTTCAACTTTCTCTTGGATCTCATTGAATTTGTTTTCATCCATATTGTGGATTCTATATGTGTCATTTTAGACATTTCATTCTGGTTAGGATCTATTGCTGAGTAGTTAATGAGATCCTTTGGAGCTGATGAAACACTTTGTGTTTTTGTTTTTTTGTTTTTTTTTCATTGTCTTGCCAGAGTTCTTGTGCTGATTCTTTCCCATCAGAGGAGCTGACACTTTCTTTCTCCTTCTTCTCCTTCTCCCTCTCCTTCTTCTCTTCTTCTACTTTCTTCCTTGAATTTGCTATTGTTTTAATTGGGCTTCTTGATTATTTACTCTTTTTTTTCCCTTGGAGGTATTACTGTGATGTATATTGTATATTATTAAATGGCCTTGTTTTGGGGTGCTTTCAGGATGCCAAGGCTCTGTATGGGTTTCTTGGCTGTAGTTAGTTTTGTAGCTTTCTCAGATGTTAATTGTTATAGTGAGGTAATTGCATTTGGTTGTAGAATTCAGGCTGCAGTCCTTACTTAAGAGTAAGCTCCAACAAGTAGAGATGGGGCAGAGGCAATGAAGAAGCACAAAATATGCCTTTCCTCAGTGTGCATTTGCCTTCAGTGGGGTTGGTGCTGCTGGAGAAGACTGAGGAGCACACTCTTTTAGCCCACACTCTCTGGGCCCCAATGGGAAGAGTCACTGCTGAGTTTGCAATAGTGCACTAAAGAGAGGGGCAGTGGGGAATAGATGATTCCCTCTCCATGTCAGTGTCTGGTGCCATGCTTGTGCTTCCCTTGACACAAGGCGGGGCTTTGGTGGGCTGTACTTTTCCCTCCCTTAGGGGTGGTCCACACTGATGATTAGATCTCTAGAGGAATGGGGGTCCACCTCCTCCTTGTTCTTCAGAGCAGGTGGGGCACTTTTCCCCACTGACCAAGGAAGTATGGAATATCAGTTTTTCGTTTTTTTCAGTCTATGGGTTTCTTTTAAGGTAAAATGAGTCTCTTGGAGGCAAAATATATGTAGCTCTTATTACTTTCTTAATCCATTCAGTCACTAGATGCATTTTGATCAAATAATTTAATCCACTTACATTCAAGTAATTATTGACAGGTAAAATTTTTCCAGTTCCATTTTGTTTATTGTTTTCTAGTTGTTTTAAGATCCTTTGTTGTTTTCTACCTCTCTTGTTTTTTTTCTTTATGGTTTGATGGCTTTATGTAGTGGTATGTTTGGATATATATTTTTTTCTTTTGTTTATCTATTATAGGTTTTGCTTTATAGTTACCCTGAGGGATATATAAAATCTCTTATAACTGGTTATTTTAAGCCAATAACACCTTAATTTTGATCTCAAACACACACACTGTATTTTTACTGTCCCTGATTCCACATTTCATGTTTTTAATGTCATCATTTATGATGTGGATATTTTCTCAGTTATCCAGCGGGTAGTAGTTTCTCAACTGGTTTTTGATTTTCTGTCAGAGGGAAGTCATCTGTGAATATATATTTATTGGCTATGTCTGTGGGTGGAGTAGAGTAAGGAGCCTCCTATTCTGCCATGTCAAAATGTCCTATTGAAACAGGTCAGTGGTCTCGTGTCTGAGGTGTTATATGAGCTCATTGTCTCACAACCAAGAAAATTAAGGAGCAGGCACAGAAAATGTGAGGTTGGAATGAAAGCTTAATAAGTGACACAAGAAAGTTCTCTGCAGCGAAGATCGGAGCCCAAGTGGGTTGCCACTTTTATAGTTGAATGCAAAAGCTTTTTTTTTTTTTTTTTTGAGACGGAGTCTCGCTCTGTCGCCCAGGCTGGAGTGCAGTGGCGGGATCTCAGCTCACTGCAAGCTCCGCCTCCCGGGTTCACGCCATTCTCCTGCCTCAGCCTCCCAAGTAGCTGGGACTACAGGCGCCCGCCACTACGCCCGGCTAATTTTTTGTATTTTTAGTAGAGACGGGGTTTCACCGTTTTAGCCGGGATGGTCTCGATCTCCTGACCTCATGATCCGCCCGCCTCGGCCTCCCAAAGTGCTGGGATTACAGGCGTGAGCCACCGCGCCCGGCCGAATGCAAAAGCTTTTATGGGAAACTATTCTCTTTTCTGTAGCTGTTTGAGTAACTTCTCTTACCTGTAAAGCTGTCTGTATAACTCTCCTTATCTATGCAGCGGCAGGCACATCAAGTGTAGCTTCTCTTGTTTGTATAACTGTGGGTCTGTTTTATGTAAACCTCCCTCCCTGTGCAAGTTCCCATGGAGCCCACGGTGATTGTGCCTGAAAAGGGGAGGAAACTTTTTCCTGGGAGTCCGTTAATCATACAGAAAACAAAAGGCTTCTATGCTGGACTTTGCCTCCTTATCTCTCTATACCTGGGCATTCTGAGTTTTCCCCAGACTACTCTATTTTTGCCTATAGCTGTCTGCCTAACTGATTTTTCTTTTTCTTCTCCCTCACTATTCCACTGACACCAAAATACACTGTTTTAAGTATACACTTAGGTGGTTTTTAGGATATTCACGGAGTTTTGCAACCATTACCACTATGTAATTCCAGAACATTTTATCACCCCAGAAAAGAAATGTTATACCCATTATCAGTCGATCCCCATTCTGTAGCAAGCTGTTTTCAGGTTCATCCATGTAGTTGTATATATCAGTACTTCATTTCTTTTATGGCAAATATTCCATTGCATTGTTATACTACATTTTGTTTATCAGTTGTCAAATTCAAATTGAATAAAAAGGAAAATTTCTAAATTTGAAATGTTTTATTTGGGAACAAGAATTGCAATTTGGGACACACCACAGACTGTGTGGTCTTCAGTATGTCTGAAGAACAAAGACAAGATTCGAAGTTTTATAAAAAGGAGGAATGTTACATAGTGTTCTGAAAGAAAGTTCATTGGCACTAGTAAGATTTTTGGGAGCTGGCAAGCTCTGATTGGTAAATGACAATGTTGGGTAAAACTACTCTTAGAATCACAGCAGGCTGTTTCAGCAGCCATTGGATTAAACTGGCTTCATGTTACAGCAGACAGCTTTGGCATCCAGGCTTGCAAAGAGTTACATTCTTGGAGTAAAGTTTTATTCCCTGGGTGATTTCCCACCTGTCCTGTGGACTCTGTTTCAGTTGGTATGACAGGAATTTCCCTTGTGACTAATGATATTGAGTATTGCACTATTCTATAGGCATGCTATGAATTAACAAAAAATTTAAAATATGCTTTGCTTTTATTTTTAGATACATAATATATTATGATATTTGGTAATTACTTTGCCTGAGTTATTGTTTTTTTTTTCTTTGAGACAATGTTTGGCTCTATCACCTAGGCTGTAGTGCAGTGGCAGGATCTTGCCTCACTGCAATCTCTAGCTGCCTAGCTCAAGCCAGCCTCCCACCTCAGCCTCCTGAGTAGCTGAGACTACAGGCATGCACCACTACATCCAGCTAAATTTTTTTTATGTTTTATAGAGACAGGGTTTCACTATGTTGCTCAGACTGATGTTGAACTCATGAGCTCAAGCGATCTGCTCACCTTGGCCTCCCAAAGTGCTGGGATTACAGGCTTGAGCCACCACACTGGGCCTTGCCTGAGTTTTAATGTTTTCATCGGTACCTACCCTCATAACATATTTTTATTTAATGTTTATTATATGTATCTTTAATACTATATAACATTATATATATTTTATTGGGAATCTGTTTAATTTAGACCAATTTGTGTGTGTGGAAAGGAGTAAAATGTCATTAAAATTATCTCAGCATTTAATCAATATACGCATGACCCGTGTAGCTATATTGTCAAAAAATCCCTCTCCCTTAATCTAAAGAAGATAGGAATAGTAGAAATTCAGGCAGAATTTCTACTATTGGAGAATTGGGGAAGAAATGCCCCAAAATTAGATTAGAAAATGGAATTTGGCAGATTTTTATAGATTACTAAAAGCAAATGATGCCACAGATTTAAATAAGACTAAAAAGTGATTTAATGTGGTCAATAGATACATAAAATATTCAGTAAAAATATTAAAAAAAATTTGCTTTATTTTATTCACTTTTACCAGAAGACATCTCATAGTTCTAAAACACATGTATATAGTCCTGAATAATTTACACTATTTACCTTAAACTATTTCCAGAGAGGTGAATTATTTGCTATCCAAAAAGAATTACTGATACCCCTAATAATTAGCAAACACTTAAAAAATACTTAATACTGATGAAGGTTCACTTAGATATTCAAGAATTGTTGATGGAATGTCAAATTGGCATACATTTTTTAAAATAATTGAGCCTTGTGTGGCCATGAGTATAAGATTATTGACCCAATAATTATACATCTGAAAACAAATATTTATTTATTTTATTTTATTATTATTATTATACAAAGGACATGAACTCATCATTTTTTATGGCTGCATAGTATTCCATGGTGTATATGTGCCACATTTTCTTAATCCAGTCTATCATTGTTGGACATTTGGGTTGGTTCCAAGTCTTTGCCATTGTGAATAGTGCCACAATAAACATACGTGTGCATGTGTCTTTATAGCAGCATGATTTATAATCCTTTGGGTATATACCCAGTAATGGGATGACTGGGTCAAATGGTATTTCTAGTTCTAGATCCCTGAGGAATTGCCACACTGACTTCCACAATGGTTGAACTAGTGTACAGTCCCACCAACAGTGTAAAAGTGTTCTTATTTCTCCACATCCTCTCCAGCACCTGTTGTTTCCTGACTTTTTAATGATTGCCATTCTAACTGGTGTGAGATGGTATCTCATTGTGGTTTTTGATTTGCATTTCTCTGATTGCCAGTGATGATGAGCATTTTTTCATGTGTTTTTTGGCTGCATAAATGTCTTCTTTTGAGAAGTGTCTGTTCATATCCTTCACCCACTTGTTGATGGGGTTGTTTGTTTTTTTCTTGTAAATTTGTTTGAGTTCGTTGTAGATTCTGGTTATTAGCCCTTTGTCAGATGAGTAGGTTGCAAAAATTTTCTCCCATTCTGTAGATTGCCTGTTCACTGTGATGGTAGTTTCTTTTGCTGTGCAGAAGCTCTTGAGTTTAATTAGATCCCATTTGTCAATGTTGGCTTTTGTTGCCATTACTTTTGGTGTTTTAGACATGAAGTCCTTGCCCATACCTATGTCCTGAATGGTATTGCCTAGGTTTTCTTCTAGGGTTTTTATGGTTTAGGTCTAACATGTAAGTCTTTAATCCATCTTGAATTAATTTTTGTATAAGGTGTGAGGAAGGGATCCAGTTTCAGCTTTCTACATATGGCTAGCCAGTTTTCCCAGCATCATTTATTAAATAGGGAATCCTTTCTCCATTTCTTGTTTTTGTCAGGTTTGTCAAAGATCAGATAGTTTTAGATATGCAGCATTATTTCTGAGGGCTCTGTTCTGTTCCATTTATCTATATCTCTGTTTTGGTACCAGTACCATGCTGTTTTGGTTACTGTAGCCTTGTAGTATAGTTTGAAGTCAGGTAGCGTGATGCCTCCAGCTTTGTTCTTTTGGCTTAGGATTGACTTGGCAATGCGGGCTCTTTTTTGGTTCCATATGAACTTTAAAGTAGCTTTTTCCAATTCTGTGAAGAAAGTTATTGGTAGCTTGATGGGGTTGGCATTGAATCTATAAATTACCTTGGGCAATATGGCCATTTTCATGATAGTGATTCTTCCTACCCATGAGCATGGAATGTTCTTCCATTTCTTTGTATCCTCTTTTATTTCATTGAGCAGTGGTTTGTAGTTCTCCTTGAAGAGGTCCTTCACATCCCTTGTAAGTTGGATTCCTAGGTATTTTATTCTCTTTGAAGCAATTGTGAATGGGAGCTCACTCATGATTTGGCTCTCTATTTGTCTGTTATTGGTGTATAAGAATGCTTGTGATTTTTGCACACTGATTTTGTATCCTGAGACTTTGCTGAAGTTGCTTATCAATTTAAGGAGATTTTGGGCTTTGACGATGGCGTTTTCTAGATATAAAATCATGTCATCTGCAAACAGGGACAATTTGACTTCCTCTTTTCCTAACTGAGTGCCCTTTATTTCCTTCTGCTGCCTGATTGCCCTGGCCAGAACTTCCAGCACTATGTTGAATAGGAGTGGTGAGAGAGGGCATCCCTGCCTTGTGCCAGTTTTCAAAGGTAGTGCTTCCAGTTTTTGTCCATTTGGTATGACATTGGCTGTGGGTTTGTCATAGATAGCTGTTATTTTGATACTAATTCATTTTGAGACCACAGTTTATATACAAAGATGTTTACTGCATTGTTAAATTAAAATGCAAAACTGAAAAATTATCTCAGTGTTAGAAATTGTTAAATGAGTCATAGCACATATTTATGATGTAATATTAATCAGGCACTAAAATTACATGTACAAATAATTATTGATAAAATATATGAAATTATAAGTCATTATTAAGAAGTTTTTATGTTCCAGTCACTAAATAAACATTTTACATAGGTTAGTGCCAATAAGCCTATCAAGAAACCTATGATGTTAGTGCTATTAGTATTCATATTTTATAGATGAGGAAACAGAGGTACAGTGGTGGTAAGTAACCTGCAGCTAATAAGAGGTATAGTAGGGATTTGATCTCCATTTTTATGATTGGAGTGCTTGGATTTAACCACTTTGCCATTTTGCTTCTCTCTAGATCAGGGAGTATAAATGTTTTATTCCAAGTAATAAGGCTAATAATTATTAAAAGCAGGCACTGTGTCTGAAACAGCAAATTCAAAGATAAGTTTCTACAACCTGGTTGCTTGTGGCATCTCAAAAATCTCAGATAAAGGGAAATCTGGGAAAACTGGTGGGGGATTATAACATCTTGAAATATGTTAGAAATCATAAACATGGAAGAAGGAGTGGACAGGCTTGAGTATTATTATTATTATTATTATTATTATTATTATTATTAGAGATGGTCTTGCTTGGTAGTCCAGGCTGGAGTGCAGTGGCGCTATCTGATCTCTGCTCACTTCAACCTCGCCTCCTTGGCTCAAGTGATCCTCCCACCTCAGCCTCTGGAGTATTTGGGACCACAGGCCCCCATGCCCGGCTACTTTTTTGTATTTTTTGTAGAGATCGGGTCTCGCCATATTGCCCAGGCTGTTCTCAAACTCTTGAGCTCAAGGTGATCTGCCTGCCTGGGACTACAGGGGTGAGCCACTGAGCTCAGTCTTGAGTACCTTCTAAGAGCAAAATTACCACATGTAGATCAAAATTTTAAATGAATTTTAACAAACTGTTTTAAATTCAGAAATTTACACAACTAGAGCCATCTAGTTATTAGACAGGAAGTCTTGAAAAAAGTATAATGGAAACATTTTGGCCAGCTGTAAAAAGACTCTGTTTTTAGAAATACTGTGCTAAGAATTTCTGCATGAGATAAAGTTTCTTTTAAATACCAGGAGTCTGCCAAAATATCAGGATTCTTCAGAATTTTAACCTAGGCATAAACCATTAGAAACAAAGAATATTTGTAAAGCAATTGACATTGTAACTATTTGCCATTAAAGACAAAATGCCTCCTAATTTTATAAACATACATATCAAAATATGTATATGGCATACAATAAGTAAATAAATATTAGTTCTAAATATATATAGAAATAACTACATGTATCTTTTAGCAACAGGTGGCATCCCTCAAGGGTGTCAGTAAACTGCAATCTAGTCTGGCCTGTTTTGTATGGTCAGTGTACTAAGAATGATTTTTATATTTTTAATGGGTTGCTAAAATAAGACAAACCAAAACAAAGAGAATATGCAACAGAGACTATATGTGCTCTAAAATGCTTAAAATATTTACCCTTCAATCTTTATAAAAAACATTACTGATTCCTGTTTTACATTTAATAATTTGATATCACATAATGACAATTTTTTTTCTCTACAAGATTAAACAATATTTTGTTGTCAAAATTTATTTGTCTAACGGCCAACAGAATTGTAAAATAACAGTTTGGACACTAGAGGGAGACTTTACATTTTTCTTTTTGATTTTCAGACACAGAATGTTCAAGTGAATACACTCATATTAAACTTGAGATAAATTCAGATTGATTTGGTGTTATCTTTTCTAAGACAACACATCACAGATGATACCGGTAATGAAAATTTTCCTTGAATTTGCTTTCCATAGCTGCAGCAACAATGGTATGTTTTTCTAATCTGGCTAATGGCATCGTACCAGATTCCTCTTATGCCCCTCAGACCCACTTATCCTCCCCCATCTCTCATTCTAGCTCTGTCTGGGCTCTCTACAGGTGCCACCTAGCCGTCCTTCACCTCCTGCCCACAACACACACTCAGCCGTCTTTCCCAGAAATGCCCAGGTGTGTGCAGCCCCAAAGTATGGGGAGTTCATATTCTAAAAGGTGTTTTTGTATTTGCCTCCTCTGAGGGCCAGCCATCGCATGGTCTTTACATGGCTTTTTCAGGTATGCTTCCACTAACTGAGCAAGGGCTCAGTTTCCACAGTTATCAAGGGCCAGCTGCGTAATGTGTCCTTGTTTTGGCTCCCCTGCCTCTTCTGTTTTACTAGCTTTGTTCCTCATTTCTGCTATGTGGGAGTGTGCTTCTAATAAAATAATGGTTCATAAGCTATGTTAGGCTCAGCTTTTTGAGAAAGTCAAGCTAAGAGAAGTAATGAAGGAGAAAAGAAAAACTCAGCTTCATTGTTCTGGAATCCATCTGGTTGCCTGGATTTTGATGTTAGAACACTTGAGATGTTTCCTTGTTTTTCCACATGCTGGGGAAAAGTGCACTGTGCTTGAAATGTACATTCTAAACATAACCACTTAGGTCACAAAATAAGAAAATCAAGTTAACATCCACATAACCCAAATGAATCCACCACCAATTACTGCTAACTCTTACTTTGCTTTTTTTATTTTTCTGGGAATTTCTCACATATTTCGAGAAGGATTATCTACGATTATAAAACAGGATCTTTCTCTCTGGCCAAAGATACCCTAAAAAGCTGAGACAATCAGAGCTCTTTCTGAGGAATTTGGATTTTTAGTTGACTGCAGCTCAGTTTGCACCTATTCTGTGGCTCAGATAGGATGCAAGCACACTTTTATATCACCCCAAAAAACAGCACTTTTATTATTAAAGTGGAGCCTATCTTTTCATCAATGAACAAGTGGCGTTATATATTGCTTCCAATATGGAAAATGTAAATTTTTGTTATCTGTTTACTAGTTTTTCATTTAAAAAAATCCCTTGACAAGTTTTTACACATAATATTGTTACTAATATTTTAAGACTTTACTGAAGAATAGCAGACAAACAGAAATGCATGCTAATTATAAGAATACAACTGATTACATTTCACAAAGTGAAGAAATCTTTGCAACCAGTACCCAGATTAAGAAAAATAACATCACTGTCTCCCAGGAAGTCCCCCTTATGTTCCCTTCCTGACCTACTCCCTTCTTCTCCTGACATCAAAGACAGCCACTACTGTGATTTCAAACACTATTCTTTTTTTGAACTTTAAATGGAATCATACAGTGCGTACCCTTTTGTGTCTGGCTTCTTTCGTTCAGTTTGTCTTGGTGATTCATCCAATTTGTATGCAGTTGTATTTCATTCTTTCTCATTACTTAATAGAATTCCATAGTGTAAATAAACCTTTATTTACTTTTACTTTATTCAACCGTTGAAAGGAAGTTTCTAGTTTTTGGTTGGTTGTGTGCAGTTAGCAGACATTGCCAAAATGTTTCTCAAAGTGGTTGTGCCAATTTATAAACCCCTAAGATGTGTAAGAGAGTTTTATAGGTATGTTATAACACTATATGGTGGTTCCGCTTTTTATTTCCATAACAATTAATGAAATCAAGCACCTATTTATTTATTTATTTATTTTTTATTTTTTGAGATGGAGTCTCACTCCGCTGCCCCAGCTGGAGTGCAGTGGCACAATCTCGGCTCACTGCAACCTCTGCCTCCCAGGTTCAAGTGATTCTCCTGCCTCAGCCTCCCAAGTAGCTGGGACTACAGGCGCACGCCACCACGCCCAGCTAATTTTTGTATTTTTAGTAGAGACGGGGTTTCACCATATTGGCCATGCTGGTCTTGAACTCCTGACCTTGTGATCCGCCTACCTCGGCCTCCCAAAGTGTTTGGATTACAGGCATGAGCCACTGCTCTCGGCCTCAAGCATCTTTTTATATGTTGAGTGGCCATTTGGATATTTTCTTTTGTGAAACAGTTTTCTACAATGTTTTCTTCTTTTTGACTTGTAGAAGTTACTTACATATTCTGGGTGTTTGTCCATTGTGAATTGTGATTATTTCAAATATCTTCTCCCAATGCATAGACCTGACATTTCACTCTTTTAATTGTACCTTTTGAGAGACAAATCGATTATTGTCCAGTCTATCAATGTTTTTCTTAGTAACTGCAGCTCTTTTGTTGTGCTTGAGAAATCTTCGCTCATTCCAAGGTCACAAGGATGTTCTCTTATGTTTTCTTCTGGTAGTTTAATTGTTCTACTATTCATACTCAGATCTCCAGTCTATCTGGAGTCTACTTTTTAATCAACTGTGAAGTAGGAATCAATGTTGACATTTTTCATGTGAAGGTGTAATTGACCCAGAACTATTATTTGAAGAGACGTTTCTTTTCTCTTTGCACTACAATTTACCTCCACCATAATAAAGTGTGGGGATGTGTTTCTAGATTTTCTGTTTAGTTCCTTTGGTTTATTTGTCTCTGCTACTGCCCACAGCACACAACCTTAATTACTATAACACAGCTTTTCTGGGAATTGGTTTGAGACCCTGTATTTAGAGTGTGGACTCTAAAGATTATTTTTGAAAGAATGTAAGTCTTTATTAAGTCTTCTGATATGCAAACATGACATATACCTCTATTTAGATTAACATAATAATGCAGAGATCTTATATGATATCTTTTGTTAGATTTATTTATGGATATTGTCGTATTTTTAATTTCCAAAATATACATTCCTTTTGTGTGTTTTTGGTATACGAGGATACACTTACTTTTACATCTTTTCGTACTTTAGAACCTTTGTTAATTTGTTTGTTAGTTGCAATATGCCTGTAAATTCCTTCAGATTTTCTACATATACAATGTGATGTCTGCAAATAATGATTTTTCCCTTTTGTCTTTATAATTCTTATTTCATTCTCTTACTTCATAACATTGATTCATTCTTCACTTCTAAGTAGAAAAGAAATTGTTAAAGTGGGTATCTTTATCTCCACCTTCATCTCAACATTTCATCATTAAGAATTATTTTTTAATTAAAAAAATCTTTACCAGTTTGAGGAAGTTCTCTTTTATTCACAGTTTGGCAAGAAAGCTTGGATAACTGGCTAGCCATAGGCAGAAGAATGCATCTAGACTCCTATCTCTCACCATATAAACAAACTAACTCAAGATGGATTAAATCTTTAGATATAAAACCTCAAACTATACAAATCCTAGAAGAAAACCCAGGAAATACCATTCTGGACATTGGCCTTGGCCAAAAATTCAGGACTAAGTTCTCAAAAGCAATTGCAACATAACCAAACGTTGATAAGTGGGATCTAATTAAATGAAAGACCTTCTGCACAGCAAAAGAAACTATCGACAATGTATACAGATAACCTACAGAAAGGGAAAAAACATTTGCAATCTACACCTAATAAAGTTCTAATATGAAAAATCCACAAGAAACTTAGACAATTCAACAAGAAAAAATGGATAACCTCACTAAAAAGAGGGCAAAGGACATAAATAGACACTTGTCAAAAGAAGACACATAAGCAGCCAGAGAGCATATGAAAAAATGCTCAATGTCATTAATTATCAGAGAGCTGCATGTCAAAGCACAATAAGATACTATTGCACACCAATCAGAATGGCTATTATTAAAAAGTCAAAAAATAACAGATGCTGGAAAGGATGTGGAGAAAAAAGAACACTTATACACTGTTAATGGGAATGTAAATTAGTTCAGCCATTGCGGAAAGCAGGGTGGTGATTTCTCAAAGAATATAAAACAAAGCTACCATCTGACCCAACAATTCCATTATTGGGTATGTACTCAAAGGAAAATAAATCATTCTGTAAAAAGACACAAGTGCCCATATGTCCATCACAACACTTTTCACAATAGCAAAGACATGGAATCAACCTAGATACCTAGATCCCCATCAATGGTGGATTGGATAAAGAAAATGTGGTACATATACACCCTGGAATATTATACAGCCATAAAAAAGAATAAAATTATGTTCTTTGCAGCAACATGGATTCAGTCAGAGGCCTTTATCCTAAGTGAATTAATGCAGGAACAGAAAACCGAATACTGCATGTTCTCACTTATAAGTGGAAGCTGAACACTGAGCACACATGGACATGAAGATGGGAACAACAGACACTGGGGACTGCTGGAGAGGGGAGACAAGGAGGGGAGCAATGTCTGAAAGACAGCCTATTGGGTACTATGCTAACTTAACTGAGTAATGGGGTCATTTGTACCCCAAACTTCAGCATCTTGCAATATACCCATGTAACAAATTTGCACACGTACCACCTGAATCTAAAATAAAAGTTGAGATTATAAAAAAGAAATATGTTAAAAATAAAATAAAATATCAATAATAAATATTGAAATTTATCACTTCTTTTCCATCTATATTTACTTATTTTTTCTAGCCATTTTTATATTCCTAGGATAAAAAACTTGTTATCATACATTTATAAATTGTTGGACTTTGTTCACTAATTACAAATATTTTTGTTTATGAAAGAAATGGCAAGTAATTATTATTGTAATATCCTTGTCAAGTCTTTATATCAAAGTTATGTAGGCTTCATAAAATAAGCTGTGAAGTCTCTCTCCTCTTTTCTATGTGATTTTATGTAACAGTGGTGCTATTTGTTACTGAATTGTTTTTAAAAAGTCACCAGTGAAACCTATGGGCCAGGATATATCTTTGCAAAACGGTTTTAAAAATCAAATTATTAAATATAGGGGCATTCTTTTCCATTTCTTCTGAATTCTTCTTTCATTACAAGGCTATAGTAGTCAAGGCTATGTTATATAAGTGGCAGGAGAGACACAGATTAAAGAAATAGAATAGAAGGTCTGCGGCAGACTGCCACGGTTACTACTTGAGACCGTCACTACGATAGTCATTACTGTTACTACTTGAGACGGTCATTACGAGACTGAACAAAGGGGGATGAATACAGAAATGAAAACTTAAAACAAAAGAAACTGTTTTAAAAAAGGGGCCAGGGGAAGAAGAGGGCTCTGTGCTTTTAGTGAGCAAAAGCAGCTGCCCTGAGCTTCTGCAGTCCTTTGTATTTATTGGGTAGAAAGAGCAGGGAGGAGGAGCTAACGACTGGTCAGCTGCTTGATTGATCACAGGTTCATATTATTACTAACAGGCTTCAGATTTGCCTAATCACAAGAAACACTTGTGCCTTGGTGGTGACTGCCCTCAGCATTCCTTCTGGGCAGCAGACACAGTGTGTCAGTTTGCTAACATCCTGCTGTCATGAGAACAGTTTGCTGTTTACTCATATAGCCTCCAGTGGTATACTGAGTTTTGCACTACCCTCATTCTTTTGGCTTTCAACAAAAATCCAGAAATAGACCCATACACCTAGTAAGCTGGATATTTTTTCTTTAAAGAATGTTAACTATTTAAAGTAAATGTTCAAATTTATTAGAAAAAAGTTTTTTACTAGTTTCTCTTATCTGTTTATTATATATCGGTGCTTCTCATAATATTCTCTTTTTCATTCCAAATATTGGAATTTGAAGATTTTATCTTCCTCTCTTGATGAGACTTGCTAGAAGTCTATCCATTTTATTAATCAGTACAAATAACTAACCTTTGGCTTTATTGATATTTTTTGTTCATTAATTTCTGCTTTTATCTTCATTTTCTTTCTGCTGCTTTCTTTGCTTTTCATTAGGTATTCTTTTCCTAATGTCTTGAGATGAATAATTAAAACTTGATTTTCAACATTCTCTATTTAATATAAGAACTGAAAGCTATAAATTTTCCTTTAAGCACAACTCTTAGTTTCATAAGCTTTGTTATATTTTATTATCATTTTCATTTAGAATACATTCTAATTATTTTTTAAATTTCTTCTTTATGTTTAAATGTGTATTACTTTATTTTCAACAACTGAGGATTTTAGTCATATATATTTTTGGGTTTTTTAAGCATAATTTTATTATGGTCAGAAGACATACTCTGAAGGATTTCAATTCTTTTCATTTTTTGAGACCTTCTTTTTAGCTTATCTTGTTGTTAGTCTGGGGAAATATCCCATGTGTATTGGAAAAAAATGCATAGTCTGTCATGTTGTAGTTTCTTATATTTATTAATTAGATTAATTATAAATTCCTTATATTCTAATATTTTGTCAATTATTTTGTTTGCTTGTTTTATCAGTTGCTGATAAATCCTCCAATTCTAGTTATAGATTTTTCTATTCCTCCTTTTTAGTTTTATCAATTTTTGCTTTATATATTTTAGGAGTATATTATTGTCTGTATGTTGCTTAGGAGCATTTTATCTTCTTGCTAAACTTATGTAATTACTGACGTATTTGGGTTTATTCATTTTCTTGCTATTATTGATTTCATTCAATTTGTTTTACATTTCGGTTTCTCTGTCTTTGCCTTATTTTGAATTAATACAATATTTTAAATATAATAGACTCTACTGTTAGTTATATATTCATATTAAATCTTTTAATCATTAACCTTGAGATTGTAATATAAAGTTTCACTTTACCATGTCCTTGACAATACTATGATATTATAATAGTTTAATTCCATTTACCCCTTTTGGTAGAATACCCTTTTGGTAAATGGAATTAAATAAGGGGCTAAATGGAATTATATAAGATAATAATAAGACATTATTATTGGGATACTCTTTCCTTTGTTCTTTTTTTTCTGCTTTTCTGTCCTTTTATCTGGAATCCTTTTCTTTTTGCCTGTAGAATTCCACTTGATATTGCTGTTAGTTTAGATTTGCTGACGACAGAGTTTAGTTTTGTTTTTCCAAAACATTTTTATTTCACCTCCATGTTTTTGAAGGATGTTATTTGCTGGGTATAGAAATCTAGGTTGTTGGATATATTTTATCAGCACTTTTAAGATGTAATACACTGTCTTCTAGCTTCTGATGATAAGTCAAAAGGAATTGGGTAATATGTCTATTTGTCCACCTTGTTTTTGAGATTTTGATCTTTCCTTTGGTTTTCAGTAGTTTTGTTATGATGTACACAGAGATATTTTTGTTTATATTCATTCTGCTTGGCATTTGCAGAATGCCAAGTAGAATGAATTTTTTTTTTTGAGACAAGGTCTCACTCTGTTGCCCAGGCTGGAGTGCAGTGGCACTATCACAGCTTACTGCAACCTCTGCCTCCTAGGGTCAAGCAATCCCCCCACTTCAGCCTCCCAGGTAGCTAGGAATACAAGCGTGCACTACCACATCCAGCTAATATTTGTATTTTTTTGTAGAGATGGGGTTTCTCCATGTTGCCCAGGCTCGTCTCAAATTCCTGTGCTCAAGTGATCCTCCCACCTTGGGCTCCCAAATTACTGGGATTACAGGTGTGAGCCACTGCCTCTGGCCTTAATGCTTTTTCTGTATTTGCCTTGTTTCACTTTGTACTTCAGTCTAAATATTTCAATTAATCTACCATTGACTTCCATCTTCTGGATTGCTGTGTATGAGACAGTTTTGGCAATAACCTCAGTGGCATTTTCACCTGAAGTCGTTCCCATGATGGGCTAGTTTTGTGTCATTCTGGAAGTCTCCTTCTGATTATGATGGAATAGCTGTGGTAGACCAACCCCCCATTGAGAAATATTAGAAGAGTTTTTTTAATCTCAGTTGATTCAGTAGCTTTCCAATGTCTTCAAAAGTTGTTTTTATTTTTAGTGTTTTATCGGATCCTGAAATATTGCTGAAGAATATCTTCATGTTGCCAGGAACTTGCTGATTAGGAGAAACAGCCTCATCACCACCTTCTTAATCTCATGGGAATATATCTAACTGGTGGAATCAAATTTACATGCAAACTCCATGCTATACGATAGCCTAGAATATGTAACTTTTATCTTACCAACTTCGTCAATGATAAATAGAATGAATGGAGCTTCAATGAGCCATTTCATCATATGTAGTGTGATATCCTTTGGCAGGATAATCTTTCTGTCGTTTCTCTGAAAAATGGGGAAAATAATATCTTGTTTGTTATTATCTGGTTGATAAGAAATGGAGAAGTTTATGAATGGTGATTTAAAAATACTTATTTCCTTTTCAGAAGAGCACAATAAGTAATTTCTCTATCTATCTAACTTATTTTGATCATTAAATGACGGAAAAAGCCACATGGCTGGGAACCAGAGATGGCTTCTAAGCTGCTTCAAAGGAGCTTTTATTTCGTTGGATGGAATAGCGTGAAGTCAGAGTGGCTTGCTTGGGTTAATAGGGGGAGATTTTAGGGATCTTGAAATATCAAGGAAAGCCAATGAAAGCAATTCAGAGTAGAGCTGATAGAAAAGAGAACCATACAGGGAGAACAGAAATAGCTAATAGGGATTTTTATGAAATGGTTATTGTACACAACAGTGAAATGTACACCATCTTATTTGTCTTTCAGCAAAACCTTTAATGAAAGTCTTGTCAATCATTAATGCACTATGGCATTGAATCACTTATTCTTTCATTTTAGTTTCTTTGTTTTAAGAGATGTGGCCAAATGCTGAGTATGGCCTCAAAGTAGACCTTGGGTCAGGACAGAGATTTGCAGCGGAAAAGTTTTTGTATTTGTTTCATATAAAGTATTTCGTACAGTGAAAGAACTCTTAAAACTGTGACATAGTTAAATTTATTTCAAATTTATTCCTTTCTTCCAATTTAAAAATCTTTTTAATTTGGGGATTTGACCACAGTCTTTACAGTAAATTACAGTTAACCTTGATACATGACTTTAGCAGTGCCATATACATAACCCAATCCCTATATATAGCTAACATATTCGCAAATGTGAGAAAACAATAAAAAACTATAAAGTTGTCTTCCTGAGTATTGAAATCTGGTTAAAGTTTAACTCATCTTAATGTTTAAGAAAGAACAATTTATTATTCACACAAGGTTACAATGATAAACCATTGATTTTTATGATAAATAATATAATATTACAACTGTAGAGTAAAATTACAACAAAGATTCAGAATCACTATTTGTTTATTATTTTATTTTCAGAGACACATAAACATTAAACTTCTTAAATTTTTATTTAAAATACTTTTACTGGCTGGGTGCGGTGACTCATGCCTATAATCGCAGCACTTTGGGAGGCCAAGGCAGGCCTGACCTGATGTCAGGAGTTTGAGACCAGCTTGGCCAACATGACTAAACCTCAACTCTACTAAAAAATACAAAAAAAAAAAAAAATTAGCTAGCATGGTGTGCACTTATAGTCCCAGATACTCTGGAGGATGAGGCAGGAGAATCACTTGACCCCGGGAGGTTGAGATTGCAGTGAGCCAAGATCCTGCCACTGTACTCCAGCCTGAGTGACAGAGCAAGACTCCATCTCATAAATAAATAAATAAATAATAAGTACTTTTACTTCCTTGATGTAAAGATATTAGGCTCTGCTGTAGTCTGATTGTTGGCATCTCCTTAAATTCAAATGTTGAATGAAGTCTTAACCGCCAAGGTGAAGGTATTAAGAGAAGGGGTTAGGGGGAGATGACTAGGTCCTAAGAACAGAGCCTGAAAGAATAAGATTAGTGCCCTCATAAAAGAGTCCCTAGAGAACTAGTTAGTCCCTTCTGCCATGTGAGGTTACAGAGCCAAAGCTGCTGTCCATGAAGGAAGGAGGCTCTTACTGACTCTGTCGTTGCCTTGATCTTGGACTTTCCAGTACAGAACTGTGAGAATTAAATTTTTGTCATTTCTAACTGACCAGTCTATGGTATTTTGTTATAGTAGCCTAAACAGACTAAGACAGGCTCATTTGATGGAAAGAAGAATAAAATAAAAGGGTAGGATCCAGGGTTTCTGAAAATTAAAAATAAATGTAATTTCACGGTTCAGCTTCAAGACAGTCTTTTTAGGTCATTTGCTACTTCCATATAATTGCTCTTACTGGGTATATACAGGTGATAAGATACAGAAATTTGAAGAAATAATCTAGGAAATTTAGGCCCAGAATTTGTTTTGTCAAGAGGAACTAAAATTACTAAAATTGAGTTTCACAATATTTGATTGGATTCGTTCTATGATTGTTTCTTTTTCAGGAGAGATAAAATGTTCTACAGGAATCAAAGCTTGTCATTCACTCAGGCCCTCACTTGGTGGCAGTATGTTAGAGAAGACTGCTTGTTCCAGAGCCTGGTTCTCAGCTTTGCAATCTACAGATGGTTCATTCTAGCCACGTGTGCAAGGATGTGATATACTAGAGTGCACATTGATTACTTGAACTTCCTTGAAATATCATTTTCAAGACAAGACTACTAAGGACTGTGAGTATATTCTCTCAATACTATAATAATACTAATAATGATATCTTACATTTTTGAGTTTTTAGGAGACACTAGACTCTGTTGTGAGTACTTTACATATATTGGCCCATTTGTTCATCACTTTGACATTTTGGACCAGGACTTTCATGACAGCTATCTTACCAGATGATTAGACTAGGGCAGGCAGAGGTAAAGTAACTTGGCAAAGGTTATAGTAAATGATAGAGCTAAGATACAGTCTCTGGCAGTCTGATCCCAAAGCCTATGCTCTCACTACCATTTGAGTTGCCTATAGCAGTTGCTACGGCACATAAACTCAAAGTATCGGTAGCCGAAATACCGGACATAGATGTTAGTGGTTGTGGAGCTTTTCTAGGCAGTTCTCCTTCAAGGGATGACTTCTGGGGTATGGCCTCCTACTGTGTAGTCAGTCCATCACTTATAAATTATTACCTTCTGTTAATGATGGCTAGGGCTCTGTGATAAATTCGTATCTAACAATGCTTCAGCAGAACATATACATGATCTGATAAGATTGTGTGCCATTGATAAGTCTGTGCCTTATGGCTGTATGGAGGCTGAGGTGGGCAATGCAAGGTCATCATGCAAGCTCCCGGATGTGCCATCAGTGAGGCATGAACACCTGGAGGCCCTGAAAAGACTGTGAGGCACTGTGAGGAACTGGCTTTTACCTTGAGTTCATACAGCATCACAGGCTTTGGAGCCCAGGTCCAGGTCACTCTTGTTGTTATTAGAATAGACCATGGAGGCTCAAGGGCAGAAGCTGGGAGACCAGTGAAAAGCTGTCGCTATAATCTAGGTGAGGTTCAACGGTGCCTGGACCAGGGAGGCAGTGGAGGAGAAGGTGAGATGTGTTTTGAAATTGAACGGGAATAAGGTGGAAGAAAAAGAGAAGGAGCCAAGCATTTGGGCCTGCCCATCTGGAATGCAGCTTCCAGTTAGAAAGGGAGTCATGTGTATTAGCATGATGAGCCTGGAGCCATACTGCTCTGGCTTAATTCCTGATTCTGTTATATACTTCCTGCAGCCTCAGGCAAGTTACTTTTCTGTGCATCACTGTCCTCATCTATAAAGTGGAATTACTGATAGTATTTCTTTATAGTGTGGTTGTAATGCTTTCATCAGTTACCATACGTAAAACATGTAGAAAATATTGTAAACATTGCGATAACATTTACATTTATTGTTTACTGAGATGGGGAAGACTGTATGGGGGTATTTTTGAGAGAAAAATTATTGATATAATTCTGCTTCCATGGTAGCTCATCATTGATGTGTCTGCCAGCCTTATATGTCTGCGAGCCCCTGGGGAAGGTTAGTAGGGGTCTCATTCTAGGAAAACACCTTGTGCAGCCCCTGGAATGGAGGAAAGCCTCCAGCATGCCTGCTAAGAATGTACAGTGTTGGTGGTCCAGGGGATAGCTTGAGGCGGAGGCTTAACTTCCTTCTTCTCTTCTCAGTCCCTCAGATATCATGAACAGGAAAGGGAGGTAAAAAGTCTTTTTCCTTTACCAGTCTTAGGTTATTTGCTGGGGCCCTGCAAATCAGACTGACAGAAGACGGCGTAACAGGAGAAAAACAGATTTTTCAGCTTATTATCCTGTGCAGGGTACAAGGAGGAATCTTAGTGATGAGTAGCACAAAGGGATGGTTAGAACTTGGGCTTACATAGCATCTCAGCAAAGAGCAATGCCTTTGTAGTGGTGACAAGACCGTTAGCCTTCCGAGGCAGAAGGTTAACACATGGGGGCGCTCATGGAGTAAGGTTTGCTTGTGCAGGTCCATCTCAGTGCCGACTTTTTGTTCTTTTCATAGCCAGAAAACTTCCCTATGAAAGGAGTTGATGGAAGTTCTCATTTCTCAGGAGTTTCTGCTTTTACTCAGATCAGGGTTGTGCCGGGAAGGCACATGCATCTGTTGGATCTCATTTGCCTCCAGTTCAAAATAACACTTATGCCAAAGTGGCTTATGTTGGGGTGGCATATTTTGATCTTCAACAAACGTAACATTAAAAAATTAAAACACTGGACTTGCCACAGACATTCATTTCAACACACCCCAAATAAATATAGAATCCTATAAAAGAATAAGTAAATGCAGTTTAAAGAGTCTCTCAGCCTCTGTTCAACCAGAATGGCCCTTCTTAGGACCTACTGAGGAAATCAGGAGCCACTATTGCCGAAAAGGCCTTTGCAAAAGAGCGCTGAATCTGGCTGGTAACTTGTTCGGAGCTTTGAGGATGGGCAGATTTCCAGTAAGTCACTCAGAGTCCTCTAAATATAAAATATTCCATTTTGGCTGGGCGCAGTGGCTCAGGCCTCTAATCCCAGCACTTCGGGAGGCTCAGGCGGGTGGATCACGAGGTCAGGAGTTCAAGACCAGCCTGGCCAACATGGTGAAACCTCGTCTCTACTAAAAATACAAAAGAAATTAGCTGGGTGTGGTGGTGCGCACCTGTAATCCCAGTTACTCTGGAGGCTAAGGCAGAAGAATTACTTGAGCCTGGGAGGTGGAGGTCGTAGTGAGCTGAGATTGCACCATTGCACTCCAGCCTGGGCAATAGAGTGAGACTCTGTCTCAAAAAAAAAAAAAAATCCTATTTTATTTGTTGGTAAAATTAAAATGATTTTGATGCTGAGTAATTTAAGAATCAAGTCAATTTTCTTCTCCCTGTGAAGAACTGGGATAATATCCGTGGATTACTGGCCTTTCTTAGCCTAGTGTTTGTTTTGCCCATGTGTAGGAGTGGGTTAAGTGATAAGCCAGGGTCAGGCTCTAGGACAAAGGATGGCTTCTTTAGATAAATGAGATTCCTTCTTCAGTACTAACAAGTCTTATTCCAGGAACCATCTTGGACTAGCTCCCATATAATTCCCCGTTCTTATATCTTCCCAGTAGCCCATTAGCTGCTCTGGGTTTGATTTTGACCTACTTTGATGGCTTTTGTGTTTTGAATCTACCTGGATTTCAGCATGAGTCTCACTGGCTCTGCCCACTGAATTTCTGCCCTCACACTTCTCCCATCTCATCCTTTCACCTGATCAGTTGTTGGAACCAAATATTCACCCTAAGTTAGGGTATAACTGCAGTTTATACTACAATTTTATATATATTTTATTACATTTATATATATATACACAATTATATATATGCAATCTTATATATATGATATATCATATATAATATATTATATATATCATATATTTTTATATATATGATATATATATAGATGCAATAAAATTTAAACTTTCACCATGATCAGGGGCCCTAGATCTGAAATCAGACTAGGTTGATTTTGCATCTCAGTTTTGCTGCTTGATCCGTGTGACTTCGAGTGGATTGAAAGGCTATTCTGAGTACATTTTGCTGCCTAAATTGAGCATAACAATATTGAATGCCCTACGGGGTTACAATAAGGACTAAATGACAATGTATATAAAGACCTTATAGTGTTTGGCATATAGTAAGTATTTGATAAATATAAATTTTAATTTTTGTTATTATGTCAATTCTCCTACTAAGACAGACACTATGAAGGATGTTCATTTGAAGCCGAATCCGATGATGTATTCTCTCTACTACACATGGGAGGAAGAGCTAACAAGTTGTAAACATTTTACTTTTTAGAAATAGGATGCCATCTATTTAACTGCCCTTGCTGCTTTTGACAACCTTTGCAAATCATTGATGGAGACCAAATCAAGGACAGAATCCCTGTGCATGATGGAGGAGCAGCACCTGAATCAGTCTGGTGCCTTTCAGAGGCTACAAGGCACAGAGAAAGCTTAGCGTTCATGGTTCATTGGTGTTGAAAAAAAATCTCGAAGCTTGTCTTGTGCAAACTCCTCATTTCACCATTGGGAAACTAATCTGGAGAAATTAAATATTGTGCTTTGGGTCACACAGAAGTGTTAAGACCAGAACACTCGTTCTGTGATACCAAGTAAGGTTGGTGACCATTCTTCTCCATCACTGGTTCTCAAATGGTGGTCCCTGATCTAGCAGCATCAGCTTCACCTGGATGGGAACTGATTAGGAATACAAGGTCTCAGTTTTGTCTTAGGCCTGTTGAATGAGAAACTGTTGGGGTTAGGCACAGGAATCTGTGTTAAAAAAAAGCTCCAGGTAATTTTGATGCATAAGCAAATTCGAAAATTACTACTGCTCTTTGTTGTGTTTGTACTTATCATTTTTCCAACCTATTAATATATATTTCTGCATATCAAGATAGAAATATAAGGAAGCCTGAATATAACACATAAAAAGAGGAAAAAATAGACATCTTTTGGTAGTATCCAAGACACACACATACACAAACTTTTTGTTTTCCCACAGAAGACAAGTTATCTATTTATTTTACCATCTTTAGGTCTCTCTACTAAGAGAGCAGCTCTCTTCTGTGATTTATTGCAAAGATACAAGTACATTTCCAGTTTCAATATTATTGCCTGGATGTAGTAATGACTATTGGCTCTTTCAAGCATGTAAACATAAAAACACCAGAGAAGGCAGAAGGTGTATTTGTTTGAGAAATATTATTGTTTGGTCCAACTGTTTTGTTATTTTTCTCCAAAAATATGACAACATGAACAAGTAATGTGAAAGTGCCAAGAAATTGATGTTTCATGGCAAAGCCAACAGTCTCTGGAATGCTTAAATCATGTTACATAGAGCTATCATTTCCTTCTCCCTGAGCATCTGTAGGTGGTGCATGAAAGCAGTTGAGTATAATATAATAATGATTTTTCATAGGTCTTTCTGGATGGATCTTTCTCACTCATCATCAGACTCCATAAAAGTGTCTGGTGATATTTTAGCTCCTGGAGTGTTTTGATTATTTTGTATGAAACTTTATAGCCAAAGCATTGGGTTTCTAACACTCTCACAACTAAAGAATAAAATAGTTTGATTATTTTTTAAAAAGTTTGAGATGAGCTGGTTTAGGGCATTGATAGTCCTTGGAAAACATTGCTAGGCTTCTACAGGAATATCTTTACAATTTGGGGTAATTGGGCTGCCATTTTGAGGCTTAAATTGGAGTTTCAATCTTAAGGAGGGATTTTGGATGTGGATCATTGATTATGGGAAGAATTACATATATTTGCAGCCTTCTAACCACTTCACACATGATAATAATTATTCTTGCTCTTCTCAGAATCTTCATCATCATCATCATCATTAACATAATCACAGCTGACATTTACTGAACATTAGCAATGTGGTAAGCACTGCAGTAGGAGTTTTCACGTGTCTACTCATGTAATCCTCAATGCAACCTTAAAGGTGAGTAATGTCATTACCCATTTTATAGATTAAGGAACTTAAACAGAAGGATAAGGTTAACTAACCCAGGATCACAGGGGTAGGGAGCAATGCTCAGGATAGAAGTCCAACATGTTTGTCTCCAGAGCACTCTCTTAACCTCTATATGCTGCTGTTTTTTCATTTCTTTAAACCTGATGTCACTGCTAAATTATGTGTGATTATTTCCTCTATATGAGAAAACAAGGTTGAGAAAGAAGAGAAGCCTTCGTAAGGTCATAGGGCCAGCAAGTGGAAGGCTGGTCTGTGTGGCCATTTGCAATCCCTGCACTGCTTTTCACAGTGCCTTGCACACACTTCTGGTGTCTTGTGTTTTTCTATGTCTTGCCTTTGGTTCCAGTGTGTGGTGATTTTCACAACATTTGTCCAAGAACCATCTAGTCTTCTAATGTTCTGGCCTTTTCAAGTGAAGAAATAGAGAATGTGGCTGAATACTGAGACTGTGCTAAGAAAGATAATACAAAACTTCTGATTCCATCAATAATTATTTTGTAGAAAGTGTGACTAATGGTCCAGAGGGAATAGAAAGCTCAGTTCCAGTTTGACTCCCTGCTGTTTATTTCCGTGTGATGGCAGGTTGTTCATCAAATCAATCTCTGCTTGGATTTATAATGGTTGCCAACAGATACACTTGATATTACTTTTTAAAATAATAAATAAGTGAGTAAGTATTGTCAACTAGTAGACATTCATAAATATGTTTTGGACAAAATAATGACCTTAGACCATTTCACTTCAACCTTCTTTCTGCAGAAAGTGAGATGAATATGACTTGCAGAGGTGTAGTGAGAATTAGTCTGTACACCTAAGGTGTAGAGCCCACAATTTGTTACCAAAGAGGCACTCAAAAATGGCAACTACTGTTTGCTATCAGAAACCAGTTGCCTCAGAGTGTAGGTTATCTAGTGTCTCTGTCTTTGAATACAAAGACTGAGTGTGGGAGAATGTTTATTCACTTAAATTTAGCTTTCTAGTGTTTTACTTTACAACTTCTCAAGTCCAGCTAATAATCCACCTTCCCATTAGCTGGATAACTCTGAGGAGGTAGGATTGTGCCCCTTTCTCCCTCAAATGCTGCTGTGAGGCCCAAAGAATTGTGAGCTGAGCATCTTACTATGTGTTTTGCTTTAGCTGGATTTATGTTGCCACCTGGTATAAAAAAAGATGGAAAGCAGGCTCTTGATTTTATCCCCTAAACTTTGAGGAATTGGGGAAGATTTAGGATAATTGATGAAGGGAGTTTATTACTTAGTTTATCCAGTGCTCCTGGGTTTTTCCCAGGAGGTCTGGAAATGGAACCCATCTCTGCTCAATATTCTAAACTCTCCTTAACTTCCTACCACTGAATATCCCTCTGGTTTAAGTCAGTCTTCTCCAAAGCAGGGTGTGCACACTTCAGGGCATGGGAGATTCATAGAGTTGGAGGAAGAATATATTGAAATTTTCATTTCCATTTATTTTTGTTTCAGCAAAACTAACTTAGCCATTATTATCTTTAATGCTGGTATTCTTCCTCATGGCCTTTATGTTGGTAGGGCTGTCATAGCTGTCATGCCATTTGCTTTTGGTGAATAGTGACTTATGGAAGATTTTTTGGAATCAGCCAAATGGATTTGTGAGTTATAGTAACCACCTTTACCTAAACTAACCTAAAAAAGTAGACAACAACTTAAAAAGTCCTGCAAAAACAAACAAGCAAAACATAGTTGAATATTGGTAATTGAAGCACAAGCAAAAGATAAGAAAGTAGTCAAATTGACCCTTACACTCTTGGTATGAGTTCCATGTCAGCCATCTCATGGTAAAATTAATGACAGTTTCGTTAGTTCTGACAAGATGCCATTCTAATAAATTAGAAATGCAAGGTTAGTTACATCCATTATTGTTGATACTTCCCGCTCAAAGTATATCTTATCTTGAGACTTTAGCTAATGATAGCAGCACACCTATACAATTTACCAATAAATAAGGCAACACACCAAATCTAGTATTATGTCCTTTATTTCCTCTGTCAAATTAGTGCCTCTAATCTTCCTAATCTTTTCTTTCAATCCTTCTCTTTGTAGCTAGGCTCACTGTTTACAAACACAAATCAAATTGCACCAGACCCACTTGCTCCCACTCCCGGTTTAGAACTCTGCAGCTGCACTTGGAATCAAATTAAAAGTCTTTACTGCAGCTTGTGAGGCCTGGGATCCAGGTTTATCCTAACCCTTCAACTTCATCACATACTCACCTTCCTTTCTGCTACCTACTTTATGGTCACCCTGTTTTTTTTCTCCATTCCTAGTACAAGTCAAGTTCTTTTCTGTCTCAGGATAGTTGCACAAGCTATACTCCTGATAATAGCTGCCATCTCTATTCCTGTGGAGTTCAACTATAAATATGTCCAAATATGTACATTTCTCATAGTCAGTGCTAAGTGCAGCAACTCTTTCACTTTAGAGGTTATAATCTGCTTAACCAAGACCGCTGATCTCTGGAAACTTCACTAATGAGTTATGCCTTTGAATTTCATGTGTTATTTTTTCTCACTCTTACAACAAGATAACTGGGCTATTTGGTATTTCCTGTTGCTATCTATATAATTTACTCACCATACTGGATCAGATGATCAAGGTCTGCCCACTATATAAGGTAAAGGAGGACAGTTGTCATAGCCAATGACTAGTTAGCCAGTAAGGATGTACTGCCGTCTCTGCCAGGTGAAGGCAAACCACTTCTACTTGTATTGACTAATTGAGTTCGGGGAAAAGTGTATTCCTAGTAAATATTAGCATACCAGGTGCTAGGGGTTGTGTTGGTCTCTTCAATAAATACATTACTTTTAAATCACAGCTTGACTAAATTTATAACAACTCACAGCTATTCTTTTTTTTTTTTTTTTTTTTTTTTGAGACGGAGTCTCACTCTTTCACCCAGGCTGGAGTACAATGGCACAGTCTTGGCTCACTGCAACCTCTGTCTCCCAGGTTCAAGTGATTCTTCTGTCTCAGCCTCCCAAGTAGATGGGATTACAGGCATGTGCCACTATGTCTGGCTAATTTTGTATTTTTAGTAGAGACAGGGTTTCTCCATGTTGGTCGGGCTGGTCTCGAACTCCCAATCTCAGGTGATCTGCCCACTTCAGCCTCCCAAAGTGTTGGGATTACGGGCGTGAACCACTGCAGCCGGCCATCACAGCTATTCTTAAGTGTCATTCGGATTCACCATTCTTGCATTTTAAAAGTCCTTTATGGTATCACTAAGCTATGCTATTTCTCCCAGAAGTACAGTATTGCTTTTGATTTACCAGTTTGTCTAGAGGCGGAACAGGCAGGTCCAACAGCTCCACTTGGCCCTTTCTACCATGGTAGTCTTTACTCCAGACTGCAGGGGATCGACGTGGGAGTAATACCAGTTCTAAATGCATTTATTCCAATTATACCTGCAGAAACCATGGACATACCATAAAATAGATCTGGCAGTCTACAGGGCCACTGTGAGACAAATTTAGATATACTCTTTATTGAGCATCTTCCCATAAATCCTCACTGTAACCATTCAACCATTGTGTTCTTAGGATAAGTGTCAATTCAGAGCTAACACCTAAGAACCCCCTGAAGGTCTGGGCATCTCTCATTCACATAGTCAGTCTTTAAATAGATGCAGGTTACTCTGGGAAAGAACTGGGGAGATTTACAGCACATACTTGAGGTCAAGTTTCAGGATACTATCCCAATAGTTCCTCGACTCTCTCCTCACTCAAGGGGCTCAGGATCTGTAAACTGGCTTAGGTATGGGTTCTGCCTATGGATTTATACCAGCACCTCTGTGAAGTTGCATTTTTTTCCATCAGAGATAGTGATTTCTGGATTATATTAATCAAGTCATGTCATTTTTGGCCACCCATCTATTTTATTCATAGGAAGCCAGTAATAAGCCTCCACAGATTTCTAAGTGTCAGTACCCTCCGATTGCTACTGCATCTCTGTGGTCTATCACAGAAATTGAGCCAACTTTGTCTCTGATAATTAAGCCTCACAACTGGGTCCCTGCCACCCTGAAATAGCATCATTGCTATTGAAATCAGAACAGCCAGATCAATGGCAAAATCTCTCATCATCATTTCAAGGCTACATAGAGTAGCCACACAGAGCTCTTCAGAGACCCTGGGAAGACTCTCGCCAATCTGTTTCTCTTTGCTTTGCTATGGGGTGAGGTTAGGAGGTAGCTAAGCGTGTTGCACATGAGAGGTCCACTCTCCCATGTCCATCTACTTAAGCCTCCAGTTTCCTTAATTTACAATATGCCAAGGAAGCTTCCATCTCAACTGTGCTTACAGGCCACCACAGATGCAGGCTTCAACTAATCAAACAACCAAATCGTTAGAGCCACTCCCAGCTATGTGAGCTAAACAACAAATCCAAAATTTTTGAGGTAGTACATCCATCTTTCTCTTTCTTTCTCTCTATGCATATATAGATATACACACACACATGTATACATATACAGTGTCTTCCTTGAGAATATTTTCCATAATTCTTTTCACATTTATAGAATATACATTACATGATTTATATAAGATATTAATATCTTATATATCAGTAATATATACTATGTTAAAATATGTATACATATATGCATATAATTATAAATAATATTTAGGGGTATTAATTAGCAAGATCTTCCATTCCCTGGAGCAGTGATTAGACACCTAGAGACTCGTAGGGGAATAAGTGATTGACAACCCTAAAGCAGAGGGGCATGAGGAATTGCTGTGGGAGCTGAAGCCATGGAAGAAGGGCCACCTGGAGGCAGCTGCAGTTGTGAAAGGTCATGGCTGCTACCAGAGGCATGGTACAGGAGGAAGCAGGAAAGAATGCCCTACTCTCTGTCTTCTGGCTTCTGGTCTTTTGGTGATTGCTCGCTGGCTGAAACCAATTGGAAATCAATCAGCAAGGGAGCCCTAGTGATGTCCTTCGTGTAGATCAGCCTCTCAGGAAATACAGAAAGATAGAAAAGATTGGCAAATGGTCTAGAATGGAACTATGCAAATGGAGAATAACCAGCAATCCATTAAAAAATCAGAGTCAATATACAACATCCCAAGTTTACATTTCAGAGGCTCATACATTATAATTCTCATCAGTGAAACATGAAACAAAACTTTATTTGGAATTTGTCCAAGACTTGTAAAGTTACTCTTTGACCAAGGAAAATCTTATTGCTTCCTGGACGTAACTGAAGGTAGGCATTGCTCCCACAGCTGTAAACTTTCCAATTCCCCCCATCCCCGTTATATTGAGAAAACATTAATCTAGGCATTTTTATGCATTTCTGTTTCTGCCATGCCGCCTGGGATGAAGGGGTAAAGACAGATGTGTTGAGGGAGTTTACAACTCCATGCTTAAATTACTTCTTTTTTCTATCTCTTTAAATTCATGCCTTCTGGAAATCATATTCCTGGAAGTATCCAATTTTCATGCTTAATACAATTGTGATTAAGAGATATTTGCTTGTTAATGGTAACTGATAGTGTAAATCTGTTTGAGCATTGTAATGTTCATAAACTCTTCTCTTTGATACTGTTAAAGTATTACAGGTGTCCTTCCTTACCAGCTTTGTAACCCCAAGCAGAGCTCTGTTAATATTTTATTTATACAAGGGCATGAGTCCACAACCCTTTGGTGGTCGGGCCACCCTCGGCATGGAAAGTCTTGTTACAATAAGAAATATGTTTACATATGGTATTTCTTAGACCTTAGTAGAGATACTGATCTCCAATAAATAGAAGTATATACTGAAACAGAAATTAACAGACTATAATTATGAACATTTTTACATATATAAACATTATATGTTAACTTGGTAATTTTGGGGAATCTAGATATATAGGAAAACTAAAACATCATCTGTAATTCCACTATTGGGATGTTCATTATTAACATTTTTGTATGTATTATGTCAGTGCTTTTTTTTCTTGATGTACATATAGTTTACATATATATATTTCTATGTCTATATGTTATAAAATCTATATATCTTACATATGTTGATACATATATGTGATATAACATTGATATCAATTTGGAATTTTTTAAAATTACTATATTATTTGAATATATTTTAAATAATCTACAATGTAATCTTTAGTGATTTCATGTTGTTACATTATTTTAACTAGTCATAATTTATAACCAATTTCCTATTTTAAAAAATTGTAAACAGTAGTCTATCAAGCCCCTTAATTTTAGAAAAAAATTCTATGTATTTATAATAAATACTTTGAAGTAAAATTACCTGCAAGTGTACTTACTGAGTTAAAAGATTGCATGGATTATTTATTTTTTAAAGTTTTATGTACTAATGTAAAAGAAACACAATCAGTTGTTTTGTCTGCATTCATCATAGATATTTTTGTATGCATTGGATATGAAAAGTGTCAGAAGGTTTGAAACCCTGATGGATTATTCTGGGCAGAACATTTTCTTTTTTGACAGAATGGTTGGCTTCTTGGTCCTGTCTCTCTGCTTCATTGAGCAGGAGCGCCTGTTCTGTTTGACTTCATCCATTTTGAAGTTTCAAATGGTCACAACCTCTAAGACAGAGTGACAAAAGGCCATCAATCAGCATAAATTGGTGCTCATTCCACAGGTCTGATCCTGGGTTTGGAGAGACTGTCACTGGCCATTCCTTGGGATGTAAATTTGTCCTTCATATTGATGTAGCTAGTCCAGAGGCAGCAGGTCATAGTGCCTGGTAAGGATTCTAACATAAAGTGCATTTTTAAAAACCTGAAACACATGCATACAGCTTGAATTTTGAGAGCACCCTGCTTTCTCCTAGAAATTCTGTTCACTTGTTAGCAGGTCAATATCATTCTTGAAAGTATTGATTTTCATTGACCATATAACCATCCCTGTATGTCTCCTTGTAGGAAGAAACCATGCAGAGCTCGGATATTAATTTTCTGGTTGTCTTTAAAAAAATTATTACCTTTGGGCGTCCAAAGGCTGAGCTGGAGAGGCAGCATTAAAATCAATGCCAAAAAACAAAGAGCTTCTGGCTAGACCTTATGTTTGGCAATAGTAGAAGCAACTAAACAGCCTTTGTTTTGAATGAGTATAAAGAAAAATAATAATCTTTTCTGCGTACACTAATACCCATTCCTTCTGGGGAGAATGTCTTTAGTGATGATATAAGAGAGCAGATGCATGGCATGTGAGTGCATTACAGAATTTTCCTAAATGCTTCCTCTAAGCTGTCTGAGAGAAGGGCTTTAGGGTGACTAACTTCCCGTTCTGACTAGTGTAGGCTTGAGCTAGCAGTTCGCTGAGTGTGCTCTCTCTCTTTTCCTCCTTCCCTCTTTCTATCTGTTCCTCTCTCTGTCTCTGCTCCACCTCTCTCTCATTCTTCCCTCCCTACTTCTTCCTTCTGTTTTTCCTTTCTTTTTTCTACTTTATTTTTTTATTTTTTAAAATTGCAAACATAATACACGTTAATCACGTTAATTGTGGAAAATTTAGAAATGTAGAAATTTATGAAGATGGGAATTAGCAAAATCATCTGTAATCCCATTTCACAGATGAAATGCTTCATGTTGATGGGAGGGCAAAGGAGTGTGTGTGTACGTGTGTATGCACAGCCATGTTTGCACACATACACATACACACACAGGTATCCATATATAATTAGCCAAGATGGCTAGCATTAATTTTTTATTAACAAGACCAATCTGGTTGTTCTTAACTAGTAATTCTCCTTTAAGATAGGGAATGTTGTCAATAGAAAGTGTTTTGCCACTGAAAAATTAAAAGGTGATGCAATTTCTGAAAATATATTTCCAAAGAGTGATGTAGAGTCTTCTGTTTTAAGTATTGTTTTGAATGTGCTTGAGGAGGAAGGTGGGTAGTCTCAAAATATCTCTAAGGACCGCCTTGTTCCCTATTCCTCTGTCCCCCTGCCCTCCAGGCAGATGCCACTAATGTGCTATAGGAAAGGCTCCAAAGGGGTCATTAAGAAATGGCAGTTAAGGTTAAAGATGTTTAGAATGTGTTCAAGAGTAAAAATTGATTTGGAGACTTCACTTGGAAGTGTTAATAGCAAAGACTTGGAACCAACCCAAATGTCCAACAATGATAGACTGGATTAAGAAAATGTGGCACATATACACCATGGAATACTATGCAGCCATAAAAAATGATGAGTTCATGTCCTTTGTAGGGACATGGATGAAATTGGAAATCATCATTCTTAGTAAACTATCACAAGAACAAAAAACCAAACACCGCATGTTCTCACTCATAGGTGGGAATTGAACAATGAGAGCACATGGACACAGGAAGGGGAACATCACACTCTGGGGACTGTTGTGGGGTGGGGGGAGGGGGGAGGGATAGCTTTAGGAGATATACCTAATACTAAATGACGACTTAATGGGTGCAGCACACCAGCATGGCATACGTATACATATGTAACTAACCTACACATTGTGCACATGTACCCTAAAACTTAAAGTATAATAAAAAAAAATTATCTTAAGCCAGAGAGGCAGGCTCCAAGCACTATAATGCCCCAAAGGAGGATCTGCTCAGGACAGAGAAAGCACAACTAAGGATTAGCGCCTCTTACAGAAAATGCTTGGGAACACCATCTCTCCCTTCATCATCAACCAGGCATGCAGCCTGCCCAGGTGGTCTGAGCTGGGGACTGGCCATGCCTTCTGCTGTCCTGTGCTATTTAAAATAAAGAGACATAAAAAGAAGGCAGATGCATGTATGCAACCATCAGAGGTTGAAATGTGGCAGCTGATACAATGATCTTACTCTGGGTTTGCTGTATTTTTGTTTAATCGTAAATAGGAGTAGGAGAGAAATTCCCATGCCGGGACTCAAAATAGCAGTTACTTTCAAAGCTGTTACTGTTTTCTCTCAGTAGATGGCACTGTTTTGAATAACTACATTTTGGTTGAGTTCAATTGGAAAAGTGAACAGAATAAGGCTTCTTTGAATGAAGAAGAATGCATTGTCATGAACTCCAAAGCTTTGCTACCAAAGATAGAAATAGCATGGTAGCAAAAGTATGTTTTCTAGCTCCTAAATCAGCACTATTCTATAGAAATATATTGGGAGCTACATATATATTTTTAAAGTTTTAAGAAGTAACATTGAAATAAGTAACATAAAAGGTGAAATTACTTTTAATAAAGTATTTCCTTTAACCCAATATATCAAAAATATTAAAAATTCCACATGTAATCAATAATACAATTTTTAATGAAATATTTTGCATTCAGATGACTAGCATTTCAAGTCCTCAATAGCCAGTAGCTAATATGATATTATACTACTCAATCTGGCTGGTTACTCCTCTTTTCCTCCCTTCTTTCCTGAAAAGAAGTGTGATTTTCCAGAATAACTGGCCTGAACAGACTCCATGTTTGCACTTTTTAAGAGTAAATTGTTGTGTGGAATTTCATCCTTGCTAAAGTAGGGTATTTGACCTTGCAAAAAGATGTATGTACTAATGCCACTTTTGGTCCTATAGAAGACTACAATGCCAGCATCTGGGATAACTACTAGAATGTTCTCTGCCATCCACTAAGCATTGAATCCCTCCAGACACTGTTACAACAGGTAAGAGTCATCCTTGTATTTATAAAAAAGATGAATTAAGCGAAAAGTTTGAAGAGACACCATGTGACTTGCATCTTTCTCCATCCGTTTCTCTCCATTTAGTCCATTCAATTGACATTTGTAAAGTTCCAAACTGCTTCCCAAAATTTGTCATGTGCTGAAGATGCACAAAAGAAAAAGGTTGCTTCCCATAAGATCACAGTGCTATGGGGGAGTGGACAGATAAGCAGACAATTACACAGAATGGCATAAATGCTATTAAAACATGTTCAAGATATAATAAGAGTTAAGAAAATGCACATACTTTCAGATAGAGGGTGCTTGTGTTAGGAGGTGGGGAAGTGGGGTAAGCTTTCAGAAGGGTTTGGTGTCTGAGCTGAGTCATTGAAGGACGAGTAGGGCCACAGGACTCGGAAGATGGCATGTTCAGTTCAGGGAGGGTGAGGATGCACCAGGTAAGGCCAGCATAAGCACTGCCTGGAGGTGTGAGAGGATGTGGTATGTTTAGAGAACTACAAGTAATTGAGGTTTTCTGGTGTGTATAAAGCAGCAAGAGATGGACGATGCCTGGATCATCAAAGGCCTTGTATTTTATGCCAAGGCATTAAATTCAATATTGAAGACCAAAAGGATTAAGTAATTTTTATTAGAGGAATGATATGGGTAGATTTCAATTTCAGAAAACTCACAGTACCTTTGGTGTGGAGAATGGAATTGAAGGGAGCAGGATGAGGTATGGAGACTCAGGTTTTGGGCTTTTAGCAGCAACTCTAGGAGGAATTATGAGAGCCTGACATACAGCAGTAGCCACAGGGATGATTCCTCTTGTATTTGAGAGATATTTGGGGAATAAGATTAATAGGAAGGAGTGATTTGCTGCATGGGAGGGAGACCAGCACTAAGGAGAGAAAGAGTTGATTCAGGTTTTGTGGGCTCAGAAGTTTCTATAACTTTGGGGATGTATCCTCCAGAAAAAAAAATACAAAATAAAGAATTTATATGGTGATGCTGGACACATGGGTCTGGAGAACTATGGATCATAGATGCCTCTGGATGTCATTGGCACATGAGTGAAGCCACAGGAATAGATGATACCACCCAGGCTGGAGTAGGAATAGAAAGCTGTGGCAAGCAGTTAGCGGGGGGAACAGGCATAATTACTTACAGGTGGCTAAAAGCAAAACAAACTGGGCCAAACTGGTTAGCACAGGGACCTTCCCTCTAGTAGAAAGGAACTGTTACAACAGGTTGTAACAATGTAGAGAGATTGCTGTCATCGTGCTTTAGGCACAAGTAAGATTGTAGCAAAGATGAAACTGACCACAACTGGTTAAATTAAAAATGGCCAAAATCTTGATCTACTGCTGACCCTTTTATCAGAAAATGTATGACACTATTACCATAAAATTTCCATGGGGAAGCCTCTCACTTTTATCATGCACCTGATGCCATGACCAGATTTACCACATTTAGTCAAGAAAAGGGTGGCACCCCCTGATTCTGGGAATTGCCTACCCATTTCCCAGAAAATCCTTCCCCTTATTATAGAATACTCTGTGACTTCATTATGCTTACCCATATAGTATTTGAGCCCTGACCATGTTGTGCATATCTCATTCTTTTGAGCACACATGCACATACTCCTGAGTGTATGCTTGCTTTTGCTCCACATTAAAGCTTCTGTACTTTCACTGTAGTCTCACTTTCAAATTCTTTTGCACTGCAAAGACAAAAACCTGTACTGGGCTACTGACAACAAAGCTGTGGCAAATCTCTGGAAAAGCCCAACATTCGGCTGTGGGAGAAAGAAGAGAATTATCCAAAATAGAGTGAGCAGGAAAGGCTCCAAGGATGTGAAGAAAACGAGGCCAGAGTGCTCTGGAGGCCAACAGGAAGGTAGTCTCCAGAATTGTGCAAGTGACGTACTTTCAGGTTTGCTGCCATTCACAACAGACAACCTACCAGCTTTCATGGTCTAAAGAGGGCTTAAATTTAATTTGCAAATATCTTCAGAGAAGAAATACAGTCTCTACAGTCTATACTGAGTTATAAGTGACTGATACCAGCTCTTCATTAGAAGGTTGTTCTTTCTTCTATTTGCCATGAACTACAGGGGTCAAAAGAAGGGTTAGCACTATCCTAGCTCCCTGTTAATTCTTGCAAATCAGCACTCTTTTATAACCCTTTGTAACATCCCATTTCAATGCATAATAGAAGGTATGCAGTCTTCCACCTCCTCATTGGTGGGTGCCATTTACACACTCCTGGCCAATCCCCTCATTCATGAATGATATTCATACCTTCCTTAAAGTCATCATGCTTAATGTCTTCTATAGCATTGAATAAACTCTGTACTATTTCCTTCACAGTGACTTCACTTCTGTTCTGTGGCTGACATTGGAACTTCTCTTTTTGTAGCTGTTGTCCCTTATATTTTCATTATATTATGTAAAAAACAGAAACTGATCAGGCACATGACTTCTGAGCATACTTTGTTGAAACTCTGGTCTCCCTAGCTGGTCTCAACCTGGTCTCTGGACCTGGTCACTGTCCACAGCACCATCCCTTATTCTCCTTATTGTTTCATTTCCCATATTACTAAGCAAAATAAGAAAATACTCCAGTTATTAGTAAGAAACTGTGTCAGATCCTCCTACACTACTCCTTTCCAGGTGCCCAGCAGATACTTTCTCATCACAGACACACACAGGAACCGGGCAGGGAATGATTACCGGGTGGTGGGGAATGGGCTCTACTGGAGGGCTGGATTTCATCCAGTGTCATTCAAATTTGAACCCCTTAAAAGTCCATTTAGGTGAAAGAGAACCAGCTGGATATGATTTCTGGCTTTTACTTTCATCCCTTGGATCTTCGGCGTCTGCAAATAAAAATATAAGTAGGTTAAATTTTGTTAGGTACTTGGAACATGGGTCCATAGTAAGTGCTGTATGGATGGATACAGAAATACATCTACTATATAGAATTTCTTTAACCCATTGGAAAAATATGCTCTTGGCTCTCTGGCCTCTCATCACAGGGACCCAAATCATTCCAGAATGCCTCTGGGCATAGTAACTAGGACTATAGCTCAGGAAGGACCTGGGAAGTATCCAGTTCAACCTCCTCCATGTTACAGAGGCAGAAACTGAAATCAGAGAGGGTAAACCACTACCAATCACCCTCTGATTGTGGTCCCTCGAGTTTCCCATATCACTGCAACAAAATAAGATAATAGATCTAAGCCTTCTGAAGGGGCTGTAGCCATGTATTCAGCATTCATTTAATGAGAATATAATGCCAGTGGCTCTGGTAGAATTCTGCCTTAAAATGAGTTTACAATTTTGGAGATGGTGTAGAACATGTCTGAGGCATATATAAACCAAGAAGAGGCTAGGGCAGAATTTCTAATTCTAGGGAGCATGAGGCTACTGACCTTGCAGCATGAACAGGGCTGATGAGTGAAGGCAGTGAGATCACCAAGACTGTCAGTTCAGAAGGGGCCCAGAGCCCAGCTGTGCTGCATGTCGATACAAAACTCGTGTACAGATATTCAGCCAGCATGCACCAGCTGTGGGTGGAAGAAATTACTTTCACTGTGTCTCTAACCCGCTTGCTCTCTGTGGCTTTGTCCACAGAAGAAGGAAGAAAGTGGTTTCTGGGCCCTGGCACTGTTTAGTGCTGGGGGAATTATGGTGAAGCCCTCAGTAGAGAAGTAGCTGGTTTAGTAGGAGACCAAAGCTGCACTGCTTTCGACTTTGCTGCTACAGGACATCAGGTCCCAACCCACAGTGTAATCAGACAGTGGGAAAGAACATAAGTACCTAGCAGCGTTGGATGTTTAGGAAGACATGTTTATGTTCATATTTATATTTAATATTTGTATTAATACATAAGGGGTCCTTGCTAACCACTTCTCACAGTTTTCTTCTACTCTTTAAAGATCCATAAACTGGCCAAGCATGGTGGCTCACACCTGTAATCCCAGCACTTTGGGAGGCCAAGGTGGGCAGATTGCCAGAGCTCAGTAGTTCGAGACCAGCCTGGGCAGCATGGCAAAATCCCGTCTCTACTAAACACACACACACAAAATTAGCATGGCATGGTGGCATATGCCTGTAATCCCAGCTACTTGGGAGGCTGAGGCAGGAGAATCCCTTGAACCTGGGAGGCAGAGGTTTCAGTGAGCCGAGATTGTGCCATTGCATACCAGCCTGGGCAACAGACAGAGCGAGACTCTGTCTAATATAAATAAATAAACAAATAAATAAATAAATATCCACAAACAATTGTATTATTTCTGATAAAATGACTATTTCTATTTCTGGGTAGACAGCCAGAATTTTCTATACTTTTTTGTCTTTCTATCTGACTTTTAACAGAGCCAATGCCCTCTTGAAAGATAAAAATGACCACCTCAGTGTCTTGTACATTATCTGCTTCTTCTGCCTTGTCCTCTTTCTTTCCAGGGCAAAAGGAGAAAGATGAAGATAGACATATCCCTGCTGTCTTTTCCAATTAAAAAAAGAATAAATTGCTTTCCTAAAATCCTAAAAGCCAGAAACTGGGTGTGATTTTTCTTGCTGGTATGGATGGCACACTTAATCTACCATAGTGTTGAATTATTGATGCTGTATTTCTGTTTTTCATAATTTTGTAATACGCCCTGTAAGCTTGGCTTCACTGTGGGCTTTCATCCTGATTTCACATTTTATTTTAGCCCATGAAAACAATTAATAATTTAAAGTCTTCAGTTACATGTTATCAATCTCCTTGGGAGATTTTCAAGGCAACACTGATTGAAATGAAATTCTCTCCATATTCCTGGATGTTTATTATGGAAAGATACAGCTGCATTATTTTTCTGAAGTGTTACATATGAGCCATACATCAATATGGTTACCCAGCATGCACATATGTTAATGTGGAGTTTAGTAGAGGTTATTTTTCACCCATTGGGTTTAGTAAGGTTATGATAAACGCGGCCAAAGGGATTTGTGAGAAGACATGCTATTTGGGAAACTTCCACCATGAATTTTACAGTGCCAAGAAAAACAGCTCTGTAATGTAAAGTAAATTGATTTAAGAGAGAATTGTGTGCAAGCTCATCTCAAGAGGTGGGAATGGTTGACAGAAATAACTGAACATTTGTGTTATTTCTAATTGCTAGAGTGAATGACAGGTAATGGAGGTGGGGAATTGGGAAGTTTTATTCTTTTCTTCACCGTAGTAAGTAGATTGCAAGAAAAATATATTTCTTTTCTTTTGGAAAGGGAATTAAGGCTTCTAAACTTGATGTAGCACAACTTGACAGTTTTGCAAAAAAACAGCTTAAATTATTGAAATTTCCTATATTGGATTTATAGATGCCAAGGAGTCACTAATAATTTCTTCTCTTTAACATCTACTCAAGTGGTCTCTATGTAGTTCTGAAAATAATAAGGGAATCACAAGTATTAGTGATTATATTCTAGCACAGTTGTGCCTACTGGAGGCTTCTAGTGCCAGAAAGGTAGGCAGGAGGTTTTCTTTGTATAGGATAGCCTGCTGGGCTGACTCACAAATCAACACAGCCCCATCAGAACTGACTATGCTGCAATAATAACTTCCACCTTTCCATCCCTAAAGTATCGTCAAGTATGAGGCTCAGAACAGCTAGAAAATGCCTTTCTAGCCATTGTTCTGGTTAGTTGGTATTCATATTAATGCAGATGCATTTGCATATGTTTCAGCCAGGAAAGGACCCTGTGTTGTGAAATCATAGCATTTTGTTATAGTCCTTAGAGAGTGAGGAGGCATTATTATGAAAGCACCTGTGTTCCTGGACCATCACCAATGCTGGGCACTAAATACATGGTATCATTTCTTTGATGCGTAAACAAATGCAAGGCACTTCAAACTCCGTGTATCACTTCATCTAAATTGGCAACATCTCACACTAGTTTCCCCCTTTGCACTAGAAGTATTTTTTCGAAGCCAATCTCTTAGACTTTCCAAACTGCCTAATTGCCTGCTCTGTCTCGCGTCTTTTGCTTCATCCTCTCCAAGTCACCCTGAACTGTTGGAATGGTTATCCCAGATTGTGGCTTAGGTCTCCTATCCCTTCTTCTATTTCAGGGATTTTCCTTCTGCTCTGGAATAACAAAGGCCTAGAATTCATCTGGCCCTGGGAACACCATCATTAGCTTTATGCTTTTGCACTTCCAAGTCTTATTGTTCTTAGAGGCATTGGACCTAGAGCTGTTAGAAATGGAAGGTGCCTGCGTGATGCTCCTGTTAAATCTTTTCAGTATTCAGAAGAGTAAATGGAGGGGTAAAGTCATACAAATGGCAAAGAGCAGTGCTGGAATGCAAAGAAGTTCTCTGACCCCCATGAGCTGCCCTTGAGAGTGCTCTGACAAAGCTGGGGTCAGTGGGTGCATCCTTAGCACTTGGGCTGTCTCTGCAGGGCCTGATCCCAAGCAAAACCCTAATAGTCCTGTGGGGAAGGCGTGGGGGGCTGAAGAGAAGAATGAATAAAGTGGTGGAGGTGGGGAAGGGAGGAGAGAGATGGAAGTGTCCTGTAAAAACAGGAGGGAAGTCCAAAAGCACAACTGCATGCATCCAGATTGCTGGTATTTCCCATTTGCAGGTGGTGCGCAGAGGTTGTGATGACCATGGTACAATGCCTGGGCTCCAGTCATGTCTCCATTGCTAAGTAGAATGAGCTGCAGAGGAGGTTCCAGTCACTGTTCCATATAATCTGTTGCTTAAACCCTGATATTTTTTCCTTATCTGTTTTTAATTTTAGAAAAAAAGTTTTAACATGGAGATTATGGCTTCCACTGAACTGGGATTTAGTATTTCGAAACATATAAAAAGGATTTCTAAAATCAAAAGATCTATACTTTTTTCTCTTTCCATCTGGAGTCAACTGAATATTCAACTTTTCCATTGAACAAACAAACAAACAATTGTGCTCCTGACTTTTTCCAGGCATTAAACAATATAATAACAAAAATGAAATGCAAATAAATGTACTTTTAAAACTTTAATCCTACAGCAAAAGATTCTACTGGCTAATAATGCTACCTGCCTGAAACTTTATATTCTGATATTTTTCCTTAATAAAAAAGTATTTTTTAAAGTTTTGCCTATTTTTTTTTTTTACAATTTAGATATCCAGCATGATGTGTTTGTCTTCCCTGTTCATTAAGATCTTTATTAGTATTTTAATTCTGTTTTTATGAGAATATATCATAAAATAATTTGAATAAATTTATATACACTATGACAATGCATCATACATTTTAGAAACCTGGTCTAAATAGTTTAACTTTCATTCATCTACAGGTCTTATATGTGAGATGATCTTTTGTTGGGCAGATGTTGCTACTCAGGGAAACAAAAAAAAAAGAAAAAATGTGCATTGGGTAATTGTCCTCTAGTGATGTCAAAGTACTTTATCTGGATTTAAGGATCTGGCTCTCAGAGCTCAGACACCTTGTACAATATTAGTCCTGCTATAAATTTAAAATTTTATACAACGAAAGATATTGAAATCCTTACTTACCAAGAGGATTTTAGATATCCCTCTGTGTGAGAATGAATAATCACAGGATACATGGTAACTGATGGATATTAGGATGTATCTGACAACTCTTCTTCATTTAAACCCAATGAATGGTGTAACCTTAATGGTAAAGCTTTAGGTAATTCCATGCTGCATAATGAATTGCCTTAGACATTTTCTTATTCAATTAAGAAAATAAACACACATCTAAAGAAAGAAGTAGTCCACACAAAGGAACTAGCACTGCACCGAAGTGAGACAAGCAAGTTTGAGATTCTTCTTTGCTACATACCAGCAATACTATCTTGAGCAGTTTTCTTTGTCTGAGCTTGTGCAATATTCTTGAGTCCTTTTCTGAACTGAAAACAGAGTGATTTGTCTGATGTATAAGTGGAAAGAGTTTGAGGAAATAACTTAGCTGGCCTATCTTAGGACCATGACCCTTTCTTCTCTTCAGCAGTGGAAACCTTAGAGCCTGTGTCCCGGATGTTGTTGTAAGCTACTAAGTTTGTGATAACTTGTTATGCAGCAACAGGGAAGTGATACAATATCCTTGTGATTAAATTAGATTTTATATGACATTTTGGAGTGATTGGAACATACATTTTTGCTTTTGAGCCAATGGCCACAGTACTTTTTATTAAAAAGTCAGGGCTATAGGACTAAACAGTGGGAAAAAATTATGGACTATCATAGGTCATAAAAAACATGCCAGAAATATTTTCTTATTTCTAAAAACACTCTCAAGTGATAAACAGAGATGTTTTTATACCTGTTGTATGACAAGAAGAGTCTGAAGTCATTTCTGAGTCTAACTACAGTCCACATCCATGAGAATCTGAGGGGTTGGACATAAAAATATGCACATATAATTATGGCAAAGAAAGTTTTGAGTGGAGTGGACAGTGTGACTTTCTCCAGTACTGTTGAAATCTACTTGCTTGAGTTTGACAAAAACAAAATATGGCGTAGAATTGAAAACATAGTGGTAGTTGATACTGCTTTTGTCTTGCTCCAGGCTTTGTTATTTTATCTCACGCTGCTTATACTTCTTTAGAAACTACTATTAATCAACCATTGCACAAAGGGAAAGTTGTTCCCCTATCCATGAATATGTCATTACCCTAATTTAGGTGCCATATATTGAATTTATAATGTAAGGTATAAATATGAATTTTGCAATAATCAATCAAATAGGAAGAATAATTTATACCATAAAAGAAAGGTGTTATTTTAATATCTGAATATTCAAGTTTTTGATAGAAATTTGACTTTCTTAGAATTTGTCAAATTTATGCATGTAAGCATACATTGAATTTTCATTTAAATTTTTATATACTTTATAAAACCAAAATTGTAGCACCATAATTGGATTATAACAAACTCAATTTGTATGTTGTCAAAACTAGTGGATTTTAGAATGTTAGTTATTATTATTGTAGTTATAATTACTCTTGGAAGACCCAGAGGTCACCAAATATAGCACAAAGAATCTGAAAGTGCTAATTAGAAAAATTCTAGAAAATTTAAATCTGTGTTAATTATGAATGACATATTTATTTTATCTCTTGTCTTTACCTCATGCCTTTAAATACCATGATTTTTCTAAATTTTCATCATCCAAAATACCAGTTGTTATGCCTTTTGAGATACTTCACTTATTGTGTAAATAATCATTGAGAACTCTCCAGACCAGTCTCTTTCTGTGCACACACACTCACACACACACACACACACAGAGGGAGAGAGAGAGAGAATGAAATTTATTTCTGAACCATTTGAGGATGATTTACCTACCCATGGCTTTAATCTCTAAGTACTTCAAGGTATATTTCCTAAGAAAGTCATATTATCTTACTTAAAAATAGCACAGTTATCAATGCTAGTAAACTTTACATTTACATATTTTAATTAATCTACCACTTACATTCCAATTTTACCCTTTATAAGCATTTTCCCCCCTCTAGTATAGGTTTGTGTGGAACCGAGGCTGCAGTTAATTATTTCTCTTTGGCCTTCTTTTATCTGGAACATTTCCATACCTTTTTATTTTCGCCTTTTAAAACATTGATTTTTTAAAAATAATTTTTTAAAAACAATATTCTCACTTTGAATTTGATAGATCCTTGGGATTAGATACAGGTTTTGCTTTTTTGCCATGAATACTGTATAGTCGGTTGTGTCATTTTCAGAGTCTCTTGTCTGGAATCACTTGATGTCTATTTGTCCACTTTTGGATGATGTTAATTTTGGTGCACTGGTGTGATGGTCAGTTCCATGCATCAGCTTGGCTAGGCTGCAGTCCCTGGTTATTCAGTCAAAACTAATCTAGGTGTTACACTAGAGGTATTTTTTTTTTGTATATATGACTAAAGTTGACTTTCAGTAAGTGAGACTCCCAAATAATCTTAGTGGCTTGATTCAATCAGTGGAAAAGACTTACAAGCAGAGCTGAGGCTTCCCTGAAGGAATAGTTGTTCTTCCTGTGGACAGAAGCTTTGGCTCATGCCTGAGAGTTTCAGCTGCCCTTCTTGATGGCCTGTGGTATGGACTTGTCTACTCAGCCCTCACCATTGTATAAGCCAACTTCCTGCAATAAATCTCTTTATGTATGTCTCCTACTCTTTCTTTCTTTCTTTTTTTTTTTCCTGGTTCAACCCTAACTGCTAAAGATTCAAATCTGCATTAGTTTCCTATTTCTGTCATGACAAATTACCATAAATTTAATGGCTTAAAGCAACAGAAATTTATTATTTTAGAGTTCTGGAGTCCAAAAGTCTAAAGTGTGTTGGCAGGGCTGCATTTCTCTAAAAGCTCTAAGGAAGATGCCATTTTCTTGCTTTTTATACTTGTAGAGACTGCCTGCATTCCTTGACTCATGGTCTCACAGAATTCTGACCTCTCCTTCCTCTGTCAGTCTCCTTCTGAATCTTAACACTCCTGATTCCCTTACAAACACTTTTGTGACTATATTGGGCAGACCTTGATAATCCAGGAAAATCTCCCCATCTCAAAGTCTTTGATTTAATCATATCAGCAAAGCATTTTTTGCCGTGTAAATTGACATATTCACAGGATCTGGGGGATTAGGAGGCAGTCATCATTGCAGAGAGCCATCATTTTGCTCATCCCAGCTTGGCCCTCTGACTCCCAAAGATTCACATCTGTCCCATATGCAAAGTGCATTCACCCCATTTCAAGGTCCCCCAAAAGTCTGAGCCCATTATGCCATCACCCATCAAATAAAAATTTCATTTAAGTGTCATTAACTCAAAACTCCCGAATCTCATCATTTAAATCATCTGCATTTGGTATGGGTGAGGCTCTGTGTGTAATCCATCTTGGGGCAAAATTTCTCTTCATTTGCAGACCTATAAAGCTAGAAAACAAATTATATGCATCTATGATGCAATGGTGAGATAGGCATAATAGAACAATTACAGACATTTTTATTCAGAAGGATAGAAAACAGAAAGAAATAACGAATTCTCAGCCCCAAGCAATTCTAATATCCAGCCAGGTAAACAATGCTGGCTTTGGAGGACTGGAAGCAATCCTCTGTGGTTCATGACTCCACTCTTTGGGCTTATGGCTCTGTCCTTGGAGTCATTTTAATTTCATGAGGGTTAGCATATTCTGGCTGCTGAATAGTTTAATCAGTCTGTTTCCAGTCTGTAGAATTTTGGTTGTCCAGCATTCTTCCTCCATGTTATACTCTTTACGTCTCTTTCATTTTGAGCTCGCAATGTTTCTGTTGGTATCATATCTGACGGACAGTGGACAGTGTGGGTCTCCTGTGTATGTCTCAGGATTCACCCTACTAGATAAGAGATTCCTTCACAGATTTTACCTGAATAATTCCATCTCTACTTTTATCTTCTGGCTTAGATGACTGAGAGGATCCATAAATAACATGCCAATGTTTTCAAAGAATCCTCTTTGTGTCTAAATACTCTGACCTTTTCATTCTTCTGACACACCAAGCTGTTTAGCCATACCTTTGGCTTTCTCTCCAGGGCATGCTTTCCTGAGAGTAAATTTCCTCATTTTAAGGACTTTTGATATTTGGAATGTCTAAAAATGGCCCATCTATCTACTTCTGCTTCCTTGCAGCTTAACAGTTTTCCCCTCAATTTTTTTTTCTTCTAATATTTTACTATATAAGAAGCAAAAAGAAACCACGCTGTACCTTCAACGCTTTGGATGAAAATATTTTCAGTTAATATCCAAGTTCATCATTTATACGTTGTGCTTTCCACATGACCATAGTTGCATTTTCTCACTCTCGTAGGAATGCGGAAGGCATGAGCCTTCTGTAGATTAATCTGTCCTTCTTGTTGGTGTCATGTTTTGGGAGGGGAAACGAGTGAACAGATGAAAAACCAAGATTTGTTATTTTCTCCAGACCTAAAATCTTTCATTTCTCTTTCATATTTTACCTAATTTCTTTAAATGTTTCTTCTCCTTTTAATCTTATTGGAATTCAGGAGAATTATCAAATTATTGGAATAATTTGATTCTTATCCAATAATTTAATCAATTTATTCCAATAATTTGATTCTTAGCAAGTTTATTTAGTCCTTGTTTTTCCCCTTAATATGATAATTAAATATCTAATTGTCTTTTAATTTTCAACTTGCTTTCTTTGTTCTGAATTTTTTCTTCTTATATTTTTGTTTTATCACCTGGATTTTGAATCCGCATTCTTTTTTTTTTTTTTTTTTTTTTTTTTTGAGACGGAGTTTCGCTCTGTCGCCCAGGCTGGAGTGCAGTGGCGCGATCTCGACTCACTGCAAGCTCCGCCTCCCGGGTTCACGCCATTCTCCTGCCTCAGCCTCCCGTGTAGCTGGGACGAATCCGCATTCTTAAATTCTGCTATATCTTAAAGCATTGGTAGGTTTTATTACATTCCATGGGTAATGTGTTCTTCCAGAATGAGTTCTTCTTAGTTCCTAACTTCTTTTACCTTTCTCCCTCCCTCTCTCCTTCTTTCCTTCCTTTTTTCTTTCTTACATTATTATATTTCCTTTATTTGCTTACCTAGTTGCCATGCTAATTATGATCATCTTGTTGATGTCATAATTGTCAGCTCTCTCTGGATTCTTACTTTTCATTGATATAGTATAGGTGAATACTCCTTGGCATCCTTTTTGCATCTTCTGCCGTGGTTTGTCTTTTCTTCTGAGTATGCTAGATATTGTCTATTGATACTTAATACCATCTCAAATCCTTTAAACTCTAATTTGTATCCTAATGGCTAGAAACCTGAAACCTGTATTTTACATATTCTTTTGACATTTCTGGCCTACGTTTTCACTAGTAAGAAGCAGTTGAATGATATTTGGAAGATTAAAGAGAAAGGGAAGCCATTATTCTCTGTTGGTAGCAGCAGTGGCTCCTGGACCCATCGACCCATAGGCAGATAATGGATTTGAGGTGTGCAGTGATTTCTTAGTAAGTTCCTTTGTTCTTTGATACTACGGATAGTTAAAACACTTAGATTTTTTTCTTGAATAATTGCTGATATGCTCAAACCACATTTTGAGGGTTACTATAGTTTTATGAAGCCCATGGGATGAGAACATTGTGTAGCAATGTCAGATAATACTAAGTGACATCTTAGCTGGACCTTTGGGCTCCATCTCTTTGGAGAAGCTACTAAATATTCTGAGGTTAGGACTACTTCCTTTAGCCAGGGGTATCCATAACTTCCATGAACATCAGTCATGCTAATTTTGATTTAAGAAATGTCTTATTAGTCTCAGAATTAATGCATCTAGTAACAATGTAAAAATGTTCAAGATGACATAGTCAGAACTTGCTATCAATAAAAAGTGGGTCTTATGTGGCTGTTCCTTGTGACATTATCTGATTGAGAACATTTGACTGAGGACCTGACTCAATATAAAAGTCCTAAACCCTTTTGGCTGCCTTTCCCTTTGGCTGAAATGGGAAAATAAAGCTATTTCAACACTAATTGGAACATCAAGTTTGTCTTGGATTTCTAAGTCAATATAGGTATAAACTTAATTAAAATGACAAATGGAATTAATAGAGCTCACCTAGGTCCCTCAAAGGCTGCCAGGATCAAGGGAAAGTTGGACACCAGCATTGCAGTGAGTAAGGAGGGTTCAACCTAACTGGCAACCAAACTCACAAGATCCAGTCGGCTTCAATCTAATACGGCACATACTGAGCCTTACAGGAACATACAGTAGGAAACACTGTCCACACTGCATCTTGTCTCATAGCACAATAGCTACCAAGTAATCAGGATTTCAAATGCCCTCTCCCATAAGGAGCAAGTATACTTGCTGCAAATGAGAGCCAAGGTGTGCTTGCCAAGCTGACAGAGCGAAGCTAAGATTTCCACCATGTTTATCCAATTCTATATCATAGGCCCAGTGCTCACTTGCCAACTCACAGCTTCCCAAGCTCAGGTGCCATCCTACAGGAAAAAAAATGTTCACAACAAACAAGGCAGGCACACATTCCATATTTTTCTTAGCTTTGTTTTCAGGCATTCCTATAAAAAGACAGACCATTGCAGGCCTGATATTAACCCTTTTCCCAGAATTAGATAGATTTTTCCAGGAAGACGAGCCAAGATTTCAATCTGATTGCTGATTCAGGACCTAAATAAAGCGAGGAGGAAATACTGGATGTATCTTTCTCTACCTGCTTCAGGTTATAACTCCATGGCTGCAGGGAGTCTAGATGCTCCTAGGATGAGCCAAGGCAACACCATTTTGCCACAATTCTTACCTGTGTTCTGTAGCTCTAAGCAGAGATTGCCACTTATAATCTAGAATCTGTCATGTGTAGGTGACAATAGCTTTAACTGACTTTGCTTTAGAATAAGATGACGTCTACTTGCAATAGATGAAATTCGAATTTTGCTTTTTTTTTTCCTCTGGCCCCTCATCAAAAAAGCAACGTGAAAAAAACAATACTCTGCTTGATTCTTTCATATCACATGCAACTGATGAATTAATCAGAAGAAATGTTCTTGAGCTGTCTGTCTCCTGGTTCTTTATCCTACTCCTGGCTGGGCTTTTTGCTGATCTTTCATTAGCGCTGATGAGCCCAGGGTGGAAAGGTGCTTCTCTCTTTGTTCCTGAGAGAATGTCATCTTGGCCATCTCATACTTTCAGTCACCACTGATAGCTATTTTGGCACAAATTCAGAGTAGGCTCAGTGGGGGGCAGAGGAAATATTCTGCATTAGCTGGATTATTTTAAATTTTCAACCCTGCAATGTTCCTGTAGGACAAAATAAGAGGTGCCAGGAAAGACAGCTTGCTTTCCTTAGAGCCCACAGGAAAGGGTGCCTGCAATGCTAAGCCATGCTGAATCCCTGGCCCTCCACCGGATGCTGCGCCTCACAGGCTTTATGTTCAGTCAATGGAAATAGCAACTGCGACTGTGATGTGTTTGCTTTGTGGCCAGTATAATGATCTACTGGTGATTGATTACAGGGGTTGACTAAAGAAAAAAGAAAAGGGAAAAAGCCAAGAGTAAGTTTTCAGGACTCCTCTTAGATGTAACATAATAAACTTAACTGCTTCAGTGCTGAGTTGCTGTAGGTCTCCCAGCCGTATATTAAGAAAAAATTTATGTTGTTGATAAATATGAAAAAGACTGAGAATAGATACAGGTTGGGCTTGCACATTCCTATGTAACCAGATTTGAGGAGCTTACCTCCTCCAGGGACAGATTTGGGACTGAAAGGGAAACATGTGGGGTTGACAGGGACCTGGGCTCAGGCTGGTTCTTATTAGTTTGAAGGAATTGAAAACAACAGACACTCTGAAACAGTCCCAAAGGTGGGCATTTTGCCTAGATGCAGTATAGCACAAGAGTTAAAAGGATAAACTTTGGAAGTCTGGCTTTAAAGCATAGATCCACCAGTTGTGCATATTTTGGTGTATTGTTCAACATTTCTGAAGCTCAATTTCATCAATCAGAATTGAGAAAATAATATCCTCAGTTTGATAGGATTACTTTAAGGAGTGAATATGATATTGTGATAAGTGTGATAATGTGTGTATGTGTGTGTATATGTGGGTACGTGCATGCATGTATGTGTACGTGTGTATGTGCATGCATGTGCATGTGTGGGTGTGTGTATGTATGCATATAATGAATGATATCTAGCATGAACTTAATTGTTCAATAATTGATAGCCAGTATTATCTGTCAGATCCAGACACTGTTTAAAGTATCTCAGCTTCTTCCAGGACGGCTTTAGTTTTATAACAGACTCTTGGTTTTCTTACTGACTACATACTTGATGAAAGCCAAGCTCTCCTAGAAAAGGATATCCTTGATGAAGGCCATGGGTCACCACAGATTCACAGGGACCTTCTGGTATGTGCCTTCCTATTCATTATTTGAGTCATTGTCTTCTGTACTCACCAGGCAGGGAGAGACGAGGGAGCATTAGGACCTTGAGATCTTAATATAAAATTATGTATAAAATTATGTTTATATATCTGCATAAACATAATACATTACCATTACCTTAGTTTCTTTTTTCTTTTTCTTTCTTTCTTTCTTTTCTTTTCTTTTTTTTTTTTTGAGACACTCTCCCTCTGTTGCTGAGGCTGGAGTACAACACCTCAATCTCTGCTCACTGCACCCTTTGCCTCCCAGTCTCAAGCAATCCTCCTGCCTCAGCCCCCTGAGTAGCTGGGACTACAGGCCTGCACCACCACACCCGGCTTTTTTTTTTTTTTTTTTTTTTTTGCATTTTTTATAGAGACAGAGTTTCGCCATGCTGCCAAGGCTGGTCTCAAACTCCTGGGTTCAAGCTATTCACCCATCTCAGCCTCCCAAAGTGCTGGGATTACAGGCATGAGCCACCACACGCAGCTCCTTAGTTTTTAATCAAATCTTTTCTCTTAGACATGAAAACATACATTTTGAAGGGGTTGGAAGGGGGTCGCACTTATAAACACTTCATAGATTTGGGCTTGGGAGATCAGACTGACAGAGGCTGGTTCTTTACTTCTGGGTTTGATTCCAGTTGGGAGCTGGCTCCGTGTTAGACTCTGCATGTCAGATGGAGAGACCAGTTCTAAGCACAAACCATTTCCACCTTTCAGATATTCTGAAACCTAAGTCAAAATATCTCAATTATGTATCAAGAAATATTAGGCTTGCACATTTGCATCTCAAAGATCAGCTGGTGTTCAAGGGAAGCACTCTGGGCAGCCTACAGCCCCTCCCCCTTCTCTTGTGCCCACATTCCACCTTCCTCATCTCTACCTTGCTGTCAGCTCTTGGTCCAGAGCCACTCACTCTTCTTTGGTGGTTGTCTGTGCTCTCTCAAAAGCCTTAGCCTTCTCCTGCAGGCTTAAGTTCTGTCCATCCATTTGGCTATAGGTGTCTTCTGCCTTGACCAGGAATGCTCCATCTTAACTCACCAGAACCAGGCCTGGCTCCAGCCCCTGGACAATCAGGCCAGTCTTGGTACTCTGCTGGGTGCTGGAGAACAACAGAAAATAGAACGTGAAAAGAGTACAGATCTAGTCGATGGAGCGTTAAACTGATGCTACCTTTTTATGGAAACATGGTACATTATCTTCTCTATGTGACAAATATAAGCTTAAAGTTCAAAAGCTAAATAAATGTAGATGCTTTGGTAAGAATACTTTGTTAATTAATGAACTCAACTATTACCAGTGTCTGATGTGCTAAGTATTGGCTTGCCCTTTTGTTGTAAGAAAAGTTGTCATATCCCCCACTCAGAGTAGAGGCAGCACTCCCAGTTCCAGCACAACTTCTGTCTGTGAACTGGGACAAATCTCTGTGCCTCAGTTTTCTCATCTGGGCATCACTAGAGTATCTACTTAATAGAGTTATTGTTAGAATGAAATGAGGCCGGGCACAGTGGTTCATGCCTGTAATCCCAGCACTTTGAGAGGCCGAGGTGGGCAAATCACCTGAGGTCAGGAGTTCGAGACCAGCCTGGCCAACATGGTGAAACCTCATCTCTGCTAAAAATACAAAAATTAACTGGGTATATTGGCAGGCACCTGTAATCCCAGCTATTCGGGAGGCTGAGGCAGGAGAATCACTTGAACCCAAGAGGTGGAGCTTGCAGTGAGCTGAGATTGTGCCACTGCACTCCAGCCTGGGTGACAGAGTGAGACTCCATCTCAAAAGAAAAAAAAAAGAATGAAATGAGATATGCGTCTTTAGGAAGAGGAGAGGGAAAGGAATATTTTCAGTGTCTCAGCATTGTACTTGACATGTATATGAACTCCTGCAAGTCCAAGCAGCCCAGTGAAGGTACTTGTTAATTTCCTAATTTTATAATTGGAAAATCCAAGGTGAAATCAGGCGTTGATCCCAAGCCTTTTTGGTCTCAGAATCTGATCTTCTGTTGCTTGTAATCTTGTGATAGCTATTTGGCTAGCATTTTAATCTTGGCTAGATTTTTTACTTCTGGCCAACGTAGAGAAATGAGACTGAGCATGACTGTTGGCTTGTATCTTTGATATTGTTCTCCTTTAAGTTAGTTAGGGACACCCCAGAAGCCAGATTGCTGTTGTACATGTTTCTAGCTTACTTAGTCTAGTTAGTGTCTCATCCCTTGTTCAATTCATCACTATGTTTGAAGAGTAATTTAAAAATTGTGTTGTTTGATATTTCATCAGCTTTTACAACTTTCTTGAACCTCTTTCCATCAACCTTTCTTTCTTAAAGAGACCAGTTTATCTATTAAGTGGTTCCCAGTGGAAGGATATAAGAACAGATTTAGTTGAGATGCCACAGTGCAGATCTGTGAGGCTCGGGGCCTCACAAAGACTTACTGAAGGAAAATAAACATCATTTTAAAAAATTAGAGTGAATTTGAACTACCCAATTAATCACAATTTTAATTTTGAAATATAGTTGATATCAACTGGTGATAATACTTAGGCATATCATTTAATAAGCCTAAACTGAAAGATACTTTTTTTTCCAGGCTTTATACCTCTGAATTTTGAGATTTATTTTTGTGATCCTAAGGATGAGAGGCCCACTGGTGTACACTTCATATATATCTATAATTTAAAATAACTCAGTGTCTTCTAAAATACATATATATTTAATTTAGAAATGAGGCATAACAGTAATGTTTCTATTTGTTCTCGGTAACTTTTATCTAACTAAAGAGCAATTATAGATATTTGATACAGCCGACTGAGAAAGCATAGTGATCTTATGGTGATTACTTTCTGCTGCTATTGAAGACAGATGTTGAGAGGCGTGACCACCAACAGATCGAGTGGGAACTGAATGCCCATGTAGATGTTCTGCTTCTTCTTTTCTTGATAGAGTTCATTTCAAGATTTTTGATTTGAAAACAATCTACAGCTGTCACTAATGCAATACTGAAAATAATATACATACATATTTTATCCACTTAAAATATGAGCACATCTTGAGGGAGGAAATTTTTTTTTTTCTTGATAAGGTACTGGAAAGCAATGCATGGAGATAGGTAGTATTCTGGCTTTTGATTAAGAGAAATCTGAGTTTGAATCCTAGCTCTGCTACTTGGGCAAGTTACCATATCTCTGAGATTCTCTTTCCTAAAGTGTAATAGAGGATAATACCTATTTCATGGGACTTTAACAAAAATAGAGCAAGATACTCAAGATAAAGTTTGGAACTGTATTTCAGGCTCTCAGTAAGTGCTCATTAAATGTAACATTTCTTCCATTTTGCTCGTTGATCTCATGAGCTAGACTAAGCTCCTGCCCTCTGTGCCCACTCTACTTACTCTCCCTGGTGGGCAGAATGACTTTTTCCCTTGATGAATTTAGGACAAGCAGCTGAGAATGTTGTCCTGGCTGCCTCTTTTCTCTCTGAGTCAGTCTGCCTGCAGAATGGTTGGTCTACCTTCTTGCTTTGCCTGTAGTTTGGGGACATATGTTTATTTTGGTCCATTGCAGCTGCACATCTAAAACAAATCTTCTGTTCCAGTTTGATCAACAATAAACTCTGTCCAACACTCATTTATATCTCTCAACTGATCCCAAGCTCAGTGGAGAATAAGATGTTGGGATTCTTCAAACACCGCATATGTAAATAGTGAGACTGGTTTATGGTTAGGTTAACAAAATGGACCATATTGAAAGAATAAAGGACAAGTGATTTTTGCACAAGTGATTTTAAGAATTACTGGAAAAGATTCAGACAATTTCTAGTTCAAGGAGAAATATTTCATGACCTGAAATTTTACCATCAAACTTTTTATTCTTTTGAGGTCCTTTTCTATAGTCTTTTAAAGAAGTACAATATCATAAAAAGTGATTAAAAACCTTAAATCACAGTTTCTTGAGAATCATAAATGCTCCCCTTTCCCACATGGAAGAGTGTAAAAAAAAACCCAGGAGCTGGTAGATGTAGTGTGTTCAGAAGGCAGAGTAGAAAGGAGAGACGTGAGGGATCTGGGAGCTAAGTGTGACCTAATGCAAAAATTAGTTGCCCTCCATCAGCCTAATGAACTTTGCTTACATCCACAGAAGAAAATTGTACACAATAACTGTTGGTGAGATGAATGAATGAACATTTATACACATATGCTCAGTGGAAATACAAATACCTACTCATACCACTATTAGTTGTGAGCAGTTGCTGGTTTGAAAGAGGGTTCCCATTTTACTTCTTGTTGCATATGAAAAGAGAAGGTGGCCCATGCATATAATGTCTTTTGAAATCTTTAATTGACTTTATTATAACAACCGTCAACAATGTAAAAATTTTGAGTTAAAGGGTATTTAAAATGACTATAGATTTGAAATAATGAAGTACCTGGTTGTATATCAAATATTTATTTTCAATGGTAAAGTACAACCTATGCAAGATCTTTACATTCCTTACATTGTGGAATAGTCTTGCACAGTAGTATTCTTAAATCTTTACAAACTTGATATTAAAAGTGATCTTACTTATGTGAGACCCCAAACCTGTCCATACTTAATGAGCTCATGGACTTTGTTTCATCAATAAAACCCATATTTAACATGTATGTATTGTTTCAAATGATGCCCCACTATTAGATGGGCTTGCAGACAGTGTGGCTAAATTGCTTGTAAGTTCCAAACCACTGAATTGAGGCTCTTTTAACAAGATAATCTGCCATCTCATCAGTTTTTCTTTTGACAGCTCGACAATGATAACGTCAAGTCTAGCATCGAGATGTTCTATTTTGATCCCCAAATGAATTCTCATATTTGTTATCCACGAAAAATGAAATTATAAAGTGGCAACACTTCAATCAAAGATTTCAAAGTGTGCCGCACACATAGACCCTGCTGAGAGAGGATGGAGTACCTTGTCAGAACGTCTAATGTGGGGATTAACATGGGGACTGTGTGATGAGCCCAAGTCTGGAAAAAGGGTTTTTGATTTTTGTTTTTTGTTTTTGAAGGGGCAGGAATGGAATAATGAATTTATTATATTTTCTCCCTTCATAATAATTTTAAATTATATTTCCCACAATGAAAACTACTGTAGCTGAACCTGATTGTAAGTCTTTGAGAAAATTTTATCATTCTGACTAAATATGCAGAGCCTGCCATACTTAGTAAGAGGTAAATATTTTTAAATCTCTAAATGGATTTGCTGGCAATAGGTGCTCTTTTATCTTAGTGTATACATTGGTTTAATTAAGGTAAATTTAATACAAAAGTATTCTGTTCTCAGACTTGGACCAAGGGCTCTGGGGGAAATTACAGAAGGAAGGCAAGGACAGAAAAATTGGTGGAACTTCCAGACCAGCCAGTAACATTTCCAGAATGGCTAAGAGCATTCAGTAACAGCATCACCCAATATCCCTTTATGCCAAGAGGAACTGATCCTATTCAGGTCTGCGGAAACGAAATCTACCAGGCACTGAGCATTTTCTAGTTCTTCATCTGCTTGTGCTCAGTCAAGAACAGTCAAAAACAATAGTTCCCTGGTTATGGCCTGCCCTATTCATCAGAGATTTAGAAAACTACCATCAAATTTGTGGGTGATGGCAAACTCTTGGCTTTCTCTAATACACATTAAATAACCAGGTCACTGCCTGGATAACAGAATCATTTTCATAACCTGCATTTTAATTTATTTCAACTCTTATTGTAAGACTACACCAAAAATAAAAGTCATACGTAATTCACTATTACATTTGCTATAAAAATGCTACTGTAGACTTCCACATGAGAATATCATTTTAGAATTTTGCTTAAGGAATTTGTGTTTCCCACTTTCCATTAAGAAGAAACTCATTACTGCTTCTGTTTGGGCTCAGTGTAACAGCAAGCACTGCAACAAAGTTAAAAGTTGTTAACTTACTTAAATTATTTTCTTTGACTTTCTAGAGCTTTTTATATTTTAATATACTTTTATATAATATTTCACTGTGAATATTTTTGGCAAACAGACTATATAATTTCTGATAGCTTCATCTTTGGCTACACTGTATCTATATGAATATGTTTTTTTTTGTAAATTACCTCTGAAATTTTTGAACATAGGTGAGATACAAATATAAATATACAAAATAAAACAAAATATAGTGTCAGAAATGACTAGGCAGGCCCAACCCTTTTGCAGGGCAGGAGTACAAGTGGAGATCCGTGTACCATATATTTGAACAGTTAAAATAAAGCAAACTAATAAACATATTTATGTGTGTGTATATATTTATAATGCATATATAGACACCCATATATAATCTACGTTTACGAATATGCTTTCATAACAACAAAATGTGTATATAACTGAAAGTCAGCAAAACATAAAAAAGAAATGAACTTAATTATTGTTTACCATATAATAGTCAATAGTCATCTCTGGGGAGGTTCCTGGAATATGGGAGAGGACAATGAAGGAGAATTTTCATTTTAACTCTGTTATTTGAATGTGTTCTTTAACTATTTGTGTAGTTTAAATTATATGAAACAAAACAAATACAAGCCTCCCAAAGTGGAATCTGAGACAGCAGACTCAAGAGAGGCTTCTCTCGGCTTCTCTCCTTTATCTATGTGTCTCGGAGGCATGGCTTTTCTGTGCCTGAGTAGCTGATCTCTCCTGGTCTTCAGGAAAACTATCTCTGTAGGATCCTCCCTTTGTCTGTGTTACTTAGAGGGTCAGACATGTTGGGGCCTTTTCTTCCCGGCTATAAGGTCAGCTAATCCCAGCTCCTCTGTTTGGTTTTACAACTTTGTATCTAGGGAAAGGTAGTCTTTTGACTTATAAGGTTGCAAATTAATGAATTAGTACCTTTTCATTTTGTCTTCTGTCACAAGTTGCTCCTAAAACTCAGAGTGGCGGATAAGGTTGTTCTCATTATTTAACAGAACTAAACTTAATACATTCTGTATAGCCTTTACAAAGCTAAAACCCTCTCAAAGCATTTGATAACCCATAATCCAGGTATGCTCTGGGTAAGTGGAAAATAAAACTCAGTATCTGTACAACCTACACAGCATCTAAGGAATATGGCTTTTGAATTGATATAATTTGATTCCTTTGTTTCAGTGTGAACCACCAAAGCAGATGTATGAAATGAGAGGTGGAAGAGATTTTCTTGTGGATAAAGCTCAGTATTTCCAGACAAAGCTCATGAAATAAAACTCCTTTGATTCATTCTTTTAAAAACACAAAATTCAAATAATTCTTGATTAATGTAGGTAGTGTCTTTATGGTTAAGGCATAACAAAATCTCCTTCCATCAAACAAATATTGTCTGGAGCAAGCTGGGTACCAGACCCATCATTCATACTCAGGGTAAATGGCTATTTCCTATAAAACTGTCCTTTCAGAATGAATTCTGCACTCAGTACACCATGCAAGCACCCAGGAGCTGCTGCCCAATACAGTTGTTTCCTGGCATCCTAGGCTAGAGGAGGCCAAATTCCACATGTTCTAATTACTCTGGTCATACTAATTAGTATTTCATTCATTAAAGATATATTTGCAAAGTAGAAACTGTAACAACTCTGGTGCCATGAGACTAAAATGCCTTCCTTGTTAGAACAAGCCTGTACTCCAAAATACTCTGCACACAGGAGCCTGAGATGCATAATTTGGATCCATTTCCATTAAAGAAATGGTCCTCCTCCACCCGGTCCCATAATGTAATTAACATTGCAGGTCTCATGGCTCTCTTTAAGAGAATTAGAAGCCATGAGTCATTTGGGCATCATCAGAACAAGCTCTCCTAATGTAAAATGACTCAATAGCAGAGATTGCTATCTGGCAGCATTCCGAGATATCAAGACCTGAAAGCCAGCACTTAATCTGATTTAGGGCCTCTTAAAATATTCTTCAAACTTGACTAGACATTGTTCTGGTAAAAAAGATAGAAACTTATTTTAGGAACCACCCAGGGTCTGAGCTGTCTTAGCTGTGTTATTGATTCCTTTTAAGTAATTGCATTTAATTTGGAAACCTATGGACAATGACGCTGATGAAGAAATGTGACTATTCCAAGTAAAGTCACAGCAAGTGTATGGAACAAAGATAATATAAAATTAGAAATCTTTGTATAGATATGCTGTTGCTCTACTTCAGAGTTCTTAATGTCAGGATTTAGTCTATTAATGTACATAAGGACATTTTCATCATGAATTAAGTAACAGTGAAAATAAAATTTTAACAGGCATCTTAGTAGGATTCTAACGGTTTATAAAAGTTAACCCATCAACATGGTAATTGTTCAAGGTAGAAATGTGGAGTAGATGTAAGGTACTATTTTAACATTTAAAATGTTTCCATTTTGGGTCTGTATCTTGATGTTTTTGGTCATATTACTCCCTTTTACTTATTCACAAATTGGATAAACACAATGTAGCAACACGATGGCTCACAGTTAATTTTGGTAGAACTGAATGCGGGGTAAAACACTTATACACCACTCAAACAAGGATGGAAATGGACAGAATGGTCAAATCTTCAAGTTTCATTAGGAAATGGTGTAGGCACCCAGGATTTTCCCACCAGCATTAACAGTTCCTTTTATTGCTCATCAAGATTCTCAGTAGAATTTGCAAACTTATTTATTTGCATATCAAATTATATTTTCAGGTTGGGTAGCATTTTGTAATTCCACAGAACTTGTCGAGGCCCTACTCTGTGTAGGTTCAGACACTCTTTACCCCATGCGGACTCATCCTCTGAATTCCATAGAGTCAGTTTTGAAACTCCCATCCCTGACTATGAAAGACCTTTGTCAGCTGGATGTAGGAGCTGCAGAAAGAACTGGTTTGCAAAGCAACCTATGACACAGCAAACTCTTTTACTAGGCATTCATAAGGAAGAGGTGGCATAACATCTATCCCCACATGTCTTATCAGTTGCTATATTTGATATCCATTTGAGAAAACAAGAGCAGAGTTAAAATGCCAAGCCAATCACCTCTTTCCCCCTGGCTTTAGGCAATAGCCTCAAAGACCTTAATGGATCCCGATGGAGAGATATTTGGAGGAAAATGAATACCTTTGTAAAAACATAATTGATATTTTTATCTTGGCAGATTATCTAACTAATTGTATCTGGTCTGTCAAATATTTTTGGCAGGTTTTATTTTTTTAATTTAAAAATATTCTTTAGCTTTTAGAGTAGTTTTAGATTCACAGCAAAATAGAGCAGAGAGTACAGAGATATTTCAATGCCCCTTTCCCTGACACACCCATGCATCCCCCACTATCAGTATCTCTGCACCAAAGTAGTACACTTGTTCCAGTTGCTGAATCTGTATTGACACATTATCACTCAAAGTCCATAGTTTAGCTTAAGATATGCTTCCAGTTTTGCACATTCTTTGGCTTGTGACAAAAGTAGAATGAGATATATTCACCTGCCTAGTATCATACAGGGTAGTTCCACTACCCTAAAAATCCTCTGTGCTCTGCCTATTCTTTCCTCTCCTTCCCTAACCTCTGGCAACCACTGGTCTTTTTACCGTCTGCGTAATTTCCCCTTTTCCACAATGTGATATGCTTGGAGTCATTCTCCATCTCTTTACATTTAATATATATGTGTCTTTATATTTCAAGTAAATTTCTTATAGACAATTGATAATTAAGTCTTATTTTTAAATCCACTTTGACAATCTCTGCCTTTTAATTACTGTATTTACATGGTTGAATTTTAAAGTGATTATTGATATAATTGGATTAATATCTACAATATTTGTTACTGTTTTCTATTCATTGTTCTTGTCTTCTGCTCTTTTTCTGTCATATGTGATTTTAATTGAACATTTAATTCATTTTATATGATTTCATTTTATCTCCTTTCTTAGAACACCAATTATGCTTCTCTTTTTATTTTTTTGAGTGGTTGCTATAGAGTTTGTAATATACAACATCTAATCCAGGTCCACTTTGAAATAACAGTATACTGCTTCACGGATAATTTAAGTAACATATGATAACAAGCTATTCTTAATTTTTTCCTCCCATGTCTTGTGTCATTGCTGTCATTCATTTCACTTATACATAAGCTATAACTCAAATACGTTGTTGCTACTATCTTTTGGTCATAATGTTTTATGTTATATCAATTAAGAATAAGAAAAAATGACTTTTTATTTTACCTTCACTTATTCTTTCTATAATGTTCTTCCTTTATCTATATCAGAATTTCTGACCTATTTCACATTTCTTCTCTTTAAAGAATGTCTTTTAACATTATTTGCAAGGCAGGTCTACTGACAATAAATTCCCTCAATTTTTGTTTGTCAAGACAGATTCTATTTTTCCTTCACTTTGGAGAATAATTTCACAGCATACAGAATTTTCTTTTATATGCTTGTTGGCTGCATGTATGTCTTCTTTGGAAAGTGTCTCTTCATGCCCTTTGCCCACTTTTTAATGGTTTTTTTTTTTTCTTGTAAACTTGTCTAAGTTCTTTACGGATGCTGGGTATTAGGCCTTTGTCAGATGCATGGTTTGCAAAAAAAAAAAAAAAAAAAAAAATTCCCCACTACTCAGTAGGTTGTCTGTTCACTCTGTTGATAGTTTATTTTGCTATGCAGAAGCACTGTAGTGTAATTAGATCCTATTTGTCAATTTTTGCTTTTGTTGCAATTGCTTTTCATGTCTTCATCACGAAATCTTTGCCAGTTCCTGTGTCCAGAATGGTATTGCTTAGGTTGTCTTCCAGAGTTTTTTTTTTAACTTTGGTTTTACATTTTAAGTGTTTAATTCACCTTGAGTTAATTTTTGTATATGGTGAAAGGAAAGGGTATAGTTTCAATCTTCTGCATGTGGCTAACCAGTTACCCTAGCACCATTTATTGAATAGAGAGTCCTTTCCCCATTGCTTGTATGTGTCAGGTTTGTAGAAGATCAAATAGTTGTAGATATCAGTCTTATTTATGAGTTCTCTATTCTGTTCCATTGGTCTATGTGTCTGTTTTTGTACCAGTACCATGCTGTTTTTGTTACTGTAGCCCTGCAGTACAGTTTGAAGTCTGGTAGCATGATGCCTCCAGCTTTTTTTTTTTTTTTTTTTTTGGCGGAGTCTCACTCCATTGCCCAGACTGGAGCGCAGTGGCATCATCTTTGCTCACTGCAAGCTCCACCTCCCGGGTTCACGCCATTCTCCTGCCTCAACCTCCCGAGCAGCTGGGACTACAGGCGCCCACCACTGCGCCTGGCTAAGTTTTTTGAATTTTTAGTAGAGACAGCGTTTCACCATGTTAGCCAGGATGGTCTCAATCTCCTGACCTCAAGATCCGCCCATCTAGGCCTCCCAAAGTGCTGGGATTACAGGCGTGAGCCACCACACCAGGCCTGATGCCTCTAGTTTTGTTATTTTTGCTTAGGATTGTCCTGGCTATTTGGGCTTTTTTTTTTTTTTTGGTTGCATATGAATTTTAAAATAGTTTTTTCTAGTTCTGTAAAGAATGCTGTTGATAGTTTAAGAAGAATAGCATTCAATCTATAAATTGTTTGGTCAGTATGGCCATTTAACAATATTGATTCTTACTATTCCTGGGCATGGAATGTTTTTCCATTTGTTTCTGTCATCTCTTATTTCTTTGGATAGTGTTTTGTAGTTCTCCTTGTAGAGATATTTCACCTGCCTGGTTAGATATATTCCAAGGTATTTTATTATTCTGTGGCAATTTTGAATGTGATTGCATTCCTGATTTTGCTCTTGACTTGACTTTCATTGTTGTTTAAGTGTGCTAGTAATGTTTGCACATTGATTTTGTATCCTGGGACTTTGTTAAAGTTGTTTCTCAGCTTAAGGAGCTTTTGTGGTGAGACTATGTAGAATTATGTTGTTTGCAAACAGAGACAGTTTGACTGCCTCTCTTCCTATTTGGTTTCCCTTCTTTCTCTTGCTTAATTGCTTTGGCCAGGACTTCCAACACTATGTTGAATGGGAGTGGTGAGAGAGGGGATCCCTGTCTTGTGTTTCAAGGGGAATTCTTCCAGCTTTTGCCCATTCAGTATGATGTTGACTGTGGGTTATCATAGATGGATCTTATTATTTTGAAGTATGTTCCTTCAATGTCTAATTTATTAAGAATTTTTAACATGAAGTGATATTGAGTTTTATCAAAAGGCTTTTCTGCATGTTGAGATAATCATGTGGTTTTTTTCTTTAGTTCTGTTTATGTGATGAATCACATTTATCGATTTGTGTATGTTGAACCAACCTTGCATCCGGGCGATAAACCCTACTTTATCATGGTGGATTAGCTTTTTGATGTGCTGCTGGATTTGGTTTGCCAGTATTTTGTGGAGGATTTTTGCATCTATGTACGTCAAGGATATTGGCTTGACATTTTCTTTTTGTTGTTGTTTTTGTGTTTCTGCCAGGTTTTGGTATCAGGGTGATGCTAGGAGTATGCCAGTTGTCTCAGTCCCTCAGTGGCAGCTCTTCCATCTGGCTATATCTAGTTGGCCATCTTGCTCTCCCCATAGCTTTTATTATTAAGTATAACACAAAACAATTCTTTCTTTCCTTTCTGTTTATAGAAGTTATTAACTGGGTTTAAGGTTTTCATTATATGTAATAGAACTATCTGAATTGAAAATTGTCATGATGATAATTGACATTAAACCTTAAACATTAAACTAGCTACAGAAAACTGAAATGCTGCTGAATTCCAGTTGATGGTAGAATGGTTTAAAATCATGAATGTGATTAATTTTAGGTTATTAATTTGGCTACTAAAAATATACACAAATATACCTATTTTCAGCTGGAATGGAATGTAGAAATTTAAAGCACTCTATTTCAAGAGATGGAGGTCCAAAGAGTTAAATGACTTGCCAAGATCACCTTGCTAGTTAATATCATTTCTGAGGTTAAAACCAAAGACTTTTTTTCCTTGTTTCATTGTTCTATGTTTAACATCTCTTTTCTTTTAGCTCAGCATATAACAACATGTAACTAATAGCCATGACAAGAGTTAAAATCAACTAGAAACTAGAACAAATAATTGGGGAGACTGGTGATTTAAAGAAGCTCCTTTGCTTCTTCTAAATGCATGGTTGGCCCAGGAGTCAGTTTCAAAATTATGGTCCAGGTTGGTCCAGGGTGATACTCTAGAACCTCTAGTTTTTAACATATAAACCTATTGATACATATTATTTTATATATTTATTGGGTACATGAGAGTAATTGTTACATACATAGAATATGTAATGATCAAGCCAGGGTATTTGAAGTATCCATCACCTTGAGTACGTATCATCTCTATGTTTTGGGAACATTTCAAATCCTGTCTCCTAGCTGTTTTGAAATACACAATGTATTGTTGCTATCTATGTCACCCTACTCTGCTGTTGAACATTATAATTTAAACTGTTAATGCGAGTCAGTGGGCCAGAGCATGCAAAGTTCCTGATGTTTCCTTAGTGTTACACTAATTATAAAAATGGAGTAGATGTATATGGAGTAGATGTAAACATTTATTTATATAAAGCAAGTTATATTACTAATGAGGTCATAGATACAATTAAATTTTATTGAAAAGAAATAATGCTGCACTCGAAAAATTTCTATTAAAGAAGCTAACATCATTTGCTAAATTGGCCCTAAAGTTTCTCACATTACTGATATAATTTTGACTACCAAAGGGATCTATATAAAAATTAGAGTAGTAAAGATCAAAATGATTTTTAAGGATAACTTTAAAGGAATTGATAGGTGATATTTTTTGCAAATGTGTTTCTCACAGGTACTGGACAACTAGTCTAAGGACAACTGTCCATGGTGCTGAAAAGAGTTCTGCATAGGTATATTGTCTTCTATCATGCCCCGTCCCTTCTTTTGCCTTCCCTTCAAAGCAAAATCCCAGCATGTAGCAGGAGGAGCAGACATGACTTAATGTCTAATTGAATCTTGAATAAATAATAAAATTGAGTCCGGGCCCCAAATTATCAGTATTTAATTTTTATCTGGTAATAATAGTGTTGGTGCTACATAAGGAAGGGAGACAGGGTGTGTAAATTTGTCTTCATGTGGTGTTTTTTTTCCATTTCTATTGTGCAAGTCCTTGAGATAACCAAGGGGTTCGAGAGAAGAGTTCCGGCTTTCTTGAGAAACAGCCAAAATGTGACCAGGAGCTGTGTATTTCTTCACGGAATCTTTGAAGAATCCTTGGGGTTTTATGATGGGAGCACTGACATTACTAAGAAGCTCACAGTTAGAAAACTGGAGCAATGGACTCAAGACATAGGGCCTTTTCTTTCTCCTCACTGCTTTATTCTCCCTATTCTCTCTCATTTTCCCACCCCTTCTATCCAGACCTCTCTGCATAAGTATGATTTAAATAGCTCCCCATGGTATTTCCTCTCTTCCCTTTGGTGGTCACACTTTCCTCAAAATTATGTGCATTTCAAATCAGGGCCAGTGCATGGCATTGTGGGCCCTCCTCTATTTCAGAGCCAGACAGAGGTGGAAGCCAGACTGTGAAATGTCACTTTGATGTGAGCATGGTGGGACCACATCATCAGGAAAGCATAACATGACCGTAGGCATGAGCCCAGCTCAGGTCTAGTGAGGGCATATTCTCCTTCTGGGAATCATTACAACAGCTCAAATCTCAAAAAAATCAAATAAAATATGATTTCCCACATGGTGGATAATAATAAACAGTGATTGCCCACCTGTTGCTCATGGGCTCTGCAACTATTAGGTGTCTGCCTCACGTCCTGGTACCAGATGGTTTTCCAACAATTTGAAACTTCCTCTGCATTTTCCTATGCAAAATAATGTCACTAAGGTTTCAGGATAAGCAAAGGTATAAGTTTGTAACCAAAGGAAAGATTATGACTCCAGACAGGCATGAAATAGCAATTGTGATAGTGATGTCTTGAGGAGATGTATATTTATTTACCAGTAGATGTCCTTAATCCAGATTTGAGATAAGAAACAGAAAGTCTAGTTACTGGCAACTGATACTTGTTTGTAATAATGATTTCCCAAGTGTTATTTGGCAATTAGTTAATTTTTAACATATCATTGCTTCTAACAGAAGTCATTCATTTCTGGAGGCAAAGAAACTGATGAAAATTATGAAGTCAGGAACCATTTTATAGGAATATTTGAATGAAGTAGGTCAAAGTCTGAAAGTTGAGACCAACTGTGCCTGTCTGTCCTACACAGAGGGCAAGGAAGGATAATGACTAGGCCTGCGGGCCACGTGCATATGGACAAGGCCACATTCTGATTTAGAAAACAGTGGTGATCGAGCAATATGTTAACTCTCTCTGCTTCATGTCAAGTCTGCCTTGCTGCGTATTCATTCCAGCATGCTGATAGATTCCAGTGATGGGGACTGGCTTGTTTCCAGCAAAGATCTAGGCATCTTCAGTGGCAAAAGAAGAAGTGGACTTTTTTATCTTTCCTTTGGAGATAGAAGAACTTTATAGAGTAAACCAACACAAACTGAGTAGAGAGTAATCCTGAACCACCAAAAAGGCAAATCCAAAAGAGTTAATGGGTAGAATGTGATCTACAAATCAAACTTAAAGTCAGATATTGGTAATTGTGGGGTATAGTTAGGCAGGAAAGGCTGCCTGGAAAAATGATGACACTCACTTTTAATATATTAAATATTTAATATATTGGTAATATCAAAGAAATTGGGATTTAGTCAAAATGGTATAAATATAAATTTATAATGATCAGAGCTCATTGTGGGATAAGCTGGTGGTATGACAATTAATGATTCAGACATCTTCTATTTCACCTTTTGGTATAGGCGTTGACTCTTACCTTTTAGACTGACCTCCTCCGTTATGTCTTTCCTCTTCTTCGTCCTCCTAATTCTCTCCTCCTACTCCTTCTCCTCCTCCCCTTCTCTCTTCCTTCTCTTCTTCCTGTTTAGCTTTCGATAAATACTTATTGGGCTGAAGTAAGCTAAATGAAAATGTGGAATATCTTCTATTTAAAGGATGAATCAAAATCACTGTAGGTGAGAAAGCTTTATTCTTTTCTCTAAAACTCATTATTGGAAGCCAAGCTAATGTTGCTTTAGGATTTCTTCTGTTTATTTTGGAATTGTCCATCTGGCCAAGAAGCAGTAATTATTCATTTTCAGTGAAACCTAGTGGTGTGCTCAAGGATGGCAGTGGCACAGTGGCACATAAATTTCAGTTTGCCCAAATATGCCAGAACAAGCGAGTAAAACATTGAACATACATAAATTTTTTCTGACTCATTAACAAAAGTAAAATGAGCCGCAATATTTTACTTATAACCCACTATGATGTTCTAAAATTATACCAACTTTTAGTTATTGGCATATTCACCATATGCCAGTCATTTTATTATTCACTAATATTAAACTATATTGAGAATTGTCAGAGCCACAGTTAAAGTTTAAGAACTAGGGCATCTTTAAAAAAATTGCAGTAAAGTGACAACCATTTTCTGTAGCACAGGCTTCTGTGACTGAAGCTATGTTGACACCACCGACATGTATTTAAAAATGCAAAAAAAAATTGTGAGCAGTCTTTAGTCACCCTTGTAAAACAAGCTCTGTTACCAGCCTCTTGCTCATTTCACTTTACTCATAATATGAATTATTTTAATATATTTTTGTTTATTCATTTATATGTATTTCTCCCTATTGGATTGCAGGCTCCATGAAGGAAGTGATCTTGTGTATCTTTCACACTATAATCTCTTTGGTATATCATGTAGTTATTGCAACCATTGCCAATAATGCTGTCCATACTTATGAACCTGTGGATCAGCAGAGATGTCTCTTCTGAGGCTGTGGTGGTTGGGATCATCTTTTTCACAGTGCAATTCAGCAGGCTGGATCTTGCTCCACACTTCTCTCATCCTTCTTCTGGGACTTGTTTTCCATATGGCAATGACAAGATGTAAAAAGGACAAGCAGGGAAGTTTATAGCTATTAAGTACCTACATCAAAAAACATGAAAAACTTCAAATAAACAACTTAACAATGCATCTTAAAGAATGGAAGAAGCAAGAGAAAACCAAACCTAAAATTAATAGGAGAAAATAAAGATCATACCATAAATAAATAAATTTGAAATGAAGAAAACAATATAAAATATCCGTGAAATAAAATAAGTTTTTTAAGAAAGATAAACAAAATTGGCACACCTTTAGCCACACTTGAGAAAAAATGAGAGAAGACTCAAATAATATCTGAGATGAAAAAGGAGACATTACATCTAATACAGCAGAAATTTAAAAGATAAATAGTGTCTACTATGAGCAACTATATGTCAATAAATTGGAAAATATAGCAGAAATTGATAAATTCCTTGACTTCCACCTGCATGTCTTAGCCAAATCAAGGTACATGGCCAACAGTAAAGCCAGAGTGTGGAATTACAATGTGTCCATGATGAGACCCTGGCAATAGTGTGGATAAAAGACACTTACAACCCACGAAGATTAAACCATGAAGAAATCCAAAATCTGAATAGGCAATAACAAATGCTGACAAGGATGCAAAGAAAAAGGAACCCTCATACAGTGTTGCTAGGAATATAAACTAGTACAATCACTATGGAGAACAGTATGGAGGTTCCTCGAAAAACTAAAAATAGACCTACCACAAAATCTAGAAATCCCACTCCTAGGTATGTATATTAGTATATAAATTAGTATTTAAAAAATTAGTATAAGAAAATTAGTATATAAAAGAGGTATCCGCACTCCCAAGTTTATTGCATCACTGTTCACAATAGCCAAGATTTGGAAGCAACCTAAGTGTCCACCAGCAGATGACTGAATAAGGAAAATGTGGTATATATACACAATGGAGTACTGTTTAGCCATATTAAAAAATGAGATCCTGTCATTTGCAACAACATAGATAGAATTAGAGGTCATTTTGTTAAGTAAAATAAATCAGGCAAAAAAAGACAAATTTCATGTGTTCTCACTTATTTGTGGGAACTGAAAATTAAAATAGTTAAACTTATGGAGATAAAGAGTAGAGATTTGGTTACCAGAGGCTGGGAAGTGTGGGGGAGTGTGTAAGGAATCTGGGATGCTTATGGGAAAAAAAAAAATAGAAAGAATGAATGAGAGCTAGTATTTGTCAGCACAATAGAGTTACTATAGTCAAAAATAGTTTAGTGGTATATTTAAAAATAACAAAAGTGTATAATTGGATTATTTGTAACACAAAGGATAAATGCTTAAGGGGATAGATACCCCCATTTACCTGTATGTGATTATTACAGACTGCATGCTTGTATCAAACTATCTCATGCAACTCATAAATATGTGCACCCACTATGTACCCACCAAAAATAAAAATAATAAAAAGCGGACAAGCAGAACAGACAAGTTTTCCTAAGGCCTAGGTTCAGAATTGACACACTTGGACTTCCACCTGCATGTTATAGCCAAATCAAGGTACATGGGCAACAATAAAGCCAGACTGAGGAAATGCAATGTGCTCATGATGAGACTCTGGCAATGGTGTGGATAAAAGGCATGGTAATCAACTAAAGCCAATTTTTGAACAATCACTGGGAGAATGCACACATGCCCTTGATTTTTATGCACACATGCCCTTGATTTTTTACTCCTTGTATCATGCTCTTTGCAGTGTGATTTTGAACATTCTCTGATCAGGAGGTAGACTATGTTTCTCCACCTCTTTAATCTGGGCTAAACTTGTGACTTGCACTGGCAAAAAAAAAGGCACAATATGGTATTCTGAATTCATGCCTAGACCTCAAAATGCTGTGCATGCTTTGATCTTTTTCTGGACCCCTGTTACTGCAATATCAGTAAGCCTAAGCTAACCTGTTGGATGATGAAAGGCATGCAATCTCTCAGCCACTACCATTGCCCCCAGCAGACAACTGCCAGGCATGTGTGGGAGGCTGTCCTAAACCTCGCAATTTCAGCCAGCATACCAGCTGTCCACAAATACATGAGAAATGCTGTAAGGACAGCCCAGGTGACACATAGATTCATAAGAAAAAGTAAATGCTTACTGCTTGATATAGTTTGGATGTCTCCTTCAAATCTCATGTTGAGATGTAATCCCCAGTGTTGGAGGGGGGGACCTAGTGGGATGTGTTTGCATCATGTGGGTAGACCCTTTATGGCTTTGTGCTATCTTCAGGATAATGAGTTTTCACAAGATCTGATTCTTTTCAGCAATAACTCACTTCTGATACCAATTTTTGTGTTAGGTCATCCCTCCATTATTATAAAGATACCTGACAATGTGGAAGCAGCTTTACAACTGGGTAACAGATAGAGGTTGGAAGAGTTTGGAGAGCTCAGAAGACAGGAAGATGAGGGAAAGTTTGGAAATCCTTAGAGACTGTTACATGGTAGTAACTGAAATGCTGATAGTGATGTTGACTGTGAAGTTCAGGCTGATGAGGTCTCAGATGGAAATGAGAAACTTTTTGGGAACTGGAGCAAAGATCATCCTTGTTGTGCCTTAGCAAAGAACTTGGCTGTATTATCTCCATTCCTCAGGGATCTGTTGAAGTATGAACTTAAGAGAGATGACTTAGGGTATCTGGTGGAAGAAATTTCCATCAGCAAAGCATTCGAGATGTGGTCTGACTGCTTCTAAAAACCTATGCTCAGATGTGGGAGACAAAAAATGACTTAAAGATGAAATTTATATTTAAAAGGAAAGCAGAGGATCAAAGTTTGGAGAATTTGCAGCCTGGACATGTGGCAGAGAAAAAATAAGCATTATCAGGAGAGGAATTCAAGAGAGTTATAGAGCAACCACTTGCTAGAGAGATTTGCATGACTAAAAAGGAGCCACGGGCTAACATCCAAGACAATGGGAAAAAGGTCTTGAAGGTATTTCAGAAATCTTCTAGGTAGCCCCTCCCATCACAGACCCCAGAGGCCAAGGAGAACCCAATAGTCTCTTGAACGTGGCCCAGGGTGCCACTGTTCTATACCACACCAGGAGGTTAGGAGGTTGCTCTTTGCATCTTGACCATTCTGCCTCTAGCTGAGGCTCAAAGGGTCCTGGATACAGCTCAGGCTGCTGCTCCAGAAAGTACAACCCACCATAAACCTTGGCAGCTTCCATGTATTGTTAAGCCTGAAGGCACATAGAGTGCAAGAGTGAAGAAGGACTCGCAGCTTCTGCCTAGATTCCAGGGGGTGTATGAAAAAGTCTGGTGACCCAAGCAGAAGCTTGCTGCAGGAATGGAGCCCTCACAGAGAACCTGTACTAAGGTAGTGCCAAGGAGAAATGTGGGGGTCAGAGGACCCAGACAGACTCCCCACTGGGGCACTGCCTAGTGGAGCTGTGAGAAGGAGGCCAGGTCTTCCAGACCACAGAAGTGTATATCCATGGGCAGCTTGCATCTTGTGCCTGGAAAAGTCTTGGGAACTCAGCTCCAACACATGAGAGCAGCCACAGGGACTGAACCCTGCAGAGACACAGGGGCAGAGCCACTGAAAACCTTGGGAGCCCACCCTTTGCAGCAGTGTGCCCTGGATGTGGGACATGGAGTCAAAGGACATTATTTCAGAGCTTTAAGGTTTAATGACTGCCCTGCTAGGTTTTAGACTTGCATGGGGCCTTGAGGCCCCTTTCTTTTGGCCAATTTCTGCCTTTTGGAATAGAATTGTTTACCAAATGCCTGTACTCCCATTGTATCTTGGAAGTAAATAACTTGTTTCAGTTTTGCAAATTTTTAGGCAAAAATAACTCATTTCCAGATGAAACTTTAGACTTAGGATTTTGGAATTTTGAGTAACGCTGAAATGCAAAAGTTGAGACTTTTGAAGAATGATTGAGAAGGGATGATTGTATTTTTCAATGTGAGAAGTACATGAGACTTGAGGGGCCAGGGGAAGAATGATATAGTATGGATTACCCCTCCAAATTTCCTGTTGAGATGTAATCCCTAGTGTTGGAGGTGGGGCCTGGTGGAAAGTGTTTGGGTAATGGGGATCGATCATTCATGGCTTGGTGCTGTTCTCACGTAAGTTCTCATGAGATATGGTTGTTTAGAAGTGTGTGACACCTCCCTCTCCCCTTGCTCCTGCTCTCACCATGTGATATGCCAACTCTTTTTTTGGCTTCTGCTATGACTGTAAGCTTCCTGAGGCCTTCCCAGAAGCCAAGCAGATACCAGCACCATGCTTCCTGTACAGCTTGCAGAACCATGAGTGAATTAAGCCTCTTTTCTTTATAAATTACCCAGTCTCAGGTATTTCACTGAAGCAGTGCAAGAAAGACCTAATGTACCACTGTAAGCCAATGAGCCTGGGGATTTTTTTTTTTAAAACAAAAAGAGATAATAGATACAAGCACACCCAGTGTCTAGCATGGCACAGAGTAGGGACCAACTATTGAATAAATCATGGAACTCTCTGAGTTGCATACTATGGAAGACATGAACTCTCCCTGTGGAAATATTAGCATATATACAAAACACATCACATTTTACATATGATACTAAGGAAGTCATAGACCACCTGTTTATGGATTCCAGTGAGTTCTCATAGCCTACATCAAGCCTTCTAGATGGCTGCCTGACTTTTGTAAGATTTGATCTCACAATATGAAATCGATATACAGATTTTATTTTTTGAAAGTTTCTGGATTCTTTCCATAACTAAACACGGATGAAAACTTTGTCTCATTTATTTCTTCCCTGCCAGTTGTGTCAAGCCCACTCACTCCCTGTCTAATATATCAAAGAGCATCTTTATCCAAAGCTTCCTTGTGACAAACAGTGTAAATTACCATGTGATCCTCTGTGTCCTATGGCTTTCCTGAGGCACAAGAAACCCCTGGCCATGCAAAATAAATATACAGTTCTAGGAAACACAAACCCATAGCCACAGAGCCAGACAATTCTGAGGAAAAGTCCAGATAGCTTTCTCAGGTTATTGGCTGGTTGTTCACATGTTTTCTGCATTAAGATATATAAAATAATATTTACAACTTCAAGACATGAACAGATGAGTGAGTGGAGCTTTTCATCTGCAGTACCTTATTTTCTCTTTCTCTTTTTCTCTTTCCTTCAGGCAGAAGAAAATAAGTAAATTTATCTAAAATTTTGAAGTTGCTGTCTTATTGTTACAGTAATCTTTACTGTGACATTTGAGAAATTTCTTCCTTTTCAAGTGAAATCAGGATAGGTAATTTTTTAAGTTGGATAATATGAACATAAATTAGAATCGATAGGTTTTCATTTTATGCAATCATGTAGTAACATGGCCAGAAGCCCACTACATAAATCTTCAACTGAAGAATGCAGAAATCTTAATTTTACCACAGTTCTGTAAAGTTAGCAAAGGAGAACTCTCAGGGCTCACTGGAAGTGTTACTCAGCAGAGAAGACAAAACTTTTTGGTTATCTTCTTTGACTCTTTAATCCTATGAACTAGAAGTATTTTTAAAATATGCATGTAGATCTTCAATATGCTTTTTTTTCTCGGCAGGATATTTTTATTAGGCAGAGTACATTTTATTATACATTTTCCAAAATATTTTCATTTTTACTGTCCTATTTCACAAACATCCTGGTGGCATTGAGTGACTTATTTGAGCTACTTTTCAAAAGACTAATACATTGATGCATTCTGTTTTGATCTATTGGATATTGAGATAAATATTTTAGGGATCATACTAAAAATAGTATTATAATATTAAACTGAGATTCATGACTTAACATTAAATTCTTAATTTATCCTTTAGGAATACACATTTATAACATAATTGTTCTTTATGAGTTTAAACATTCCTTAAATGTGTTATTTTTTCTGGACCTATGAGAAATGAAAAAAAGCCACCCTGTTATTTTTACATGTCTATATCTTCCTATGAATATAACATACCTGTATTTAAAATACACATGCAAATTATATGTGTGAGGGTATGAGTGCTCATAAAAGAAACAACTCTACAATACTGCTGCACCTTTCCTTATAAAATTTAAACCGGTTTTATTTCAGTTGTGCCTCACGCATTGAAGCTAATAACAAATGCACTGTTTGGTACACCAGGGCACCAAAAAGAAGCCACTCAGGAGCCACTTGGGAAGTTGAGTCTAGAAAGTCACATAAACCATCTAGTAGGATAAGAAATAAACTTATTGCATGATAAATATAGCACCTTTTTTAAGGTGGAATCTACAAATTTCCCCATATATGACCTCCTTTTACTCTTCCATTTGGCATTAAATTGCTGTGTGGCTAGGATGCTCCTTATTGTTTCTAAATATCCACTTTAAAAAATCTGTAAAAAATACTGATGGTTGAGTTAGTATATTAGCTGACCTTTAAGGTTCTTAGCAATTCCAAATATTTTGTGATACTCTTTTTTACCTGGGTCTGCTCGATAACCAGGTACATTTCCAGCATCAAAACAGCAAAGAGCAGAGTTCTACTTCACAATGAAAGTGACCAGAGCTCTGTTGTCCCGTTCCTCTGTAAAATTAGCATAACTAATAAAATTAACATGAAACAAACAACCATTTAATTCTCTGGAGATCGTCCTAAAAGCATATACAAATGCAGAAGCTTTTTTAAAAGAACATTTACTACAACTTGGTAAGAATAGTTGGAGTTTCTGGGATTTGAATTATGACTCACCTCTTTATTACCCTCTTTCAGCTCAATACAATGGAAACTCCACTCTGTGTGGGTGCAGCTGAAGACACAGAGATCTCTCACTCTCCGTGTCCTAGTTGAGGGCTATATTATCTCCCTGGAAAACGATTAACTAGAATTTCTCATCCCCCTCCTCCCCAGCTATGTGTTAGAGGGTAACACAAGGTTACATGGTGTATCCTTTTATTTATATGAAATAGCCAAAGTAAGTAAATTCATAAACATAGAACGCAGAAAGGTGGGGGGAAGAGACTAATTGTTTAATGGGTATAAAGTTTTATTTTGGGTAATGAAAATACTTTGGAAGTACATACAGGTGCTGGTGGGGGAAATCTGTCAATGTATTAAATGTCACTGAATTGTTCACTTTAAAATGAATAACTTTATGTTATATAAATTTTACCTCAAAAATATAAAGAAACTGTTTTCTGGAAAAAATAAAAAAGGTGGTAGATATTCAGGAAGCGAAAACATTCTAGAACTTTAATTTTTTAAAAAACTCAAGAATTTTCTTGTTTTATATAATGGGTAATAGAACAATAATTTACTAAACTGGCATTTACGTGTTTTTGAGAGTTAGATATTTTCACCTGGGAGTCAAAAATCTCATTTTCAAACACTGAGTGCTTCTGGTTGTGGGTACTTCATTAACCTCAGCATCCTTACCTGAAAAATGGGATATGAGCAATCATCATTTCTCTATGTGCTTCACCGGGTACTTCTAAAAACCAAATACAATCTGTAAGTGGGGAAACGGCTCTGTAATGTACTATGGATACAGAAGGTCACTTGGTGCTGTCATGTTGCCCAATTCCAGGAGCTGCCATCTATTCAGCCTGCTGTGAAGCACTCCTGCCTTTGTGCAATGCTGTCAGCTTGACTGTTATGGAGTTGTATGGTATATCTTACTTGAGTGCCTATATAGCATTTGTTTAGTAATACCTGAATTTTATTACTTTATTTTCATTTAGAAAATGAGAACACATTTTGGAAGAATAATTTTCAAAAGGATAAATCTGAAGAGTTTTCAGCCAAACATTTTTTCTCCTGTGTTTTTTCTCTAATGGATTTAAAGCTGTCTTAGGATATATTTTAATATGGTGGCTTCTGTCTTGCTTTCTTTCATTTTTCTGGTCACTAATACTTCTGCCGCTAACAAAATAAGGTATTTAATAGATGTGTGTTCCCAGAGTTCCACATTTTGATCTCTAATCTGCTCTCTCCTTTTAAAGCATGATTTGAGGAGAGAAACTACAGACTTTTTGGCTCCAGCTGTAAATCTGATCTTGCCAGGGACAGGGTTAAGTATCATGGGTGAGTTCAAGTGGTTATTTTATGGTTGCCATTTTGAAAAGCCATGTCATAACAATTCTTCACTCCCAGAGCTGTTACAACGCTGACGTAGAGACAGCCATAGTCAGCGTAAGACTCCCTGCTTAGATAAACAATGAACACTTGTCCCACTCAGCTATTGTGTGGATGTCCAAAGGTGGATCATATTAAGCCTACCAAGCAGGGGTTTTTTATTGACAGCCTAGCAGAAGTGGTTCAGCGCTCAGAACAGCTTCACCAGGGAAAGCCTCAATGTACAGCAACAAATCCCTAATCTAAGAAATTGTGCCTTTTGAGATATATTATGTCTTGTTGATTGCACACAGGATCTCCCTTCTTAGGCTACTTTAAATATATATTTGCTTTCATTAAAGAATTAATACATGCTTATTACCAAAAAATTATAAAATGCTCATAAACTAAGAAGATAATAAGTAGTCAGCTATCACATTGGCATATATACTTAAACGCACTACACTCACACATTGGAAAATGGCACTATCACTGGGTTATTGTTTTGGGACATATTTTTAAATCCAAATAAATAGTGAACATCTTTCTATTAAATATTTCTAGAGTATTAAGTTTAATGATTGTGCAACATTCCATTGTATGGTCTTGGCACATTTAATCAACCAATCGCCTGTTTTATGTATTTTGGTTATTTTCTTGGACTTCTGTAGAAAATGCAAACATTTATTTCACTCTTGGAATAGTTTTAGAATAGAAACATGCTTTTTAAGAAATTAGTCGCCATAGATAGCTTTCGTGTACTTCTTCATTCAAAAATAATGACACTTGCCTTTAAGTGTCTTTAACTCCCTCTTGGAGTACAGCTCTTCTTGGAAGCAAATTTCTTAATCAGTGGGAAGTATGTCTTTTATAGCCTCACTGTCTCAAACACATTCCTACTCATCATTTTCTGAGATTCGTTTTTCTACCTAAGCCCAAGGGTGATTATGTCTTGCTCTTTGTACCCATTCTTGGGGAATATCTCCTGAGCCACCCAGTGTAAATTAGCTTTTAGAAGACAGTTTAAGGATATCTATGAAATGAGGGCGTGCTTGAATATCAGAACTTATTTCCACAGATGCTTTTGAAAGTTAATATTGTAAAGTCCACTTTCCCATGGTTAATTAATGCTAATGATTTTCTTCAAGGCTTATGGAGGGAAAGGTCTGTTGACTGGCCTTTTACTGCAAATACACCATAAGTGATTCCCAGGAAAGGTAATGTGTATTTTTCTGCTAGGACATTCCCTGGAAGTAAAGCTTTACCTATTCAGAAGTACAACATCAGGTTAGCCCCTAAACATAGGTAAACAGCGTTCAATAAGAAAGTTAGCTAACCTTGCCTTGACTTTAGAGAAAAAAAAATTTGTAACAGGTTGAGTGCTCACATACTCATATACTTAGAAGAAGGGCGAGGATTGATAAGTTTTCACTTGTAGGATCCTTATAAGTCACCTAGTATAAACCCTTCATTTTATAACCAAGGAAATCAAGTTCAGGAAAAATGAAAAGACACATCAAGGTCACATAAACTAATTATAACTAATTTTACCTAAATAATAATTAGGCTATTTATTTTTGATCCCCAGTCATTTTATTCCCATAAAAATAAATTACAGACTACCCTGAAATTCATACCACACAAAAAGGTAATTTCATACATCTTCCAATTGCCTAGAAAACCAAGGGAAACATTATGAGTAAGTAAAGAATAATGGTTTTAGAAATAGTTCACCAAATAGTACGGACTTCACAGACAACAGAGTTTTAAAATTTCAGTTCTAGACAGCTGTGTTGACCTTGGTCAACTAATAGTCTCTTTGTGTCTCTATTTCCTCTGTTCAGTAAAATGGAAATAATAATAATAATAGAATTAATATTCATCTCAGAATTGTGGGAATTCAATAAGTTAAAGCACTCAGAACAGTGTCAACACTCAGTGCCTGTTAGTTAGACTCATTTCTGCTGCTACTTATCTGTCAAGAGGGTGGAGATGAACTGAACTCTGAACTCATTTGGCCATAGGTTATTAACTTAGTTCCTTAGCTTCTTAGCTATGTGACCTAACTTGCACATTTCTTTAAGCATGTAGTTTCTTCATCTGTAAATAAGCACAATGATATGTTATTATCAAACGGTTGTTTTTTTTTTTTTTTTTTTTTTTTTTTTTGAGACAGGCTGTCACTCAGTTGCCCAGGCTGGAGTGCATGGCACGATCATGGCTCACTGCAGCCTCAAACTCACAGGCCCAAAAGACCCTCCCACCTCAGCCTCCCGAATATCTGGGACCCCAGGTGTGTACCACCACCACTCTTGGCTAATATTTTAAAAAACACTTTTTGTAGAGATGGGAGTCCCACTATGTTGCCCAGGCTGGTCTTGTACTCTTGGACTCAAGCGGCTCTCCTACCTCAGCCTCCTGAAGTGCTGGGATTATAGGCATGAGCCCAGTGCCCTGCCTATCATAGGGTCAATATGAGGATTAAATTATATAATCCATGTAAAGTATTTACTAAAGTATCTGGCACCAGTGCTCACTAATTATTGTTATTAATATTATTGTCATTAATATTAAACTAATCTTTTCCCAACCAGGACTCTGAGCATCTACCATTACTTACTGGCCTTAAATTATACAACATGGTTGTTCTTAAAATGACATGAACATTTTAAAATACATGAAAGCCATGTATAGTTGTCATAAGAAAACAAGCAGAACATAGGCCAGATGGTGGGTAAATTATATTGAATTTCTCTCCAGATCACCATGCCCAGAACTCTGCAAGTACTAAGAGTGCTGACGTGTTTTCTTTCTGACAGTGGTGGTGCCTGTGATACTTTATGTTCATGGCCTTGCCAATGGCACTTCTACATTTAGAGAAAACATTACAATTAATGAACAGTTGTAAGGTTGTTCTGATTTTAACAAATACTAGTATTCTGCAGGTAAATTATATAGAACAACTACAATCTACTTATGGTTAACTAAATGGGGATAAAACTATTAATCTTTTAAATTAGGCTTAGTTCCTATGCTCATGACTTTTGAAATCTTAGTGTCATTTTCCCCAGAGTTTGAAGGACAAGAGCTATAAATGCACATGCTTTGCTCTCTCTGATGTTCATGCTGCCCAGTAGGCCCTGCTGGGGAATAGATGGCTTACTTGCCCTCCCTCCTTCCTAATTTGAAGCGTTCAGACATCAAAGGGTGAACATGATGTTTTAAGCATTTCTGGTCACAAAGAATGTGCCTGCTTGAAGCCCACTGTGGAGACAGTTTTATCACCAGAATAATTAATGTTTTAGCTGGAATATTCATTCCATATTGCTTCTGGCTGTGAATTTTGATTAGATGCTAAGAGAAGAGGATTTCATTAGCAGCTCACCAGAGATGTTGTTATTCAATTGCCACCAAACCAAATAAGGTATTTGTGGCCAAACACAATTGCCCCAGGTTTGTTTTTCCCCCTTTTGACCTAGCTGGTTGGTTGGTTGCTAGTATAATAAAAATGATACCATTTGAGCCAGTGTAGTAGCAGGCGTGATTAGGCCTTGAAGGCTATAAACTTACGTCATTAGATCCTCTGCTTGCCACTGCCTCTGACCCTGGGATTACTAATCACATTACTGGAAAAGACTCTTCCCTTGATTTATCATTGCATAATGGCTCCATTACTTAGCTCCAAAAGAAATTACCCATCACAGCTTGTTTCTTTTCGGTTTTCTTGAGAAGGTCAAATGAGGGTCCCAAGAAAGGCTGAGTAAGACTGAATTCTTGATCCTTCTCCAAGTTTTAGCTTATTTTATTAAGACAGTATCATTTCTCTTCACCTTTTCATATTAAATATTGATTCATAATTTTACCTCATCATCACATGTAGAAAATCCTCAGGAAGTGAAATTAGTTATTATAAGACCAGACTCCATAAATGCTATTCTCTATAAAGAGGTGGGAAATAGTGTCTTATCAAACTTGGGTTTCTATTCAGAAAAATCAAGGTATAAAAACATTTGTGGGCTATTGGTTCAAACCCGTGGGTATTTAATTTATGTAGATTTTCTTCACTGTCTAATTTTACTTATGCACTGAATAATAATTTTTATGTAATACTATTGCAGTGTAAAAGTGGTTTTAAGATTTTTTTGTTTCTTAATCTTTATGGTGCTTCTGGTTCATAAGAACCATACTTTGAGTTTATTTTATTTTTCCCTGAAGGAGATTAGTAGCCAAGAAATGCGACAAGGGAGATGTGGCTGATTTTTGTTACGATATTCATCCCTACCTGTAAAGGAAGCCAGAACAACTCATTTACTCAGTCATGGAATTAATTAGCTGCTTTATATGGCCAGCTCTAGCATTCTGTGTTCCAAGTTCGTGCAGAAGGTGGGAAAAGTCTATCTGTTCAGATTCAGGAAGATTTTCAAAAAAATATATGGAAGTAGAAGTTTCTATTAGTTTTAAAAATGAAAGCTAATGCTGGAAGAAACAGATGGAATTTTATGGCAGAGAAAGCAGGAATTAAATAATAATAATAGGTAAGATTTGTTGCATGCTTACTGTGTGCCAGATACTATACTAAGTACTTTACCTGCATTTCATAATCAAATCTCATAAGACAATTTTAGGGAAATTTAAAATAAGTTTTCTTATATAAATATAACTTTTCATATTGTGGGAATGACTGATTGGCTTGCTCCATTCTAATCAATGAACATGGTACTTCCTTCCACTTCTTTAGGCCTTTAATTTCTGTCAGCAATATTCTACATGTAGAATTCAGCAATACCCCATAGAGAAAGCTTCTACATCTTTTGTTATGTTTATTGTTAATAACTATTTTATGTATCTGTCATGCTATAAGTTGTTATTCTAATTTCAATGTCTAATTGTTTGTTTCTAAAGTATAATGCAATGGATTTTTATATACTACCTTCGTATCTAGTGACCTTGCTAAATTCACTAGCATTTTTGTGTAAATACCTGAGGAATTTTATGTAAACAAATATGCTATCTGCCTAATGGGGATGTTTTGACATCTTTTAATTTGTAATGTGTTTTGTTTTTGTGCATTACTGCAGTGATTAACAGCTGGAGGTGATATTCCTCCCCAGAGGACATTGGCAATTTCTCATTTCTTGGTTATAATGACTTAGAGGTTGCTATTGATGTATAGTTGATAGGGACAAGAGATACTGCTAAACATAGTACGATATTTAGTTCTCTAAATATTACTCTATTTAGTACAATATTGAATAGAAGCGATGAGAACATACATTCTTACCTTGTTTCCATTCTTAAGCAAGAAAGTGTCCAATTGGTTAATTTTTAACCATTAACTACAATATGCAGTGGATATTTTACAGATGTCCTTTATTAAATATGGAAAGCTTTTTATTCTAGTTTGAAAAGAGTTTTTATCACAAATGTCTGTTAATCTTGTCAAAGCCTTTCTCCTGTCTTTTGCGTTCATAATATGATTTCTCTCCTATAATCTCTTAATATGGTGAATTACACTGATTGATTTCCGAATGTTAAACCAACTTTACTTATGTGATACTTCATTATTTTAAAAACATATTTCTGAATTTGATATCCTAATATTTATTTTAGTTGTAGTTGTTTCTTTAAAATGTAGTTGTTTCTTTAAAATCTAATTTCTATCTCTTTACTGGTATTCTTTATTTGGTGAAACATCATTCTCAAACTTTTCTTTAATTCTTTAGATATTGTTTTCTTTTCTTCTTTGACCATATTTGTAATGGTTGATTTAAAATCTTTCTTTCATGTTTACACTGTCTGGGCATCCTCTGGGACAGTTTTTACTGACTGACTTATTTCCCTGTGTATGGCCCATACTTCCTTTCACTTTGCATGTCTCAAAATTTATTGTTGAAAACTGGACATTTTAAATAATATAACATGGATGCTCTGCTGGAGACATCCACCCCAGGGTTTTTGCTGTAGCCGTTTTCTCTTGCTTTTGTTATTGTTGCTGTTAGTTTAATGACTTTCCTTGACTAGTGTAAATACATATATATATATATATATATATATATATATTTTTTTTTTTTTTTTTTTTTTTTTTTTTAAGACGGTGTCTAGCTCTGTTGCCCAGGCTAGAGTGCAGTGGCTTGATCTCAGCTCACTGCAACCTCCGCCGCCCTGGTTCAAGCAATTCTCCTGCCTCAGCCTCCCAAGTAGCTGGGATTACAGGTGCCCACCTGTAATTTTTGTATTTTTAGTAGAGACGGGGTTTCACCATCTAGGCCAGGCTGGTCTGGAACTCCTGACCTCGTGATCCACCCTCCTCGGCCTCCCAAAGTGCTGGGATTGCAGGCATGAGCCACTGTGCCCAGCCAACTAGTGTGTATTCTTTGATCTTAGCAGCCACTGAATTCTTAGCTCTGGAGCTTAGTGGTCAGCTAATGATTAGGTGGTTTCCTTAACTAGCTTGAAGCAATACATTCTCTCTGCCTAGGGACCGCGTTTGGGGTATTCTTTCAAATAGTGACAAGTCTGTGGAGTAAGGCTTTTTGGGGGAGCTCCAAACCTCTTCTGCCCCCGCCAGTATTTGCTATGCTACTGTTTTTCATAATTACTATAGTTGCAAAGCTGTTGGTTTTCAAGGCTATCATGGAGTTGGAGAGAGGGGGTTGGGAATAAGGCAAGTTAGACTGCCACAGAGCTCACAGTTTATCCTGAAAATTATCCACTTTTCCTGAATAAACACTACTTTGATTGTTGGAAGCCTTTGATTAATTCACAGAGACATGAAAAAGTTGACGTAAATAATTGTTTCATTGTTCTCACTAATTTTATGGAGGAGCAGACATTTGAAAGCCTTTACTCCATTATTCCAGAAGTGCTCCTTTCCTTTGTTCTTGAATAATATTTTTGATGCTTATAGATTTCTGGGTTGAATTAAAAAATAACTTTGAAGATATTGTTTCGTTTTGCTTCGGCCTGCATAGTTTCTGATGAGCATTCAGTAGAGTTCTGAATTATAGTTTTCCTGTTTGTAATTTTCTATGCCTTAATTTTTTTTCTCTTTATTTTGCTAGCCATTGATTATGCTATGTCTAGGTATGGTTTTCAAATTTATCCAAATTATATTTGGTTGAGATTCTTAAATTTGTGAATTTATGTGGATTATAAAATTTAGGAAGTTTTTGAGCATTATTTCTTAATATCTTTAATTTTTAGAAATTATCTTTCTCTTCTCTTGTGAGACTCCAATTAACTCTTAGACCTCTTAAATTTGTCCCACTAATTCTTGAGGATTTGTTAAAAAATATTTTTTCTCTCTTATAAGTGGAGAATTTCTACTTACTTGGTTTCTACTTCACTGACTCTTTTTTCAGTCATATCTGCTAAATTTTTCTATTTTTTTTTTATTTGGAGCAGATTTTTTCTTACCTCACTTGCAGGGTTATAACAGCCACTTTAAAGTTTTTGTCTGATAATTTCAACATTGGGATCAAAACAAGGTTGCCTACTTTGATTGTCTTTCCCTTTGGAATGGGTTACATATTCTTGAATCATCATATATAAATTATTTTAAATTGAATGCTTGACCCTGTAAATATTATATCATATAATTCTGGATTCTCTTATATTCTGAAAAATAGTATCGATTGCTTTTAAGCAGTCAGTTAACTTGATTAGACTCATACTGAAGTTGAAATTTCCTGTAAGGAATGAAAGGAGGTGAAATTTCAGATCTTAGGCCAATTCTTTAATCTTTAGCTGTATGCTGCTTTCATTTTATTACGCACATCTGACTCAAGGGTCAGCTAGAGACTTAACCTGAGTTTATCAGAATTTGGGATTCCCTTCACTCGTTCTATTTTAGGGTTTTCCTCTCATTGGCTAGTGGACCTAGTTGTCCTAGTTCTTCATCCTGGGTCTTCTGATCAGAAAAATGGTGGATGGGCCCAACGCGGTGGCTCACACCTGTAATCCTAGCACTTTGGGAGGCCAAGGCAGGTGGATCACCTGAGGTCAGGAGTTCGAGACCAGCCTGGCCAACATGGTGAAACCCTGTCTCTACTAAAAATACAAAAAAAGTAGCTGGGCATGGTGGCATGTGCCTATAATCCCAGCTACTCCGGGGGCTGAGGCAGAAGAATTGCTTGAACCTGGGGGGCAGAGCTTGCAGTGAGCCAAGATCACGCCATTGCACTGTAGCCTGGGCAATAAGAGTGAAACTCCATCTCAAAAAAAAAAAGAAAAAAGAAAGAAAAGAAAAATGGTGGATGTTCTATCAGAATTTGCACTGCTCCACACCCATCTTGCCACAGGGAAAAATCTACAGAAGTCTCTATTTTGGCAGCTTGTTTCAAGTTTTGAACCTCATTTGATAATTTGTATTCTTTTGTTAATTTGTATTTTTTTGTTCAGTCTCCAGAGCTCTCCAGTAGCTGTGTTTTATATGCTGCCCAGAGTCTATAGCTGTTATTTGTAGCAGGATTGGTTTGTTATATGCTTGCTTTTCCATGTAAGAGATGGACCTCTTTGGCTTGATTTTGAATCTCATTTCTCCTAAGATTAAAAATTAAACATGCACCTGTGTTCTCTTGTCTCCTTCCTACTTCTAGGACTCAGCTGTAACTTTGGTTCAGGAGCTCTGCTGAAGTCCCAGCCTAGAATGAGACTGGGGGTTTTGAGGATGTGTCAGTGCCCTGCTCTAGACAACCTGGGAAAGGACAGCATCTTGGTCTGTGGGTGAGAGAGGGGCAGATAATTTAGGCCACCCAAATACTTTAGGCGGAATGTGAGCAGATTCTCTACTTTCAGCTCTCACCCCTGGCTTTTCTATAAGATGCCCCTTGTTTAGTCAGCGTCAGCATTTTATAGCCTGGGTCTCTTACTATTCTGCTTATGAACAATCTGAATGTAGGAAGCACAGTGACCGTGGGCTACTCTCCAAATAAGAGAAGCAGTGCTGATAGCTTGAATCTGAAAACCTGGTGGAGCTCCTGATGGCTCCAAGAAATGAAATTCTTAATTCCTAAGCCTGAAGAAGGCCAGGCAGATCAAAAGAATATTTTCCTTTCCCTGCCTTTTCTCCTCTCACATTTAGGTTATAGACAATACAAGAAGCTTTGCCAAGTCTCATTAGTAAGCTAGATCAATAATTGAAATGAATGTACTACTGCTAATGTAATAAAGTTAATAAGTAACTTAAATTATTCAGTATTGATTCTCAATTTCCTTGTGTTTGACCATTTCCATATGAATGGTTGCTTCAAGGAAGCTAATATGGGCTTACAGCCAATTCAGAAGTATAGTTTTACACATGCCCACACACAGTCACACACACACACCCACACACACAGAGTCATGTGTCACTTAAGGATAGGAATATGTTCTGAAAAACGCATCATTAGCTGTAGCTGATTTCTTCATTGCGCAAACATTAGAGTGAACTTACACAAACCTAGATGTTGTAGCCTATGACACAGCTAGGCTATATGGTATAGCCTATTGTTCCCAGGCTAGAAACCTGTACAGGTTGTTACTGTACTAAATATTGTAGGCAACTGTAACATAATAGTAAGTATTTGTGTATCTAAACCTATCTCAACACAGAAAAGGTGAAGTAAAAATACAGTATTATAACTTTTGGGACCATCTTCATGCATTGTTCATGCATGTTCATGTTCATGCAGTCCATTGTTAAGCAAAACATCATTTTATGGTCTATGACTATTAATATTTTTAGATTAGTCTTTTAATGGTTCCTCAAAAAAGGACCTGATTATGGGGAAAAATAATATACCTTTTCCTGCTTTGAGGCTCTTGTTTTTTAAGAGGATAGATGTTTCAGAAAAAAAGCAGATGACAGTCTCACAATGAAGTTCAGTGTCAAGAATGAGTAAGGTGGCAATGTTGCTTGTTTCTGTGCTGATCTGATGACATGTGTGAAAGATCTGCCAATAACATGATGCAAGAAGGATATGTACAGACTTACTGTTGTTAGAGGAGATAAACTGCAGTAGGGAGAAAGCCCAGTTTACTAACTCGTTACAGCAAGATATCAGCATACAAACTATGGATATCTTAGCAAAAAGAAGGAAGGATGGGCTTATTGCAGGGATTGAGCTTATGCTGGGAGATTTTGGGAAAAGCTTAAAGAAGCGAGGATTGGCTCTGGGTTGGATGTTGCAGGGAGCAGATGCAATTTGATAATTGAAGTATATGTCCCTCTTTTGAATTTGTTACAGTTTTATACAAATATTATCTACATAACATAAAATTCACCCATTAAAAGTGCACAATTCAATGGTTTTTAGTATACTCAAGTGAGAGACTGAATATACATATGAACAAGGGCCAGACTATATGTAAAAATAAACTGTGACCCACAGTCTGTAGCAGCCAGTACAGGATACCAACCCATTATCTACAATAACCTGCCCAGGAAGCCAATCTACTCTCTGTCAAATCTGTAGGAAGTAAGGTCACTTCCTCTGGTAAATAATCCGGGAAACCAATTCCTAACCCCAATAAAGATCAGCCCCAAATGGCCAGGATTTGATTAATAACTTCCAGCTTCCCTAATTTTTGCCCTCACTTTCAATTCAGGATCAGTCAGAGGAAGCCAAATATGTACCCCTAAACAATCATATAGGAGGCCTTTCTGTGTTAGCCTGCCAGTGGCTCTCCAGGCCAGCAGCCTCCAATCAGGGCGCGGCTGCTGCTTTGCCTTTTGAGAGTCTGCCAAACACAGGTGCTGGTGGCCGACTCCCTTGCTGTAGCAAGCTCTGGATAAACAGCCAGTTGGTTTTCATTTATTTCCACAACAGACATGTGCATCCATCACCACAACCAATTTTAGAACATTTTCATCGCCTCCAAAAGAAACTCTGTACCCTGTAGTTATTACTTTCACACCCTCATCTCTCTCCAAGTTCTAAGCAACCACTAATCTACTTTCTGTCTCTAGCTTTTCCTATTCTGGACTTTCCAGATTCATTTCCACCTCTACTACAATTCACAAACCTGCAGATGCCTGAGCACAGCCTTTTGTTTTGTTTTTGGTTTTGTTCAAATGTCCTTTTTAGATGGAGATTTAATACAGTGAGTTTGACTTTGTTCACTTATTGGTTCTTCGGTAATGTGAGTGGACTCATACCGTATGTGGCCTTTTGTGTCTGGCTTCTTTCACTCAGCATAATGTTTTCAAGGTTCATCAATGCAGTAGCATATGTCAGTTCACATATTTTTTATGGCTGGGCAATATTTCATTTTGTGAGTATACCACATTTTGTTTATCCATTCATCTTTTAATAAACATTTGAGTTGTTTCCACCTTTGGGCTATATGGCTAATGCTGCTATCTGAACAATTTCCATTTAGGAGCCAGGACAAATGAAGTGGAGCTAGAGTTGAAATTGGTAAAGAAGCAATAGTCTCTCGTGTCCGCAGGGAGAAAGGGGTGTTTGGTTACTTCCTGGTGGTACAGCATCCTAGCCTGTTCCTTGTTCAGAGTTGAATATGGAGTGGCCTTGTTTTTGTCTTCACCTAGTGACATTGTCTGTTATTGTTTGAATTGTTCTTGTTCATTAAGGGATACTACAACCTAGGTCTTAGGAGCCAGATTCAGAGTGGGTTTTCTACTTTCTTTGTTGTTCTCAGAGGTAAACAGTCTATCAAGCATGATATCTAAAAAATAGTTAAAAGAAATATGGATGATTGATATGGTTTAGATCTTTGTCATCTCCAAATTTCATGTTGAAATGAGATTCCCAGTGTTGGAGGTGGGGTCTGGTGATTGGATCATGGGGGTGGATCCCTTGTGAATGGTTTAGCAGCATCTCATTGGTGATGAGGGAGTGCTTGCTCGGTTAGTTCATGGGATATCTGGTTGTTTAGAAGAGTCTGGGACCTCTTCCTTCTCACTCTTGCTTCTTCTTCTGCCATGTGAGATGCCGGCTCCCCTTTCACCTTATACCATGATTGCAAGCTTCTTGAGGCCCTCACCAGAAACCGATCAGATGACATTGGCATGCTTCCGGTAGAGCTGTAGAACTGTGAGCCAATTAAATTTCTTTTCTTTATGCATTTCCCAGCTTCAGGTATTCCTCAATAGTAACACAACTGGACTAATACACACGATATACCAGAAAAGATGCCATTGAAAAATGAATACAGAAGCTGCATTGTGACACAGATAGCCCAACTTTGTTTGATTCCGAAGGACATAACTAGCACCAGTAAGTTGTAGGTAGGCCAAGTTCAGCTCAGTGCCAGGCAATCCTGTTAAACACCTTAACTGCCTGAAAATGAACTTGGCTGCCCAGGAAAAAAATGAATTTCTTACCTCTAGATGTGTTTGAGTGGGAACCGGCTTTCTACTTGGTGATTATGTAACGGGAATTCAGGAAAACGGTAGAATCTTACCTCAAGAGCTCTTCAAAGACTTACTGATTTTGAGTGTGTGCTGATGTCACTCCTCCAGTGCCCTACACCTTTAAGTTATTCTCACCTTTGTTATCCCTCACAGGGGAGAGGCAGCCTTTGTGATCTCTTACTGGCTTAGACCATGCAGATTTAAAGCTAAAGGGTATAGAATTACTCCTCATTTTTGTGCATGAATAGATGGCTTTCTTAATATTTTCTGGCACATGTTAGAAGATATTAAGGGAGAAACACAATGACAAAGCACTAGAGAGAAGCTAGGAAACCTCTGAGCACCCCTGTCTGCCTGGAACAGCTGTTTTCTACAGCAGCTGTTCAAAACAAGCTGCTCAGGGTTATCACTTTATCTGGTTTCTATCATTTTCACATCTACTACATTCACAAACCTGCAGACACCTGAGCACAGCCTTTTGTTTTGTTTTTGTTTTTGTTCAAATGACCTTTTTTAGATGGAGATTTAATAAAGTGAGTTTGACTTTGTTCACTTATTGGTTCTTCTACAAGACTGAACCTATCCATGATCCACTTCATGAATGACATGTTTCAGATCTTGCAGTTTCCACAAAGAAGTACAAGCAAGGCAAAATTAAAAAAATAAAATAATTAAATTAAATAATCCATGCCAGTGGGCAATTATTTATTCATTAATATATTATAACTCAGCTCTCCCCACTCATACCCCTAGTCCTTGCCTTCTAACAAAATTAATTTAAGTTTTGCTCTCTATATTTAAAACTATTATTACACCTCCTTTTAGACAGTGATTTTTGAGGGACACTGACTATAGGAACTCTGAAAAATCTAAAATGGCTCTTTATTATCTTCTGAATAATAACAAACATTTTCTCTCATTACAGCAATTTTAGGTTCCCTATAATCAGATTCCAAATTGTTTTTGTACACTAATAATGATGACAATGATGATGATGATAACAAAATTTACTGCGTATTTTCCATATTTCAAGCATTTTGTGAAGCTCTTCACCAGGATTATCTCATCTTAGCTCCACATCACATCTCTGAATCAGGAAACTTTTATTGATCTACTTTACAGATGAGGAAACTGAGGCTCAGAGAAGTTATATAACAATTTGTCCAAGAATACACAGTTATTCAGTGGTAGATTTATATACAAATCCAGATATGATTCTAAAGTTTATTCTTTTATTTTGTTTGTATCATGCCTTACTTACAAACCTTCTAGGAATCTTCTCTTCCAGTGCATGACTGTTGCTCTCCCTAAAACTGTATGCATTCTTTTCTTTCTGTTTCTGTTCCTGCTCTGTCCATTGTCTCTTCTACAGTCCATTAAGGAGTTCCTGTTTCAATTAGTTCACTAGGAAAGCATCTAGGAAAATGGTCTGTCTAGGAAAGGAATCTCAGTAATTGCCTGGAACAATCTCTAAAGCATAATTCATGGAAGCCTATGTGGTTGAGAAAATGTATGTGCAGAACTCCAACAAAAGTAATTGGATACAGCAACAATTAAGGAAAAGAAGGTGCCTTCACAATGGACAAGAACTAATATTTACAAAATGCTTACTCTGAACTGAGTGACTTAATAGTCACAGTAATCCCATGACAGATGAAACCATGTGTGGCAGTTAATCTGTAAGATGGTTCCCACCAACTAATATTTATGCCCTTATGAAATCTTGTCTTTTGACTTTGGATGAAACCTATGACTTGCCTGTAACCCACAGACTATGGCAAAGGTAATGCAATGTCTTCTGTGATTAAGTGACATAAGATTGTGACTTCTGTTTTGCTAGTCAACTTTCTGGTGCCTTCTTGGCTTATGTACTTTGATGAAGTAAGCTGCCTTGTTAGAGAGGCCAAGTGTTCAGGAAAGGAGAGTGGCTTCTGACCCAGGGTCAGGTGAGAATGGAGGCCCTCTGTCTAACAGCCCTTAAAGAAATGAAGTCTTAAGATGGCTGATCAGAAGCAGCTGTGGTCTGCAGCACTCCCAGAGAAGAATGAAAAGGGGCAAGTGAATTCAGCACCTTCAACTGAAATATCCAGGTTCTCACATTGGGACTGACTAGGCAAATAACTCAACCCATGAAAAATGAAGAAGAGCAAGGAAGAATAACAGCCCACATGGGAGTGGCATGGAGCCAAAGGAACCCCCACCACCAGAAAGGGAAGCGGTGAGTGACTGTGTGACCCTGCCCAGGAAACCATGCTTCTCCCATGGGTCTTTGCAACTCACGGATCAAGAGATTCCCTCATGAGCCCATGCCACCAGGGCCTTGGGTTGGTGAGGAACTGTGTGGAGTCTCAGCTGAGCAGCTGCTTGGGCACCTACCAAAACCCAGGAGTTTTACATGTGCCAGCCTTAAGATCCCGGGCAAGGTGGGAAATCCATCTGTACATATCCCTCAGAAGGGGACTGAATCCAGGGAGCAAAGCAGTGTCATTCCACAGGCCCCACTTCCACAAAACGTCACAAGTTAGGACCCACTGGCTTGGAATCCCAGCCAGCCAATGGCAGTGGGTTGGAGTCTGCCTGAGATGGGTCTGAGTTTCCAGGAGAAGGGGCAGCCACCATCTCTGTGGTTCAGTAGACTCAGACACTCCAGCCTGCCAGCAGTGGAGAATACAGATGGTCCAGATGAAAAAGAGTCTTCCATGACATAACACATCTGCGTTTCCAAATGGTGGCAAGACTACTTCTTTAAGTGGGACCCTGAATCCATTCTTCCTCACTGGGTGGGACTTTCCTGTGGGGGCTTCAGCCACTCCAGCAAGAGTTCTACCCACAGAGCTCTGATGTTTCCCTGGAACAGAGCTTTCCAGGGAGGGGCAGCTGCCATCTCTGTGGTTTGGTAGACTCAGACAGTCTGAATGAGGAAGGGTCCTCCACCAATGCAGCATACTTTGCTCTACTAAAAAGCAGCTAGACTGTGCCTTTAGACAGGTCCCTGATCACATTGCTTCTGACTGGGTGAGACCACCCAATGGAGGTCTCCAGTCACCTCCTACAGGTGTGTGAGGGCTGGCAACAGGTCAGTATCCCCCTGGGACAGAGCTTCCAGAGGAAGGAGCTGGCTGCCATCTTTGCTATTTCACAGCCTTTACTGGTAATACCTCCAGGTATGAGACACCAAGGCAACTGGGATCTGGAGTGAACCCCTAGAAAACCACAGCAGCCCTACAGTAGAGTGGCCTGACTGTTAAAAGAAAAACAAACAAATAGAAAACAACATCAACAAAAAAGACCCCACAAAAACTTCATTCAAAGGCCAGCAACCTCAAAGATTGAAGGTAGATGGGCCCACAAACATGAGAAGAAATCAATGTAAAAATGCTGTAAACACAAAAAGCCAGAGTGCCTCTTCTCCTCCAAATGACCACAACACCTTTCCAGCAAGGGCACAGAACTGGGCTGAGGCTGAGTTGGATGAATTGACAGAAGTAGGCTTCAGAAGGTGGATAATAATGAACTTTGCTAAGCTAAAGGAGCACGTTGCAACCCAATGCAAAGAAGCTAAGACTCATGATAAAGCAATATAGGAGCTGATAGCCAGAATAGCCAGTTTAGAGAGGAACATAACTGACCTGATGGAGTTGAGAAACACAACACGAGAACTTAATAATGCAATCACAAGTATTAATGACAGAATAGACCAAGTGGAGAAAAGAATCTAAGAGCTTGAAAATTATATTTCTGAAATAAGACAGGCAGACAAGAATAGAGAAAATAGAATGAAAAGGAATGAACAAAACCTCTGAGAAATATGGGATTATGTAAAGAGACTGGACCTATGACTGATTGGGATACCTGAAAGAAATGGGGAGAATGGAACCAAGCTGGAATCTCTTGGCTCAAGATATAATCTAGGATATCACCTAGGGATTTCCTCAATCTAGCAAGAAAGGTCAACATTCGGGATATCATCCAGGAAATTTCTCAACCTAGCAAGAAAGGCCAACATTCAAATTCAAGAAATGCAGAGAATCCCAGTAAGATATTTCATGAGAGGATAACTCCAAGACACATAAATAATCAGATTCTCCAAGGATGAAATGAAAGAAAAAATATTAAGGGCAGCCAGAGAGGAAAGCCAAATTGTATACAAAGGGAAACTCTTCAGACTAACAACACATCTCGTAGCAGAAACCCTATAAGCCAGAAGAGATTGGTGGCCAATATTCAACATTCTTAGAGAAAAAAATTTCCAACCCAGAATTTCACATCCAGCCAAACTAAGCTTTATAAGCGAAGGAGAAATAACATCATTTTCAGACAAGCAAATATTTAGGGAATTCATTGCCACCAGGCCTGTCTTGCTCCTGTGTGCTCCTGCATGCCACCAGCCCTGTGTGCTCCTGAAGGAAGCGCTAAATATGGAAAGGAAAAATGGTTATCAGCCACTACAAAAACACACTGAAGTACAGAGACCAGCCAGTGGCACTATGAGGCAACCACATAGACAAGTCTGCAAAATAACCAGCTAGCATGATGATGACACATCAAATTCACACATAACAATACTAACTTTAAATGTAAATGGGCTAAATGCCCCAATTAAAAGAGACAGAATGGCAAGCTGAATAAAGAGCCAAGACCCATTGATATGCTATCTTCGAGACACCCATCTCATGTGCAAAGATGCACATAGGCTCAAAATAAAGGGATGGAGGAAAATTTACCAAGCAAATGGAAAACAGAAAAGAAGGGGTTTCAATTCTATTTTCTGACAAAACAGTCTTTAAACCAACAAAAATTTTAAAAAGATAAAGAAAGGCATTACATAATGGTAAAGACTTCAATTCAACAAGACAAGCTAACTATTCTAAATATATACACACCCAATACAGGAGTGCCAAAATTCATAAAGCAAGTTCTTAGAGACCTATGAAGAGACTTAGACTCCCATACAATAAAAGTGGGAGATTTTAACACCTCACTGACAATATTAGACAGATCATTAAGACAGAAAATTAACAAAGCTATTCAGGAGCTGAACTCAGCTCTGCATCAAGTGGACCTGATAGATATCTACAGAACTCTTCACCCAAATTCAACAGAATATAAATTATTTTTATTGCCACATGGCACTTACTCTAAAAGTAAAGCACTTCTCAGCAAATGCAAAATAACTGAAATCATAACAAACAATCTCTCAGATCACAGTCCAATCAAATTAGAACTCAAGATTAAGAAATTCACTCAAAACCACACAAGTACATGGAAATGGAACAACCTGTTCCTGAATGACTCTTGGGTAAATAATGAAATTAAGGCAGAAATCAAGGAGTTATTTGAAGCTAATGAGAACAGAGAGACAATGTCCCAGAATCTCTGGGATGCAGCTAAAGCAGAGTTAAGAGGGAAATTTATAGCACTAAATGCCCACATCAAAAAGCTAGAAGATCTCAAGTTAACAATGTAATATCCAACTAAAAGAACTAGAGAACCAAGAGCAAACAAACCCAAAGCTGGCAGGGGACAACAAATAACCAAGATCAGAGCTGAACTGAAAGAGATATAGACACAAAAAAACATTCAAAAATCAATGAATCCAGGAGCTTGTTTTTTTGAAAAAAATCAATAAAATAGATAGACCCTTAGCTAGACTAATAAGAAAAGAGAGAAGAATCAATACACACAATCAGAAATAATAAGGGGGATATCCCTACTGACCCCATGGAAATACAAACAATACTACAAACACCTCTATGACATAAACTAGAAAAGCTAGAAGAAAGGAATAAATTCCTGGACACATACACTCTCCCAAAACTGAACCAGGAAGAAGTTGAATCCCTGAACAGATCAATATCAAGCTCTGAAAAATGAAACTGGACCCTTTCCTTTCACTGTATACAAAAATTAACTCAAGGTGAATTAAACACTTAAATGTAAAACCCAAAACCATAAAACCCTGGAAGAAAATCTAGCCAATACCATTCAGGACATAGGCACAGGCAAAGATTTCATGATGAAAACACCAAAAAACAATTGCAACAAAAACAAAAATTGATAAATAGGATCTAATGAAACTAAAGAACTTCTTCATGAAAAAGAAACTATCATCAGCGTGAACAGACAACCATGAGAATGGGAGAAAATTTTTGCAATCTATCCACCTGACAAAAGTCTAATATCCAGGGTCTACAAGAGACTTAAACAAGTTTACAAGAAAAAAACAAACAACGCTATTAAAAAGTGGGCAAAGGACATGAACAGACACTTCTCAATAGACAACAAACATGTGGCCAACAAACATATTAACAAAAAGTTCAACATCCTTGATCATTAGAGAAATGCAAATCAATACCACAATGAGATACTGTCTCATGTCAGTCAGAATGATGATTATTATAAAGTTAAAAGGCAACATATGCTGGCAAGGTTGCAGAGAAACAGGAATGTTTTTACACTGTTGGTGGGAGTATAAATTAGTTCATCCACTGTGGAAGACATTGTGGCAATTCCTCAAAGACCTAGAAGTAGAAATCCCATTACTGGGTATATACCCCAAAGAATATAAATCATTCTATTATAAAGATACATGTACACATATGTTCACTGCAGCACTATTCACAATAGCAAAGACTTGAAATCAACCTAAATGGCCATCAATGATAGACTGGATAAAGAAAATATGGTACATATACACCATGGAATACTCTGCAGCCATAAAAAGGAATGAGATCATGTCCTTTGCAGGGACATGGATAGAGTTGGAAGCCATTATCCTCTGGAAACTACTGCAGAAACAAAAAATCCAAACACTACATGTTATTACCTTTAAGTAGGAGCTGAATGATGGAAACACATGGTCGCAGGGAGGGAAACAACACACACTGGGGCCCATCAGGGTGTTGCAGGGAGAGGAGGAGCATCAGGAAGAATAGCTAATGGATGCTAGGCTTACTACCTAGGTGATGGGATGATCTGTGTGGCAAACCACCATGGCACATATTTACCTATGTAACAAACCTTCACATCCTACACATGTACCCCTGAACTTAAAATAAAATTTGAAGAAAAAAACAAAAAACCTGAAGTCTGCCAACAGCCACAAGGGCTGAAATAGATCCTTCTTCAGTTTAGCTTTCAGATGACACTCCAGACCTGGCTGGCACCTTGATTGTGACCTTGGAGAGTCCAGATTTCAGCTACAGGTGTGTTGACTCCAAGTGCTCTGAGCTTTTTTTCCTTTCTTTTATTTTTGCCATTATATATTTCTTCCTGCTATTTATAACAGATTTCTACTGAATTCCTTAATACCTTCAAGGATCCTCTTTAGATGTAAGCACATAAAAATCATATATTCTGTTGCTTTGAAGAGCAGCTGAGGTGTAAAAGCAGAAAGACAGGGTTATTTACTTTCCCTTCAACATGTTCAAATGTCACAATGAAGTTGAAGGAAGAAAAAGGACCAGACTAGTACTGCTCTGGATTTATTTTATTTAAAATGATTGTCATGATCTCTTTAGTCATAGGTCACCCGATTTATTCCCTCAAGAAGGTGTTTGCCAAATACATCAGCACAGATGAGTTTTAAAGAAACTTGTATCTGGAGACAGTATAATAAATATTTATAAGACTGAGACATTTGACTGACATTGAGTTCAGCCTTTTGCCCTCTCTGTTTACTGGTATTTATTGTTCTTTTCTAATGCTGTACTTGGTTGAGCTAAACCAGGAAACAATAAACAATTTATTTTAGCACTGAGCAAATTTCATTTCCATGGCCTTCTACAGGTTTGCTTGTCTTGTTGCAACCTTGTGTGGAAGAATATATTTCCAGTTATCAAGTCAGGTTGTGATTACTTTCTCAAGGAAAAAGTGCAGTCATAATGTCATGTAATTTGAAAACATGAGCTTTGGGAGCATTTTACTGGCTTATGTTTTCCTGCTTCTTAAAAAGTATAAATTAAAATACTTGCAACTCAGTTATAAAAATGTACTTTTGTATATATGTTTAATTGTGATGAATTGAACAATATTTGATCATGACACTTAATATCAAATGTAAATATCATTAATCTCTGAGGGTGCTAAAGAGTGTGCCCTTCTCTGCAAGCATGATGCTTCCCACAAACATGAAAGGTCTTATGAAATTATTATTCCTTTTCCTTCTTTTAATGGTCTGTGCATCTATTTCATCCCAAGAACTACTGTGATTGAGGATGACAGGTCTTAGGCAGATTCACAAAAAATCCTTTTGTGTCTGCCCTGACAGTGAACATTTCCTCTGAATTAACCATTGCCCAGGGCACTTCATGTTGAAGAACCTAATCAATTTGCAGCAGGTGTTAATGCCTACTATAATATTTCATTAGATAGGATTGGAGAGTGAAGTTAGATTAGTCTAGTTGAAAAATAAGTCTAGGAAAAAATAAAGAAAATTCAAGGATGCATTTCCTTTCAGCTCTGAGAATCATTTTTCAGTTCTTTAAGTTGGAATATGACAAATAAATCCTAAATATTAGCCAAAAAAGTGAAGTTTTCCCTCCAAAAGTATCAAAGTAGATGGTAAATACGTTTTTTTGTATTGTAATTTATTTGTTAGCTGAAATCTTCCACAAATGGCATTCCACAGGTGTCAAGTGTATACTCTAACAGGTATATTGCTGTCACAGGTACTTTGCTCCAACATAGATTTTATGAATATAATTTAACCTGAAACATAAACATCGCTCTGTGATCATTTACTTTCTATTGCACTTCTAATCTAAGTCCAATTTTGCTTGGATCCGTCTTTGCCTTGGATTTGGGAGAAGACAACACACCTATACCGCATTAGCAAACTGCAGAATAAGAAGCCAAGTCTCCCAGCATTCAAAGAACATTGATGGGTCACCAAACACTGGTGCCACTAACACTGAGAATACGTGGTGTGTCTTATTTTCCAAGGAAACGCTAACTTGCCAAGTGATTGACATCTTTCTTTGGGGAAGTAGAATTTGTTTGGTTAATATTTATCTGTTCAAAGGAGTTCATTTTTTAAACAGTTAAACTTGTCACTGAATATCTGAATTAACACTTCTCATTGTGTTTGTTTTTCTGTTATTAGGCTGAACCTTAATGCCTTAGGGCCCTCCCTCTAGCCCACCCTCTGTTTACCCTACTGTTATGTTAATGTTGATGAAGAGGCCATCTCATCTTATTGATTCTGTTCTCCCTGGCTTCCTCCACGTCAGGATATAGCACAGATGGGAGTCCTCAACTCATTAGAGACAGCCACTTTAACACTGACCCCATCAATCTCCTCTACACATTAGAGACACCTAAAGATTTTCTCCCTCAGAGACTTTGACTTCACGGTTTTGCTATTGTGTGTGCACCCAGGTGAGAAGTGTCTAAGCTAGCTAGGAAGAACCGGGGAAGGGGATTTGTTATTGTGGGATGAATAGGAAAGCTTGGGGGCACGTCACTGAGAATCCAAAAGTAGATTAGATTTATAACCTGCCTGCAGTTATTTAAACACATACACACAGAGCTCATACAGATTGATCTTCTTGTGAATGCAACAAGGTTAGTGGTTTGTCTTCTGAAAAAAGGAGCCAAGATTGACGGAAAGCCCATTACTTCCAAATTTAATCACCTCAAGGCAATTAAAGCAATTTTGTGTTTTCTACTTTAGTGCTCCCCTGAAACGACAGCATCTGGACAACTTTAATTACCGTTTCAATTCAGTAAAATGCATGAAAAAGGCAAGTTTGGGACTAGCCATGGCTCTTTTCCCTACTGTTTTTCTGATTTCTCAGCTGCAGTGTTCCGGTTTATTTTCTGTCAATTGTAGGCGAAGTGTCTACACCCTTGAGGCTGCTTGTGCTCCCGAAAAGTGTAGGGATAAAAACTCTAAAGGAAGATCACCCATGAGAAAGCTGAAATGATGGGTATTTAAATGTTTAATGTACGCAGAGTTGATTATCTCTGCAGGTTGCCTCCCTGATATAAATATTGACAGCATCACTTGAGCTAGCTCCTTCAGGCCCTCCTTATAGTCTGTCTCAGGACTGTTTGAAAAGTAGTGCCTGGTGGGCAACTAAACCTCAGAAGAGACTACCTGGCATTAGACAGTAAGAGACTAGGTCACTGGAATGCCCATCATGGACTGGGGGCTGCCATCCAACCAATGCTAAAGTTGGGTGAGCATAGCAGCAATTTATCATATATTGGAAACAGTATATTATGGCTCATGTCCAGACAAGTCCAGGGGGCACAAGGAAGTGACAGAAATAGGTAGCTTAGCTCTCCACACACAGCCTCTGTTGTACTGACACTTTTCCCTCAGCTCTCACCTGTGGGAGATCCCATATAGCCAACTAATAGAGGATTTAAAATGTCATGCTTAGTTCACAAATAAATGTCTTAATGTGAGCAAAAAACAGATTGCTGCCACATTACATCCCTACTAGAGTAGCTTTGAGAGTCCTGGATGGGGTCCATACTTCCAATGGGCAGAACTTGGAGCACTAAACCTGGTGATCAATTTGATGTGGAGAGAGGTCAGTCCCTACGTAAGGACTTACAGACTCCCAGGGAATGGCAAATGGTTTGACTTGCTGTTCAGGGAACTGCAAGGGGGCAGTAAACAACTGTATTTGCTTTTCTACAAAGGACGCACCCAGGCCAAACTATGACATATGAAATTTAATAAAGAGTTTTGAATATTTTCTAGGTAAAATTGAGAAGTGTTAATATCTTAGATTGCTTAATAAGCTTATAACACTCATATTCTGACATTTTTTCTTCCCAATCCCCCCTTTCCACACTGTCATTTTTCCTCTCTTTTAGACTTTCCCCCATTCATATCTCCCACAAGTACTCTTTAGCTTCTAAATGTTACTCTCGCCTTCCAATTACTAACGTATTTCCTTTAATTCTTTTTTTTTCGATGGAGTCTCTCTTAGTCACCCAGGCTGGAGTGCAGTGGTGTGATCTCAGCTCACTTCAACCTCTGCCTCCCAGGTTCAAGTGATTCTGGTGCCTCAGCTTCCAGAGTAGCTGGTATTACAGGTGTGCACCACCCTGCCCGTCTAATTTTTGTATCTTTAGTAGAGGTGGGATTTTGCCATGTTGACCAGTCTAGTCTCGAACTCCTGGCCTCAAGTGATCCAACTGCCTCGGGCTCCCAAAGTGCTGGGATTGCAGGTGTGAGCCACTGTGCTCAGCCTTCTTATTTTTTTTTATTTTTTTATTTTTTAGACAGAGTTTCACTCTTGTCACCCAGGCTGAAGTGCAATGGCATGATCTTGGCTCACTGCAACCTCCGCCTCCTGGGTTCAAGCAATTCTCCTGTCCCAGCCTCCCAAGTAGCTGGGATTACAGGTGCCCACCACCACGCCCGGCTAGTTTTTGTATTTTTAGTAGAGACCAGGTTTCACCCTGTTGACCAGGCTGGTCTTGAACTCCTGACCTCAGATGATCTGACCATCTTGGCCTCCCAAAGTGCTGGGATTATAGGCTTGAGCCACCACACCCAGCCCTTCCTTTAAATTTTTAATGGAAAACAATCTATACAAAAATAGAGGGAATATTATAATGAATCCTATGTACATGAAATTGCACCTCTCAGCTTCAAATGTTGTTATTTATGATGAGTCTTGTTTAATTTATAAACCTATTCACTTCCCAGCTCATGCCAGCATCTTCTGATCAAATCCACATATCATTTTATTTATAAGGATTTCAGTGTTTCTCTAAAGAATTATTTTAAAAAGATAACTACACTACAATTGTCATACCCCAATAATAATAACAAAGACAATAACTCCTCATTACCATCAAATATTCATTACTCAGTATTCAAAGTGCCCTGAGTGTCTTATAAATATGTAAATTTTATCTTAATAAAGATCTAAATACAGTCCATATATTGCAATTAATTAATGTGATAAAGTTTTTGCTCTTTGAGAAAGCTTATATTTTGGTCTAATGTTTCCATTTATATTAATACCCTTGTTGAAACTATTGTTCTCTTTTCTTGTGGCTACAGCCTATGGGTTCCACACTAAGATCAATACTGATATTAACTAGTGACCCCTTCATTTTCCTCTCTTTTCTCTCCTCTTCTCCACTCTTCTTCCCTAAACTCTTCTAAAGCCCTCTATGCCACGATCTTCCTTCTTGGCAATGCCCTGTCATTAGGGCCTTACTCAGCTTTTATCCAGTCCTGTTAAAATGTGCAGGTTCTATATCCTGCTTCTTTTGGTCCTTTTCATTTTAATTTAATTTCTATTTTTTTGTGACAGGGTTTCACTCTGTCACGCAGCCTGGAGTGCAGTGGCACAATCACGGCTCACTGCAGCCTTGAACCCCGGGCTCAAGGGATCCTCCTGCCTTGGCCTCCCGAGTAGTGGGAAACACAGACACGAGCCAACAGGCCTGGCTATTTTTTTTTTTTTTTTATTATTTGTAGAGATAGGGTCTCACTGTGTTGCCCAGGCTAGTCTCGACCTCCTAGGTTCCAGTAATTCTCCTGCCTCAGCCTCTCAAAGTGCTGAGATTATAGATGTGAGCCACTGAGCCTGGCCTGGTCCTTTATTCTAATTTCAAAGCTAATACCCAGTTAATCCCTCAGAAGACACAATTATGGCTCCATAAACAGTGTTTAAACATAACATCTTAAGCTGGTACTTCTCAAACTGGAGTATGACCAATTATTGCAGGCTAATGGAGTCATAGGATAAATAAGTTTCATTTTCATGAAGTGTTAAATTTACTTTGTGATGAGCAATATTAAAAAATGATATATATTTTAATATATTTATTGTTTCATATTTATGACTAGGTTATAGTGTATCATCTTCAATTTATACTAAATTTTAAAGTTAGTTATGAAACGGAAAAGAAATTGTATGCTGTTAGTAGACATAGTTGCATTCTTTTGTGCCATTAGTTGTGCTTTTATTGAGAACTTTGTCTTAAACCCAAAGGGTGACTCTAACTATGAGAATTTCTTTCTTGGTAGTTTGCTAGTAGAAAGAACTTCGGGTGTTCAGAGCTTTCTGATGACCTTCAAATCACAGGTGATACATACTCTGTTTATTTCATGTGTGCTTAAACTCGAAAGAAGTGTTGACCACATCCAACACGGTTGACAAACATGTATTCATGTGGCTATCAATTCAAACCTTTCCACTTCTAACAATTTAGCTAAAGAACGCAAACTATTGGAAAATATTTCCCTTGTGGCCACTTTATAGCTTTATGTATACATCAAAATTGCATTTAGTTGTTAAAATTAATGAGATTTTAGCTGGATAAGGCATGTTATTCTTTGCTCTCTGACATTTAAGGAACTTAGTTTAGATTCAGGAAGTACTTTGACTTCCTTCGAAGCCACATCCCAAGTCAGTAGCCTGCCACGCTGGTTTCTAGTCAGATATGTCTACATATTATTTATTTTTATATCTTTATGCCTCTTCTAGTCTCTCTGTCTTGAATTCCTATACATTCTTGGGCATGTAGAAAAACTCAAGTAGTCTGGAGTCCAAAGTCACTTTCTCTATGTAGAATTCCTTAGTATACCCTAAAAGGAATTGATTGCCACCTGCCTATCCCACACTTCCTTTAGAAGTTGTTCATACTGCTGGGCATGCTACTGTATGTGCTCTGGAGTTAGGCCTGGATTCCCATCTCTGTGTGATCACTTGCTAGATGTTTAATATTGAGCCAGTTACACAGTCTTTCTAGATCTCTGTTTCCTCATTTGTGAAATGGGGAAGATAAAGCTGCTTACCTTATAGTATTGTTGTATATAAGATAATGTATAGAGACTGCCTATTCTAGTTCTGGACATATAATATGTACACGGCATTAGTGCTGTTGTTGTTGTAATTATTATTATTACAGTGGGATGTAGTATTCCTTTAGCACCCATTGCTTATTCAATTTATCATAATCATTATCCAACACATAGTCCTGCACATTTTTGGTTAGTTGCCATTCAGTAGGTTTTTGCCAAATAAATTATTTAACAAATAACTCCATTGCCAGTCGTCACTGTTCTGTTCAACTTAGTTCATCATGCTACTAAAATAATTTTCTTAGGAGATCATACCTTTTGCAACAACATGGTTACACCTGAAAGACATTCTGCTAAGTAAAATAAGCCAGACACAAAAAGAAAAATACTGAATCATCTCACTTATATGTGGAATATAATTTTTTTTTAAAAGTTTGAATACACAGAAATAGAATTAAAATGGTGGTTACCGGGAACCAACAGTGGGTGACAGAGCAGGAGCATCGACATCTTGGACAAGCCCATCATTCTAAAGTTTACCTTAATAAAAAAACACTTAAATCCAAAGGGCATCAACCTAATGGCTAAGGTCAGCACGACCATAAACCACAAATAACATCTTTAACTAGAAACATTCCAAACTCCTCCCCGACCAGAGACATACTAGCCCTGAGATAACCCCACTCTGGGCAGGAAAGATGTCTGCCCCAAAATAACTTCCCCACCTCACAGAAAGATTCCAGCCCCACCATAAACTTCTCCACACACATAAACATTCCAAGCTTGTGATAAGTCCCCTCACCCTGAAACCAATATATATTCTTAGTCTGTAAGAGAAAGCACTCCTGACCGAAATTGGCCAGAGGCACCTCTCACGTTTTATCTAAAGAAAACCTGTCTTTAACTGTCAGCTGTGTTTTGTGTTTCTTTTCTCTTTCTTTAACTCTTACAGTGGGGAGGGTGGGGAGGGAAAGATATAGGTCAAAAGGGAATAAAGTTGCACTTGTGAGAACTACAGTTAATAAGATTATATCCTATGCTGGATATTTGCTAAGAGAGTAGATTTTAGGTGCTCTTACTACAAAAAGGTAACTACGTGAGATGATGGATATGTTAATTTGCTTAGTGTAGTAAACATTTCACTATGTATATGTATATAAAATCATTGTGCTGTACACTTTAAATACATGCAATAAAAAATTGTTAGCAACTCTTGGTGATGACACTCATTTGAGTTTCAAACATAAATACTATTTCTTTATATACAGTGTACCTGTATTTTTTCTAGAAAGTAAGCCTCTTTGATTTTCCTTCTGTTTGTTCATGAAGGATCTTCATGAAGACTATACTAATATTTTAGAATTGCTATAGAACATGAAAGTAATTACTCATGTTGATTTTTGTAAATAGTTGAAAAGACTTAAATGAGAAACAAAACTCACAAGTGATTATAATTTCACTTAGAAAGTGAACAGTGAGAATATATCCACTCAGCAGTTAATAGAGAGAACGAGAGTTTTATATAACTATTTAAATGAATGGGAAATAAAATATCTTTTTTTAAAGAGAGTTATGGGGAAAACACAGACCATGACCCCAGCTTCTGCAGCACCACTGTGGGTGATTCTCTGGAGAAGCACTGGAAGCCAAGGGATGCCACTGCCAGTGCTATGTGCTGTCTTCCTTCTCTTCTGCTTTCCTAATGCAGCATGTGTAGTTCTTATTGGCAAATTGTAAGGGCCAAGGAGTTCTGGAAAATGAATTTCCAGTTTTCAATCTTGAAATGAAGAAGCTAACTTGCATCAGACAGTCCACATTCCACGTGTTTTCTAGAGTGAAAAGGATGGCCTGGAAAGCCAACATATCTGAGGGTCATGAATTACTGCTGTGGAAGACTATAATTCAACATATTTGTGAGGGAAATGTGTTAAAATAATGGGCATACTTAATAATGAAAATATATGTCTATCAGTCCTTTACAAGCTAGACAGGGATTTAAGAGAGGGCTAAACATGATGAACATTGCCATGTAGGCCATTTTTCTGTCGCTGAACTAGCCTCTTCTTTACTTCAGCTCCCAGAGTGCCAGGGCATGCTCAGTGCTTGGAGAATAGCTGGGAGGCACATTCATCACATTATGATGTTACTGACTTAAAATGCTGCCCATTCCCAGCAGTTTTCCATATCTGTATGGGGGAAAGAAAAAAGTGGCTATGCTTATCCCAAATGTGTACTAGTTTGAGAGTAGAGGATAAGTAAACATATCAATTTCTGTCAATTTTTTTCTACTATTTCTGGAATGCATTTCCTTTTCATTGCTGCCAATACTGCATTTCTAATCTAGACAATCATCGGCTTGGACTGCTGCTGAAAACCTCTATGTGCACATCTGCTTTGCACCTGCACACCTGCTCTAGCGAGTTTTACAATGTGAAAACTTATCACTTAACTTACATGATTAAAATAACCTTTTAATTTATTCTCATTTAAAAAATAAAATGAAGTTCATTTTTTAGAATATAAAATAAACACAAGCTATAAATAAATCATATGCAAACTTATAAAGAAGAAAATACAAATTCCATTATAAAAAGTCAAATGCTAAAACTGTTCTGTATATATTTTTAGTTTTTTTATGTGTACACAAACATACCCACAGTATATTAACACAGGGTATTAAACAAATACCAAGGGGAACAGTTAACTTGAATGAAAGGTCAAAATCAGCAACAAGTTCTACAATCCAGTGCTGATATCAGATACAAGCTTCAAGGATAAGTTTCTTTTTGTAGGTTTATTCCAGTTTTGTGAGGCTAGCATGAGGTGTATTCATTTGCCAGGGGCAAATTTATACTTCTGAATTAACCCGTGCAGCAAATGCTAGCATCTGCTTGCAGTCTATTTAGAAGCATTTGCAGTAGACTCTGAAGGGGGCTGACTCGTGGTACTCCTATTGCTAATCCACATCTACTGGAAGATGGGACAGTGAGGCCGGAATGGAACAGCATATCCACACTGAGTACTTGTGCTCTGGGGGCACGCTGATCTGATCTTCATGGTGCTGGCACCACGGCGGTGATCTCCTTCTGCATCCTGTCAGTGATGCCCCAGGTACATGGTGGTGCCACTGGACAGCACCGTGTTGGCCAACACGTCTTTGCGAATATGCACATCATACTTCATGCTGGAGTTGATGGTGGTCTCGTGGATACCGCAAGATTCCATGCCCAGGAAGGAAGGCTGGAACAGCATCTCCAGACACCTGATCCCCTCGTTGCTGATCACAACCATTTAAAATTGTACAATTTATTGGCATTTAGCACAGTGACAATGTTGTATATCTATGACTTACATAAGTTCTAAAATATTTTCATTACCTCAGAAAAAAAAAACACCCCAAACACATTATACAATTGACTCCCATTCTCCCTTACTCCCATCCCCTGGCAAGCACCAATCTCCTTTCTGTCTCTATGAACTTACTTATTCAGGATATTTCACATTAATGGAAAAATATAAAATGCAATCTTTTGTGTCTGGGTTCTTTCACTTAGCATAATTTTTTTTTTTTTTTTTTTTTTTGAGATGGAGTCTTGCTCTGTCGCCCAGGCTGGAGTGCAGTGGCGCAATCTCAGTTCACTGCAAGCTCCGAGTTCAAGCTCCCGGGTTCACGCCATTCTCCCACCTCAGCCTCTCGAGGAGCTGGGACTACAGGCGCCCACCATCACGCCCAGCTAATTTTTTTTTTTTTTTTTTTTTTTTTTTATTTTTAGTAGGGATGGGGTTTCACCGTGTTAGCCAGGATGGTCTCGATCTCCTGACCTCATGATCTGCCCGCCTCGGCCTCCCAAAGTGCTGGGATTACAGGCGTGAGCCACCGCGTCCCGCCTGCATAATGTTTCTAAGGTTCATTCAGGTTGTAGCATGTATTGGTATTTTATTCATTTTTATAGCTGATAATATTCCATTGTATGTATTACTACATATTGTTTATTCATCTGTCTGCTGATGTACATTTGGGTTGTTTCTGCCCACTGGCTCTTATGAATATTGCTGATATGAACGTTCTTACAGAAGAATTTTAGTATCTGTTTTCAATTATTTGGGGTATACACTTAGAAGTGGAATTGCTGGGTCATAGGGCAAGTCTATGTTTAACTTTTTGAGAAACCAGCAAGCTGTTTTGCATAGCGGCTGAAACATTTTACATTCCCACCAGCAATATATGAGAGTTTCAATTTCCCCATATCTACATGAACATTTGTCATCTTTCCCCCTATTTTTATTATAGCCATCCCAGTGAGTATAAAGCATATCTCACTGTGGGTTTAAATTTTATTTTCCTAATGATTAATTATGTTCAATATCTTTTCAAGTGCCTGATAGCTATTTACACATCGCTTTAGAGAAATGTCTATTCAAATACATGGCTGATTTTTTGTTGTTGTAAGAATTCTTCATATGTTCTATATACTAAACCCTTATCAAATAGATGATTTGAAAATATTTTCTCTCATTTTGCAGAGTGTATTTCACTTTCTTGATAATTTCCTTTGATGAACAAAAATATTTAATGTTGATAAAGTTCAATTTTTCTTTTTTTTGGCTCTTGTCTTTGGGGTCATGAAAAATCCATGGACAGTCAAGGGTCTTGAAGATCTATTTATACTTTCTTCTAAGAGTTTTGTAGTTTTAGCTCTTGCATTTGGGGCATTGATCCATTTTTAGTTCATTTATATATACAGTATAAGTTAAGGGTACAAATTGATCCCATTGCATGTGGCTCTCAAGTTGTCCCAGCACCATTTGTTGAAGACTTTGATGTTCCCATTGAATGGTCTCGGCATCCTTGTCTAAAATCATTTGGTCATAGATGGGTTATAGGTTTGTTTTTGGACTCTCAATTATATTTCCTTTGTCTATATATCTTCCTACCAGTAACAAAGCAATTGCCATTGCTTTATGGTACATTTTAAAATTAGGAAGTGTAAATTTTGTCTTAGTTCTTTTTCAAGATTATTTTGTCTCTTTGGGTATCTTTGCCATTCTCTAGAAATTTGCAGATGGGCTTTTTGTTTCTACAAATGTTGTTGGAATTTTGGTTAAATCTTTAGATCACCTAGGGTAGTTTTGTGATCTTACCACATAAAGTCTTCTAAAACATGACCATCATATAACTTACTATTATTTAGGTCTTGTTTGATTTATTTCAGCAATATTTTGGAGTTTTAAGTATACAAGTTATTTACCTTCTTGGTTAATTTATTCCTAAGTATTTTTATTCTTTTGGATGCTATTGTAAATACAATTATTTTCATAATTTCCTTTTTAGATTATTGTTTCCTAGTGTGTAGAAAGACAACTGATTTTTGTATTTTGATCTTGTGTTCTGTAACATGAATTAATTTATTAGTTCTAATAGTTTCTTTGTGATTATAAAGGGTTTTGTAGCTATAAGCTCATGACATGTGCAAATAGAGACAATCTTACTTTTCCCTTTCCAATTAGGGTGTCTTTTAGTTGTTTTTCTTCATGACTCAGTTGAAAACAAGCATTTTTGTCTTGTTATTGATCTTAGGGGAAAGACTTTCAGGCCATCACCCTTGAGTATGATGTTAGCTGTGGATTTTTCATAAATTTCATTTACCAGGCAGGGGAAGTTCTTTTCTATTCCTAGATTGTTAAGTGTATTTACCATAAAAGATTGTTTGCATTTTGCCAAATTTTTTTTGCTTCAATTGAAATTATAATGCATTTTTTCTTCATTTTGTTTATGTGGTGTATTACATCGATTATTTTCATGGGTTGGACCACTCTTTTATTTATAGGATGAATCATACTAGGTCAAGATGTTAGTGCTTTTCATATGCTAACGGATTTGCTTTTCTATTTTGTTGAGGATTTTTACATCTATATTTACAAAGGATATTGGACTACAGTTGCCTTTTCCTGTAGTGGATCTTTATCTGACTTTGGTGTCAAGATAATACTGACCTCCAAGAATAGGTTAGAAAGTGTTATTTCCTTTTCTATTCTTTAGGAAGAATTTGAGAGTAACCCTTTTTAATTCTTCTTAAAATGATTGATAGAAGTCACCAGGGAAGCCATCTGGTTCCAGCTTTTCTTTTTTGGGAGGTTTTTACCGATTCAATTTCTTTAATGGTTATAAGTCTATTTAGGTTGTACATTTCTTCTTGAGTCTATTTTTGTAGCTTGTGTGTTTATAGAAATTTGCCCATTTCATTTAAGTTATATAATGTGTTGGTATATAATTATTTATACTATTTTCTTATAATCTTTCTTATTTATATATATTTGTAATGTTGGTAGTAATATCTTTTCTTTCATTTCTGATCTTGTTAATGTTAATTTTTTCTTTTTTTCATAGTCAATCTAGGTAAAGACCTGTCAATTTTATTGATCTTTTTAAAAAAACAACCTTTAAAAATATATTTTGTTCATTATTTATTTCATTTATCTCTGATATAGTTTTTATTGTTTTCTTTCTGCTGGCTTTGGGTTTAGTTTTCTTATCCTAGTTCCTTAAGGTGTAAAGTTAGGTTGTCAATTTCAGACCTTCCTTCTTTTTGAATGTAGGTATTTACAACTGTAAACTTCCCTCTGAGCTCTGCTTCTGATGCACCCTGTAAGTTTTGGTATATTATGTGTTTATTTTCATGCATCTGAGTGTTTTCTCGTTTCACTCTGTGGATTTCTTC